>NC_000001.11:180154283-180457314 GCF_000001405.40 Homo sapiens
TCTGATCCATGAGTAGGGCCCCTCAAATGATGTTCCCCTTTAGATGGTCATGGTCATCAGCAGGGGTGGGTGCATCGATCCTGTGGGGTCTTGGTGGTCGCAGACCAAGCGTCCCTCTTCTCACATCTAATTCACAACGTCTCATCGCTCCGCGGGAGCCCAGGAACTGCCCTACAACAGCCGAAATCCGGGTCGTCTATTCCAACGGACTCCTCTTCCGTTGGATACGGGGGCCGTGAGAGGCCAAACAACCTCCGCGAGGCTACCCCCGCAGCGACCGCTCGGCGGGCGCTCCATTCCTTTACCGGACTGTACACCTCGCCTCCTGGGGCCTGAGGCGGGAACCCGGGTCGCGCTGCTCCGAGGCCTCGGCGGACCGCGAAAGGATGGCTCACCACCCGGCCAGGGCCAGCCCCTGCAACAAGCTCAGCCCCGCCCGCTCCCGCGCCCAGGAGCGGCCGGCGGGGCGGGGTGGCTGGGCCGGCCTCGGGGGCGGGGGCTCGGGGGCGGGGGCTCAGGGGCGGGGCCACGTGGCTCCTCCTTGCGGGCGGAGGCAGGCGGTGCCGCGGCGCCGGGACCCGACTCATCCGGTGCTTGCGTGTGGTGGTGAGCGCAGCGCCGAGGATGAGGAGGTGCAACAGCGGCTCCGGGCCGCCGCCGTCGCTGCTGCTGCTGCTGCTGTGGCTGCTCGCGGTTCCCGGCGCTAACGCGGCCCCGCGGTCGGCGCTCTATTCGCCTTCCGACCCGCTGACGCTGCTGCAGGCGGACACGGTGCGCGGCGCGGTGCTGGGCTCCCGCAGCGCCTGGGCCGTGGAGTTCTTCGCCTCCTGGTGCGGCCACTGCATCGCCTTCGCCCCGACGTGGAAGGCGCTGGCCGAAGACGTCAAAGGTGAGAAGCGGGGGCGGCCCGCTCCCCCGTGCCCCGCCGCCCGGACCCCTCCACCTGCCCGGTGGGCAGCCTCCTACTCCGGGAGCGCGTCCCTCTTCCAGTCACCTCCGCCCACCTCTTCCTCTCCGCGCATCCCACGCCCACCACCTTCATGTTTCTCAGCTCCATTTTTGCCTCCCGCTCCCTTGCCTTTTCCTCTTGGCCCTCATCCCGAGCTTCTTTCCCTCTCCGCGGCCTGGGCCCCCAGACCTGCCCTGCTCGCCCGGTTCGTCCCCCGCCAGGTTACTGCCTCCTTCCCTGCGAGAGGTCTCCTTTGTTCCTTCCTCCGCATGGTCCGCTGACACCTTACCGTTTCCTGGGCCAGCCTTGTGGCAGTCCTCTTCCTCTCGTCCAGGGACCCATGTCATCTTCCTGCCAGGTTCCCTAGCTGCTGTGGGTCAGTGCTGGGGAGAAAAGGGAACGGACATCCATTTTGCCTCCCTGCCACCTTTCTCCACTCCCTCGACTGGTTGACCAGGTGGTACATAGACTTCCTTTCTCATTTTTGTCTTTGATGTGGGTATGTCCACCTGGCAGTTTTCCTATCTCTGTTCCGGGCCTCTCCTGACCTGCCGCCTCCAGCTCCTTAGCTTCTGGGCCACATCCTTCTCTCTCTTCCCCCGCTCAGACCCTTATATTTTAAACCCATGCACCCAGAGGCCTTTGGTGCGTGTTTGGCTCTTGCTCCATGTTCCCAATCCCTGGTTGGGGCACCAAAACTATATTTCCTGAATTCCAAGACACCATCAACTGTGAGACACACTGTTCATTTTATGACAGCCCAAGGGGTAGAAGGATAGGAAAAAACCACTACATGTATAAAGATTTGAAGGTGAACTCTATTACAGAAATGCTAAAATTTTGAAACACTTAAGACTTAGAGTCGAGGAAATATGGTAATAATAGTAATTAATATTTACGGAGCACCTATCATTTCAGGCACCTTACTAAGTACTCGGCATACATTGTCTCATAGTTTCCTTTCCACAATTTAAAGATTCCTGTGGTGTCACACATCCACCTAATCCAGGTAGTGGGTATTTGGCGGGCAGGAGTGGTATAGTGATAGTGATTTGTTCCTGACTTGCTGCCTCTGAATGGAGTTACTTCCTGACTCTGGTGCTAGGTCGCTAGCACGGCCTCCTACCCTGAAATGGTCATTGAATGAGAACTGTGGGCATCTTTGGAAATAGGCCTTTTTCTAGAGAAAGGGGAACTGGAACCATTGTTCCACTGTTGGTATTTCTTGATAAATTCAACTCTTTGTGGTAGAACAGTGCCTTTGTAGATGTTAGTTTTCAGACTCACCCTCCTCTTTTCCTGAGCAGCTTGCAGATTGGTTTCTGAAGAGGCGAGATGGAACCATGTGTACATCTTTTAGCCATATGGTCCTGGAAAATTATTTTTAAATGAAACTTATAAGCTGTTTTGACCTCCAGTTTACACTTGCCTACATGCCTCACTGGTCCCATTAGCTGAACGTGCCTTTCTGAGCAGTGCTTCACACCATTTCAACACATTTGGTCAGGGGAGGAGTGATGTCAACACATCTGGTCAGGGGAGGAGGGAGGAAGAACATGGATCATGGAACTGGAACACCTAAGATAAGGTAATCTCAGGGGACATTGTGGGCATGAACATCATAAAAATTCCCAGATCGCTTTCCACTTTGAGGTTATAAGAGGTGTTCAGTGGCTGCAGATGGACTTATTCTAGAATTTCTTCCTTCTTGAGAGTGCTGGGGGGAAAGATTAGCTTCCAGCTGACTCACATGTTTGGCCTCTTGCAATGCAGAGTTTTTAGTTTTCCTATGAGTTGCATGTCTAGATACTGACCCATTCTGCTCCTGGATGAGGGTTACCACTTCCAAACAGGATTCCCCAGTGCATGGAGCCTTTCTCTAAAATAAGAAAGCGAAATCAGAATTTAACCTCTGAAAAGGAAATGGAAGGATCAAAGTCTGTGGGGGTGAGCCAGGGTAAATGGGAGGTGGGAGATTTCAGTGGAAACTGGAGGTCTCCTGTGAGCCATTGGTGTGAGTCAGTCCTTGAGCCAGATCGTGTTGGGAGGGCACTGGCAGAATCTGCTGTCAGCCTGCAATGAAGAATGTCCTCCACTCTAACCCAAAGGGGTGTTCCCTGGTGAGGCCCTGCTGAGAAGCTAGGGTTGGTCTCGCTTCATCTCTGTGTCCTGAGGTTTCTTGAGAAAGGTTGGTTGTGGGCCCGCAGAGGGCTGTGCTCATCCCACCCTGGGCTGTGTGAGTACTGCCCATGCTCTCTGCTGAGGACACCTGTATCTTGAGGCAGGAACAGAGACAGAGTGAAGGTCACAGGGAGAGAGAAGAATTTTGCAGCCATATTTGGCTGGCTTCAGGCATTTAATCTGACTGAATAGGGTTCATTTCTTCAGTGACTAGGGCAGTAGATTCTCTAGGCACCTGCTGCCCCGGGGCAGAGCATGTGTTTCTGAGAACCTGGTTTATCCCCTTTCTATTCCAGAGCAGCTCCGGTTGTCTCACTGTATGTTTTGGAAACTGGTTGTATCCAATTTAGACCTTCATTGCTATTCACTGGCTAATCAATCAGCAAATATTTGTTGAGTGATAAGCATTGTTTGCATTGCAGTTGGGGAAATGAGCTACTCATAGAAGGAAAATTGGCAACTGTTACAAAGCTGTGTTTGAAAAAGGCCAAAGGAGTGGTTCAGCCATTTCTTATGGGAACCCAGGGGAGGGGAAAGTCACAGAGGGCTAATCTGATCACCAGAGGCCTTCATGCCAGTAGTTATTTATTACACGCTTGCCTTATGCCAGCACTTTGCTAAGGGCCTTCACAGGCCATTATTATGACAATCCTTACCCGGGAAAATATCTGTACTATGGATATTGTCTTCCTCTTTTTTTAAAACAGGTAAGTAACTTTCCAGGTTTACACAGATGCTGGAGAAGGTCATTGACTCCAGCTCTTTTTGGCTTTCTGGAGCCTGGGCAGGTAGAGAGGTGGGTGGAGGAGGAAGGATACTCCAGGTGGAAAAACAGCATGTGCCGAGCTATGGAGGTGAGGTTCGTAAGGCGTGTGTTTGAGTGACAGTGAGCAGTGTTGGTTTTGCCCCCCTTCTCTTCCACGGCACAGGCCACATCTGCTATGTGTACCTGTGATTCCCAGCACAGAGCCTGGTGCAGAGTAGGAGCCCACTGCACGTTCATGGTGGCCAGTGGCCTGAGCCTCACAGGATTCCAAATGACAGCGTGAGTGTAGAACCTTCTGCTGGTGCCGTGGATCCTCTTGACTCAGACCGGGGGTGTCAGCCAGGTGTGAGGGGTAGAGAAGGCATTTTGTCCATCCAGTGACGTCACTGCCCAGAAACTGTCAGCAAGGAGGAAGGAAGGCATGAGTTGGTGACCGCATAGTGCTGACTAGCTGGACAGGGCATAAACTAACTCTCTGTGTCAGGAGAGCTCCTGAATTCTTCGGTGTAGAGTCCAGAGCTGAGGGTCAGTAGATTCTAGTCACTAGACCACCAGGTCTGACTGGCTCTTGGTGGTTTGGGTAAATCTGTGCCTCTGTCTTCATGGAAGTCCAGACCCACTTAACACTCGGAGGCTGCATGTTTCTTGTTAAGAGTTGTTTGCCATCCAGCACCTCAACGGTTGTCAGAGCTAGAAGGGGCATTAGAGATCATTCATCCTGGCCCTCGCTGATCCAGGAGGAAGCAGAGGTCCAGAGAGACATGTGGAGCTCACGGTGCTGCAGCCAGTTAAACTCCAAGCAAGGCTTCCTGCTCCACCCAGTGCCCTCCCTGCACTTGTGAGTGGGGCAGGGGACGCTGCCCTTGACTCCAGACCAAGCCCCCAGTGGGGGCTCAGCAGAATCCCCACAACACCCCCTACCAGAGGGCATCCCCTCACCCATCAATCCAAGATTTACAGCTGTCCAACTTCTCTTGCCTCGCCACCCTTCCCCTCTCCATTAGTCCATTTATTCTGTGGTTGGTAGAAAAATTACGCTGTTCAGAGCAATAATTGCACCAGGAAAGGGTTTTCTCCCCAGTAGTAGAGCTAGACTGATACTACTGATCATTTTGGTGTTAGGCATTTAAGACACCTGACACTTCAAAAAGCCTCTGTCACCCAGCTCTGCATTGCGTTGACAGTAAAGCTTAAATGCAGCTTTGCTTTAACAATGGAGCACTCACATAAGGACCTTCTCTATTCCATCTCCTGTTACTTGTCAAAAGACAAAATTACACCACATTCAAAAATCTTAACTGGCTTCTATTTGTGATTCTGGAATCGGACAACACCACATTCTGTCTTACAGAATGAGTATTCTGATGAGCTGAGCAGAGGAGTTTGGCTTTATAGACAGAAAAAGGCTGAAGAAAGTAGAAACAGATCAAAAATCTGATTGGTTATTTCGGTCCCTTTTAAAGGTTAAAGCAGAGGAGACTTCTGTATGTTGGCTGAAACTGGCTTGTTTGAAGATTTGACTGTTAACTCACTCTCTCCTGATCTTGGAAGGTCAGATCGACAGCTTAGTTTTGGCTTGGTGGCGTGGAACTTCAGCTTGAGGGACTCCATCTTGGTTTGGTCTCTTGGGCCTTGTGCAGGAGCTCAGTCCCAACCAATGGCCTCCTAGAAATATTATTTAACAGTTCTCCCCTTTTGGTCAGGTTCTCACCTAGGTGAGAGTTACTAAAACAGGGCATCAGCACTACTCTCAGTAATCATCGTTTTGGGTTTTCGGTCTTAACACATCATTTATAGGTTAAGGTGTCCTCATTATCATGCGTTTCTTGGAGTTTTATCATTCCAGCTGGAGAGAGACCATTTAGCATTCAGCAGAGGGCTGCATATAGATATTTAAGACTCTTTGAGAGGATACAGTGTAACAGGGAAACTACTGTAATGACTCTCCCCAGGATAATACTAAGAGTTTACAATATGACGCTTAGCCAGGGACCCATGAACCAAACCAACTAAAATTGAAGAGATCAAAGAATGAGCCAGATGAGGAATTTACCCTTTTTAAGCAAGTACTATTTGTTCATTTTTTTGCAACTGAGTCTCAATACACTATGTGTCTATCCATGTGCAACAGAAAGTGTCAGCAATTGCACAGATTCCCTGTTCGCTAGTAGGTAGCAGTTCTATTATCTAGTATCCCATGACTGGGTTAAATTAAAGCAGGAAGTGAGAACACATGGGTCTAAAAGTCTGACTCTATAAAAGGGACCACTAGTACAGTTTGAACAACAGTTGTGTTAGGGATGTTGCTGAAGTTACCCACTGGGCAGACTAAAGGATCCCTTTGGTCATGTAAAGATCTGGGTTTAGCGTGACAAATCCAACAGTTTGTGAAGTTACCCACAGAAGCCACTGATTGTGAAATTCTAACTACAGCATTATCCTGCCAGACAAAAAAAGGTAGATGTAATCAAGGATAAAGTGGAAGTCTTATTCCAATGAAACTCTTGTTCAGAAGTTTTGGGAAAGCATGAAGTTGTCAACTTCTTGTCCTGGTTTGCAGTTTGATTGTCTCTGGTTATGGCATTGGGCATTTTGGTGAACTCTTTGTGTAGCGTACACGTCAGGCATGAGACTTGTCCCTTGAAATGTATATCAAGTTGTTCAGCTTCTGTTTATAGGGCTTTAGGCACAGAACAGTTCCTGTTCTTAGTTGGAGAATTGTAGCTAGTTATTGGAAGAAACTGGAAGAATTCAGAATTCAATCCATCTTATAGGTAGATGATAAAAACTTGAAAATGATCAACAAGGCTACAATCTAATAACAGATGTACTATAGTTTTTCTTTAGGAACATATTTTTTCTCTCTATAGTCACCCCCATTTCTACCAAAGATAATCAGGGTAAGTGGGAGGCAGAGGTCACAGTGAGCCGAGATTGCACCACTGCACTCCAGCCTGGATGACAGAGCAAGACTCCATCTAAAATAAAATAAAATAAAATAAATAAAATAAAATTCAGACTAATTTGCTTGCAGAAAATATTTAGTCACATCAGACTTGGCCTAATTATTTACATAAGTGTGGCAAGAATAGTGATTGACCACGTAGGCTCTTCTTAAGTTTGCTTTGCTAGAACTTATCGATAAGGAATCTCAGATTGGACTTTTAACAACTTCTCAAGGCTAGGAAGTCAACCCAAGCCCAACTTCAGATTTCACCTGCAGTACCTATAGATTCATCATAGGTATATTCTCAAGTATGGCATCACACTCAAAACCTTGGTAATATGACCAGTGTTTCCTATTGTATCCTGTTGTAAAGAGAGCAGATACTTATTGAACTTATGCAAATAACAGTATTGCCATAAAAATAGGAATATTCACAAATAGTTTCTGAATTCCAGAGAGGTCTTGTAGGGAGAAAATGTTTCCATTTTTGTTCACAAGAGTATACTTACCAAATTGCTGTAAACTATAGATAGCTTAAAAGAAAATAAGTTTTCTTAAATCTGGACAACAAAACATTAAAAAGAACCAGCAACGTTTCAAATTTAAAAACCAGAAAAACCCATAATTCTTCATTAGTTCATTTAGTCTCATGTAATTAATTCTTGTTGTGCTTGATCTTGGTTATCAGTTTTGCAGACCCATCAGTTTTTTTCATTAGAGTTCTGGAAATTCTTTCCCAGTCCAATCGTATTATCTCGAAGTTATCAGAAATGGTACTTATCAGAGACGTTTCCGTGGATCTCCTTGAAGATGAAGCACTTCAGGATTATAGTTGCTTAGAAAAAAGCTTTTAGAAAAACATCAGAATAAAGCAATTAACTGTAGACAATAAGACTTAAAATGGTTGTGGTTAAAGATCTGATGAGAGTTCATAGTAATAATGACACAATTGACAAGGAAATCTGGTTATTGCTGTGCATACAACATTTTAACCTAATAACCAAAATTAAGGCTGATAATGTATCATATTTCTAGGAATATCATATAATTTTGGGGATACACCTTAATAGCAAGTATAAACATACATCAATAAATATAACTCAAAGAAGATTAAACATCATTTCTTGTTTGACAATGCTTCCCATATAATTAATACATCAAATGAGCCTAACTAGTTTAGTATCTCCCCTTTGCAGAATCTTTGAGATGTTCCAGGGCCCCCTGAAATGTTCCAAAGTTACTTCAAGTTCAGAAAGCCTTAATTTAGAATTTGATTTTGGGAAGTTTGTACAAAATGTCAAAGGTTTAAAATTAAAACACTTAATCAGCCTGGGCATGGTGGCTCATGACGGTAATCCCAACACTTTGGGAGGCCGAGGCAGGAGGATACCTTGAGCCTAGGGGTTCGAGACCAGTCTGGGCAACATAGGAAGACCCCATTTCTATATTAAAATTTTAAAAAATTAGCCAGGTGTGGTGGTGTGCACCTGTGGTACCAGCTACTTAAGCAGCTGAGGTGGGAGAATTACTTGAGCCCAGGAGATTGAGGACAGGTGAGCCACGATCGCACCACTGCACTCCAGCCTGGATGACATAGTGAGACCTTATCTCAAAACAAAAACAAAAAAGCAAAACAAAAAAAATCACTTGATCAAAATAGGATCACAGGTCACTGTGAAGTCACAGTCATTCATCTAACCAGAATGATAATTAAAAGACTTCAAAATGAAAATATAGAATGTTACATTGTTGCAGAAAAAACAGCTCTTTTATAGAGAGGACTCCATTTTCTTAAGTAATCAAGGACCTAGTAAAGACAACATGAAGCACAGGGAATCATCTTGATGAAACAAAGGATCTTTCTTTAGGAGAATTACCTAAAAGGTACAGAAAAACCTTTCACTGTTTCCTTTTAAGAACAGATCAATACTTCAAGAAAACCTTGTTTTAACAGAGAGGACCAAATTCTGATTTTTCATCAGTGTACTTTTGATATTAAGGCTCATCAAAAAAAAAAAAACACAAAAACTATAAGTTAGCCCATTCGACCACACTTGAAGTTCTTTTCTCTTCACAACTTCCTTGTATCCATTGGTTTGTCCTGTACTGTTCCTCTTTCTCATTGTGAAATAACCAGTCACTCTACTTTAGAACAAAATGACTCTCTTTTTCCCTTAATTAAAATACATCCTTACATTTTATGACTTCCTTTATAAACCGTGCCATACTTCCCTTGCATACAGAATTATGTCCCTTATTATTTTTAGTTTTAGTTGCTTATATTAATTAGTTTTTACTCCTTAGTAATCTTAATTTCTAGTGAAAACTAGCAAGCATTGTGAACTGTCTTCTATTAACATTCACCATTTCATAATTTCTAGAAACATGTTTCCTCAGCTTTTCATGCTTATTACAGACCCAATTATATTCTCTATGCCATACAAAAACAAGATGCCAAAGCATATATACTTTAGACTTATGTTCAGCAATTAATGTTTCAGTATTTTAATTTACTTAGAAATGATATTTTATGAATATCTATGACTTAATTTAACGTAAAATAACCGTAAGAGGAGGCTGGATATGTGGACAGGGGCCAAATGAAGAACTGCCTTCTGGTTGTAGATTTTCTTCTAAAGTCAGTTAGAGCCCCCAGAGAATGTTGAATAGAGATTGACATAATCAGATCCACAGAAAGAAAAGATCATTTGGTGGCTAGAGAGGGCAGTGAGGGGTGGAGCACATTAGAACCTCACCAGGAGAGAAATAATATGTTGATGTTTCTCTGGAAGCCCTGCCATGAGAACCTGTACTAGCTCATGGGACACGGAGGGTAGGTTGGAGGTGAGGTCAGTAAAAAACCAGATCACGGGTTCATGCCAACCTAGGACAGGCATGAAGAGATGGAGGTTTGGGTGAGGGAAGAGACTTCAGAGGAGAGTGGACAGGATGTGGAGGCAGGTGGGGATCAGCAATCCCCTGGTAGGGGCAGAGGGATTGCATCCTGGGCCTGGCATGCAACAGGCCCTGACCATACCTGCCTTTGTGCAGGCTGCCTTGCAGGTGAGGTTTAAAGCCAAAGGATGCACCCCAGCTTGCAGATACTTGGATAGGCTCAAGTTGCTATCCTTGTGTGCTAAGGGAGTCAAGAAGGCTCCCCAAAAAGTGTGTGGTGGGGGGGTGTTGAGGAGGTTGGGGAAATGGCATCATAGGATGTAGCTCACCTCACTCTGCTAAATACTTTTGACGTCTGACTCTGGTAAATACCTCCATCTACTTCCTCTTCCCAACCCCCCACCCACCTCCCTCCTTCGAGGAGTCCAGAAGCTACAATGCCAAAAGCAGACTACCAGCAAGAAAGGTGGGGGAAAGAAGGGGGTGGTGTGGCCACAGGCCTTCCTCCCAGCTCGCAGAGCCCCCTCCCTTGTATCAGCCCCAAGAAGGGCCAGCTTAGTTGCCTTCTTTCCAGGGATGCGTCAGGGTGTGCCAGGCTCTTCCTGCATCTGTCTCGTGGAGGTGAGGGTAACACTCCTTCCCCAGGCGTAACGTGTTCTTAGGAGCTCTGATACCTTCTGAAATTGTGTTCTTCTGAGACGTCGTAAGGAGTAAGTTCTAGGGTGGAGTATTAGGGTGTTTTTGCATTGATAAAAGTAAGTACCTGAGGCTAGGTAATTTATAAAGAAAAGAGGTTTAATTGGCTCAGGGTTCTGGAGGCTGTACACAGCATCTGCTTAGCTTCTGGGGAGGCCTCAGGGAGCTTTTACTCATGACAGAAGGCAAAGCAGGAGAGGAAGCAGGAGGGGGTTGGGAAGTGCCACCCTATTTTAAGCAATCAGATCTTATGAGAACTCAGAGTGAGAACTCACTCGTTATCAAGGGGGCAGTGCCGAGCTGTTCATGAGGGATCTGCCCCCAAGATCTAATACCTTTCACTACCTAATCTAATACCTTTCACCTCGTCTAACATTGGAGATCACATTTCAACATGAGATTTGGAGGGGACAAGATCCAGACCATATCAGGTGGGGTCAGAGGTCCTGCTAAAACTGTGACTATCAGGGATGTTATTCAGATATTAGTGTTCTGTACTTAATGGGTGCTGGGTGGGCTGCCTGTGTAAATTCCACTCCCTGCCCCTGGGGCATGAGCTTCAAATGGGAATTGTGCCTGCCACCAGGCAGGCCTCCTCCTCCTCTCATCTGCTTCAGAGACGCATGTGGGTCCAGCTGCCATGGACGTCATCCTGAGCTGTCCAGGCAGACACTCCCAGTCTGGTCTCTTCTTGCTCCCTTCTATTCTGGCTCCCATGCCTCCCAAAAACCCTCCTCTCCAGGCAGCCTGGTTTCTGCCAGTCCTCTCCTCCTCCACCTTGCTCAGGCAGTTCCCTGCCCACTGGACCGACGGTCTAGGTTCAACTCTGTTTCCACCTTTCCTGCTGAGCCCATGCCTTGGTCTGCAGGGCCGACCTCTCCAAACTTGAGAGTTCTGTGCCACATGATTTGGCCCCTGCCACTGCCCTCTCACGGCTTGTGTGTCTTCCTCTGTGCGCACCTTGGCTTCCAGCTGGAGCAGCCTCCATGTGGGTGGAACTTTGGTGGATGCTCACGGGGCACCTGACCTGGAACCTGAGCTCAGGAGAGCTGCCTGGTATATGAGCTTGTTTCTTCTCAGTTCCTGGGCTGTGGCCCAGAATGGTGCCATTATTCTCTCTGCCAATGTTTCAGCGGCCAGCAGCCTTGTGGCCCGGGGCCTGATGCAGGGGCCAGACTCTGGCCTCAAGGCTTCTTTCCCCGCAGTTCCTGGATTCCAGATGCTCCTGTTTCTGTCTGGGGACCCAGTTCCTGATACCCTTTACCCCAGTCACTCAAGCTCTGCCCACTACCAGTATCTCTGGCCCCAGGAAACTTCCCTAAGGGTCCCCTGGGGAATTCCAGATCCCCTAAGGCATGTTCTCCACCCTCTGGAACTGATCCCATTTAGAGCCCCAGGGACAAAGGCAATACCAGGGCTTTTCCTGGGGGGTGGGGGGCTGGGGGGATGGCGAGGAGCAGGGCAAACTCCTTCAACATCTCTCAGCCCCCATCCCTGGCCCCGATTAGTAATGGAGAAACAGATACCATTATGAGGCAGTATGACTTATGCTAATCATCCAAAACACAGGTTCCCTTTTGTGAGACGCTAGAAATGCAGACCAACTGGAATATCTCAGAGGTCCTTTTCCAAGGAAGGTGTGACCTTTGTCATAAGAGCTTTGGGATCAGGTGCTTTGAGGTTGGCAGGGGTGAGGCATTGCATTAGGGGAGATGGGCGGGCAGAGGGGGTACCAGCCCCTCTTATTTACCCCTGGGTTTTTTGTCCTTTCAGCCTGGAGGCCGGCCCTGTATCTCGCCGCCCTGGACTGTGCTGAGGAGACCAACAGTGCAGTCTGCAGAGACTTCAACATCCCTGGCTTCCCGACTGTGAGGGTGTGTGACTGACAGGAGGGGAAGGCAGGCTGGGCCTGCTTTGTTTCCCTTTATAAGGGAAAGGGACCATGTGGGATGTGTCGGGATGGGCAGATTTCAGCTGCTCTGATTTGAGCTGGGAGGTGATCATCACTTGGGCTGGTGAGAGCTCCCACCTCCCAAGGTCCTCTTCAATTGCTCTCCCTCTTGACCTCCAAGCCTTAAGAGGTCTGATCTAACTCTATAAAACCAGGATTCAGGCTCTGACCCACCTGTGGGCAGGGTCAGACTCTAGAAGCCTAGTGGTCCCCCACAAAGGGACCCCAGACACTCTGGCAAGCCTCAGCCTCCTCAGGCAAAAATGCCTTGAACCACAGGTAGCTAAGAAGGGACCTGTCAGGGTAGCCTCACCCCACTGTCAGAATGTCAGTGCCTCAGGCAGCAGGGATCCCCGGCACGGGAGTTATCACACCCAAGGCATGAGGGCTTTGTCACCCCCGCTCTGGTGGAAAGTGGCACGAGATCTCTGATGATGCCTTACCTGCCAGCCTGCCCAGTGCAGGGCATCAACAGCTTAATTAACGTCTGAACAGCTTCCAAGGCTCTCAAATAGGAGGCCCTGGATAGCCCAGGGCAGCAAGGCTGCTGCAGTTATGGTGAGGGCCCTCCCCTGGGCTCAGGCCTGGCTCCAATCCAATTAGTTTTCTTCCAGATTAGAGAAGCCAAATTCAAATCTCTGTCTCTGTAGCACCAGCTATAAATAATATGTACCCTCCCACCAGAATGGCATCTAGAAAACCAGTTTCTTCTGTAGCCATTAAGGATTATTAGGAAATGCCTTTGAAAGCTGAAATGCCAAGCATTGTCCCTGGAACAAGATACCTCTGAGCTGGGGGTAGGGGCAGCCAAGTTTCAAGCAGAACTGTGAGCCAGAACTCAGCTTAATTACCCCAGCAGCATCCATCCGGGAAGTAAGGCCGTGGCTCCACCAGGAACATCCAGCTCTAACTCCATGTGACCTTTCTGTTCCTCGAGCCCAGTGCAACCCCCACTGGATTCAGGGTTTCCACACCTAATAGAAGTCCCTTCCTAAACTGTTACCACATAGGGTCAGGGCCCCCCAGGCCCCAGGTTTAGCTGAGACCAGGTTGGTCTCCTGATAGCGAACCAACAGCTACTGCCGTGTCATTGAAAAGTGGCAGCAGAGAGTCTGCATGTCAATCATCCCTTTGAAATGAAAGGCCTTCCTGGCAGGGACATGGTGCTATCTTTGGCCCTAAGGTGTGTAATTGAGAATATTCAAACAGGGCACTCTGTTCCTTTGGCTGAACCAGGGTGAGTGGCCCTGAGTGGGAAGCTGTGGGCAAGTTAGTGTGGCACAAGGAACCATCATTCACAGGCTGATATTTTTCTCCCAGTGAGCATGAGCCGCAGGGGTGCAGCCACTGCCCAGCCCCCAGGGGAGGGGTTGACACTGGTACAGCAGCCAGGGCAAGACAACCGATTGGAGTTCTGTAGGGCCTGACACCTGAGCTTTCTGACTCTGCCTGGGAGAGGCTGGGCACAGCAGGGATGAAGGAGGCGGCCTAGGCCCAGGAGGTCAGAGGCTCCTCAGCGCCACCCCATGTCACGCAGCGCACGCAGCCTGGATGCCTCAGGTGAGTCACCATCTCCTGAACTGCCTGGCTGGCTGTGGGAGGGGCACTGGGAGGGCCCTCGCTGGGCTCCTCAGCCCTCCCCTGCCTCCAGACGGGCAGCACCTGGCAGGGCCAGTCTGGTAGTCATCTGTCCACAGACCAACACGGTGGCCTCCCCCGGCAAAGCCTTTCCTGCCTCTCCTGAGGAACCTGTGGCTCAGTTTTGGCCAGGGGGAGGCACCCAGTGCCCAGTCCATAGGCCAAGTGGCTTGAGCTGGCAGGTCTCTGCTCTGAGGTCCTATGCAGCGGCTCTCAAATAGTTTCTTACTGTGACCAACTGTAAGCAATACACATTTTTACATTGTGATCCCAAAGTTGGTATGTATCTATTATCATTAAACCAGAAGTTTCATAAAACAAGATTCTTACTAAGTGCAGTTAAACTGTGATATTTTCTGTTCTATTTTTTTTTTTAAATCCGGCTGTGATTAAATACATTGATTTGACAGCTCATTACAAGGTTGTTTCTAGTGTTTGGAAAACACTACTCAAACAGATTCCAATATCCAGAGATTCGGGGCCATGAAGAACCTGTGTGCCCTTGGCAGAGGCTGACCTGGAGACTGCTGGTGGGCCAGAGACATAGCCCTGTTGCCCTGCCTGCTGCCCTCTGGGGGCTGGAGCCTGTCCTTGCACTCTGTCCATGAAGAGCTGAAAAGCGAGGGCCCATGCGAAGCAGGGGGAGGAGAGAGTGCTTTTGGTATGATGGGGACAGGCCCACACACAAGTCTGGCCTCCCTGAGTGGCATGTGTGACTGTCCTTTTCTTCTGTCTCCAGCCCCTTGTCACTATGAGCAAACAGTGAGCTTCTACCAGCCCAGCCTGTTTAGCAAACACCTGGGCCCTGAAGGGCGGGCCAGCTGTGTCAGGTCCCCATCAGGTTGGAGCCAGAGCCCAGCTGGAAGGAAACAAAGGCGTGGGAGAGGGAGGGGCTGGTTGGCTGCAGGTTCTGGCTGGAGCTTGGCAACCTAGAGGCTGGAACTTCCGGGTCAAGGGGCTTCTCCGTGGGCCTCAGGAGTGCCCTTCAGTGGGAATAGAATGGGACTTTTTATGGCCGAAGGCCTGGCCGGAGCAAGGGGTACACAGCACAGCAGCATAGGGGTGGGGAAGGGCAGGTCTTCTCTCTTCGAGGCTCTGAGGAGATCAGTGATGTGGTTTCAAATCCAGGCCTCTCTGCTTACTGTGTGTGGCTTGGAAAGTCACTTATCAGTGCCCCAGCCGTGGGCCCCAGTTTCCTTGTCTGTAAACATGGGATGATAACATCCACCTAAGAGGACCGTTGCCAAGTGTGAAGTGAGGTCTCCCATATGCAAGTGCCACCATGCTAGTGTGATTTGGACTTCAGTAAAAGTTAGTTTGCTTCCTTCCCGTTGTCCCATCTCACTCCTGGGCCACCCGTGGGGCTGCTGGTAGCTGGTGTGTGGCTGCTGCTGGACTGTGTGGCAGTCCATCCATCTGTCAGCAGCCACTGCGGGCCTACTTGCTGGGTGCCCAGCACCGCACTCACCACTGCAGGCGTGGCCAGGAGCGTGAGATCCCCAGAGCCCATGGCCAGTGAGAGGCGGCCAGGGATAGGTACCCAGGGTATGCCACAGGAGTTTGCTGGGCTCACGGAGCTCTTTCACTGGTCAGAGAGGAGTGTGTGTAGGAGGGGACTTCTACTTGGTGTTGAAGGACAGATGGGGTTTGGCTGGGAGAGAGGAGGAATGTGGGCGGGCCTTATAGGCAGGCGAGAAGGTGAGAGCCAAGGCCCTCTGTGGGCAGGGCGAGGTGGCGTGTTGAGGAGACTCGTCCAGCTGGGCAGAGGCTCATGTTGAGGGATGAGGCAGAGCTGGGGGAGGAGGGAGCCCAGAAATGGCAGGTCCTTGAATGCAGGTTTGGAAGCAGGGACGCCCTGTGAGGGTACAGAGTCTGGGCTGTTACCTTCTGTGGCTTTTGCTAGAAGGTGAGATGTCAGGGAGGAAGACAGGACTCCAGGATGTCTCCTGTCTCTCTCTGGAAAAAGGAGGTGGGCCCCTTTCTCAGCAGTCAGCTGCTGTTTTTGAGGTCTTCTCCATGGATAATCCACGGTGTTGGAAGTGGTTAAGGTAATGGATCCTCATGGGCTTACCATAAAAATATCTGGAGGCTGGACCATTTTCCTTAAAACGTTATAAAAGCTGGAATTGAATGCCATCGGTGTCACCCCTGGGAAGTGTGCTTTCTCTTGAGCTCTTTTGGCCCCAAGATAGCAGTCACTCCATAGTTTCGTGAAGACCAGCCTGGTGTTGCCTGGTTTTCTGCCATTAGGGAGCAGCTAGAGGTCTTCCAGTAGCTCCTGTGTAAAGTGATGAAAGAAAAGGGCTGGGTGCTGACTGCTCCTGGAGAAAAGCAACACACTCCCAGAGTCTTAATTGCCTGCTTCCAGGGAGCTGTGGTGGTTTCCCTTGGGCAGGGCACACGCCCCAGTGGTTGACTTAATAAGGATACATTTTAATCAGAGGACAAAAATGTGCCCTGACTTGATTTCCGCATGGGCTTCCAGCATGGTCAAAGGGCAGAGATTCTCTGTTCAGCTGAACAGATGTCTATTGAGAGATGCCAGACACTGTGGAGCTTGCAGAGATAAATAAAATGTCGTCCTGCTTCCTGGTCAGAGGTGGGTGCATGGGTGAGTGGTGGATTCAGGTTGAAGTTCATTGCAGCTGGAGTGGCGGGAGTGGAGGGCAATGTGAGGTGAGTTTGGGTTTGGAGCCTGGAAGGCCTTGAATGCAGTGAGTTTGGACATTATTCATTGACAGTGGGGAGTCATGGAAGAGATTTGAGGAGGAGCAAAATGTTCAGACCAGAACTGTGCCTTAGAAAACTAACCTTAGTAGCAGTGAGGAAGATAGCTGGAGTATGAAAAGATTGAGCATACTAAAACTTCTGAGAGCATGAAAGGTGGGGACTGATGCAGTGACCCAAAAATACGTCATCATCTGTCGGGCCTGGTCTAGACAAGGCAGGTGGAGAAGGAGAGGACTTTTGAAGAGGTAACACGGAGGTCAAATTCATAGGACTTGTCAGCTAACTGGATGACGGGTTTTTGAAGAGGGGGATGGTGTGGGTGGCAGGGAGGGGGACTGGTTGCTGGGTGAGGTAAACACAAGTGGCAAAGCAGGTTGAGAGAGGGGTGATTCAGTCTTGGGGATGGTGGGGGAGGGGCAGTATCCAGACACCTGAGTGGAGGCCATCAGGAAGAACCAGGAGTCTAGGACAGGTGAGGTCTGAGATGCAGAGGGTTCAGATGGCAAATCATTTGGACAAAGTCATTGGCTTTGGCAAGGGAGAAATGATAGGTTTGTTCATTGATCCCTTTATCCACTCATCATTTAGAAGCAAGATTGAGCAACTTCTTTGTGACAGTGCCTTCAACAGCTTTTTAAACAGAAGAGTGTCAGGACCTGACATGTGTCTGTAGGAGAGACCGGGGTAGGAGATGGGGGTGGACAGTGGGCACAGGAGAGCAGTCGAAAGTGAAGCTAGGACCAGGGCAAGGGGGCCAAGTAAGGCTGGTCAGTGTCAAGCCAACCAGGGGAGGGTGGCAACGTGAAAGCAACAAAGGAGAGCAACCACAAAATGTGGCACGAAAGTTGACAAATGCTCGCCATGGGAAGACAAAGCAGGCAGTAATAACATCTGTACCAGAGAGAGGCCAGGAGGGCGGGGAGAGATCACTGGAGTGGCTGAAGAGAAGGTCACCAAGGAGCTTCCCTAGAACGGCTTCAACTGAGGGTTGTGGGGATGGCCAGAGAGCAGTCTGAGGAGCAAGGGCAGACGCTGTTCCAGGAACATTGGCAGCATGGGGACACGGGAAGGAAATGCGGTTACTCGAGAAGGAAGGAGGGCCTCTCTTCATCCCCATCCTCCTTCCCTTCCCATCCTTTCCTTTTTTAAGGGTTAGACTAGAAGGATTCGAATCTATCTGTAGGCCTAGTTGGGCGGCTGTAGTAGAAAAGAGGAATGATGAGAGATGGCTAGGAAGAAGTTCCTGAAGAGCGTGAGGCGTGGGAGCCAGAACTCGGAGGAGACATTGGCCTGGGAGGTGGGTGCGAAGCTTCTGAGGACAGAAGGGAACAGCTGAGGTGCAGCAGGGCCTTCCCTTCAGCCTGCATCCTGGGGAGAGGCTCTTGGGGTCCCTGCATCCCCCTGGGCCACTCTGGCTGACCGAGGTTCCTGGTCAGACTCCAAGCTGCTTGTGGCTGCAGGGATCTTGAGGGGTTGCCTTTTTAAAATTTTTTTATTTTTTGAGACAGAGTCTCTCTCTGTCGCCCAGGCTGGAGTGCAGTGGCATGATCTCGGCTCACTGTAACCTCCACCTCCCAGGTTCAAGCAATTCTCCTGCCTCAGTCTCCTGAGTAGTTGGGATACAGGTGCATGTCACCAAATTTGGCTAATTTTTATATTTTTAGTAGAGACGGGGTTTTACCCTGTTGGCCAGGCTGGTCTCAAACTCCTGACCTCAAGTGATCCGCCCACCTCGGCCTCCCAAAGTGCTGGGATTACCGGCATGAGCCACTGCACCCGTCCTGGAGAGGCTGCCTTTTGGTAGAAGTAATGCAAGCCTCTTTTAATATGGGCACCTGCTCAGATGTGGGTGACCTGATGGTTGATGACAAAAAAATGACCATATTACTTTTCAGAGGTGAAAATAACAGCTGTAGCTGTGGGAAAGCCACCCATCTCAAGGCTTCATGATGTCAGTGTTGTTCTCATATATGTAGAAACCAGTCAAAGTGTAACCTGTCTGTAAATAAACAAGAGCACCATCACCATGAATAACTGCAGCGCAACATCACCCTCGGGTTTCTTTTTTGTTTTTAAATTTTATTTATTTTTAATTTTTAACTTTTTGTAGAGATGGGGCCTCACTGTGTTGCCTAGGGTGGTCTTGAACTCCAGGGTTCAAGTGATCCTCCCTCCTAGGTCTCCCAAAGTGCTGGGATTACAGGTGCGAGCCACTGCACCTGACCTGGTTTATTATTTGTCGGCAAACCAAACCCCAAATAGATGTATCTTCAATTTTGTTCATGAAAAAGTGTCAGTCCATAAATGCCGTAACTTACATTATCAATACGATCTCCTAATCAAGGAAATTTATGATCATTTTCTTAAGTATTAGGATAACATAATTTTAATAGGCCAATAAAATTAAATAACTGTAAAGAACGCTATTTAAATATGTGTGGTATGTATAAGTGGATGGTTTTCATCCACAATAAAAGTTTATATTAATGTTTTGAAAAGAGAGAGTAAAGCAGTGAGCAGGAGTAAGGGCCCGGGGGAGGTCACAGGGAGCAGAAGGTTGCAGATGGGGAGAGACAGGTGGCTTCTCTGCAGCCTTTGTTCCTCATGTGGGAGAGGGTAGCAGGTGGCTTCCAGATTTTCTGCCTACAAATGTCTGTAACAAACAAGTCCTAGCTGATCATGGTTCCTAGTGTTTAAAAGGTATGAAGGAGGGAAGGGGATGCTGGTGGTGGGTGATGATGGTACAGTTAACATGTACCAGTTCCTTGATGTATGCACTAGGTACCATGCTAAGCACTTTAGATGTATGGTCATGGAATCCTCACAAGTCTTCAAGGTAGATGGTGTCATCCTCATTTCAAAGATGAGAACACAAAGGTTCGGAGCAGTTGATGCGTTGCCCAAGGTCACACAGCAAGAGCAAAGCAGAACCAGTCCTTGAACGAGGTCTGCCAGAGCCCGGGGCCTGTTCTCAGCTGCCAGCTTGGGATAAGGCCAAACAGCTCTATCCCAAGGAGGGAGAAGGAAACCAGTGTTTGGCTGTTGGAGGCAGAAGTCCAAGGTAGTGAAAAGTGGCCCCGAGGCTAGAGTCCCACAGGAAGAAGCCTCTTCCCAGCCTGCAGGCTCTCCCCTAGGCAGTTCAGTGGCCGGCTTCCAGGACAACTCAACTGTGTTCCCTCCTGAATCGGAAGAGCGCAGGCAAAAGCCTTGGCAGCTGTCTTGCCGCCTGGGCAGAAGCCCAGATTGCCAGGAGTCAGGCTCTGTTCGGTCTGTCCTCTTGCCCCAAGGAGGTGACAGACTAGGCTTGGGGTGTCATGTACATGGGAAAAGAGGACAAAGTGGTGAGTTAAATCAGCTAGTCTGTAGCAAGGCATGTTTCCCCAGGGACTCAGGTCCCCGCTTCAAGAGAACCTGTTCTGGAGACCCCTTCCTTGACTGTGTCTGCTGTGCTGGGCTGGGACTTAGTGGACAGAGACAGCAGCCTGTAAGCCCCTTTTCCCAAGTAAGGAGCAAGGGCACATTGACATAGAAGCAAGCTGACATTTCCCAAGGGACGTAGGAAGTGCCTGCACTTCATGTTTTCAGATGAGTCTGCAAAGGAAAACAGCAGTGGTACTTCATCACTCATCCATTCGATAAATATTGGTTAGTAATTACATGCTAGGTACTGTGCTGCATAGAAATGGCCCTCGAGGAGGAAAGTGTATGAACTGCTGCCCACAGGATCCATGGATGCTTCTGAGGGGTGTGGGAGGGTAACAGGGGAGGGAGCCAGTGTCCAGCTCCTAGAGCAACCTCCCCCCAACTCCCCCCAATTCACCATTTTACAGATGAAGAAACAGGCTCGGCCAGGCGCCTATAATCCTGACACTTTGGGAGGCTGAGGCGGGCAGATCACAGGTCAGGAGTTCGAGATCAGCCTTGCCAACACAGTGAAACCCCATCTCTACTAAAAATACACACAAAAAAAATTAGTCGAGTGTGGTGGTGGGCGCCTGTAGTCCCAGCTACCTGGGAAGCTGAGGCAGGAGAGTCCCTTGAACCTGGGAGGCAGAGCTTGCAGTGAGCCGAGATCGCGCCACTGCACTCCAGCCTGAGCGACAGAGCGAGACTCTGTCTCAAAAAAAAAAAAAGAAAGAAAGAAAAAAGAAACAGGCTCAACAACATTAAGTGATTTGCCCAGCCACCGCATTGAATAAGTAGGCAGATTTTCAGAGCAGGCCTGCGTGGCTGCACTCTTGGCCACTATCTATTACTGATGCCCACCTGTGTGTTTGCTTCCAGTTCTTCAAGGCCTTTACCAAGAACGGCTCGGGAGCAGTATTTCCAGGTGGGTGCCCAGCTCTGGTTGTCCTGTTAGCATCTTCCTCCCCCAACCTCCCTCTTCACCTGGGTTTCTATTGGGGTGGAGAAAGCCCTGGCAGTCGGCAGGGTCGAGGGTGAGGCGGTCCCCACGGGAAGCCTAACTTGTGTCTTCCCAAAACTATCCTCCCAGTCAGCTTTAGGGAAAGGCAGGATGAAGAAGCCCTTCAGGTTGGACATATCCAGGGCCCTAGGGTCGGGGCAGGGGCACCATGTTCCCAGAAGAGCTCTTCTGTCACAATGGGGTTGGCGCCCAGAGAGCAGACCAGAGCCCTTGGGGAAAGTCCTGACGACTCCCAGTTCTGAGGGATTCTTTCCTGTCTGAGGGATGGGTGTCCTTGCACTACTTGGGGCCACAGGAGGACTACTCAAGCCCCATTCTTCTAGCACAGGGAAGGACTGACGCCTCGTCTGTCTCTGTCAGAGCTGGCTGTGCCCTCGGCCCTTTGTTTCTGGGAGTGAAGGTGGCCAGTGTGCTGTGGAAGCAGCTCTGCTCTCCTGACACTCCGCTCACGCCTGTTTTCATTTACAGTGGCTGGTGCTGACGTGCAGACACTGCGGGAGAGGCTCATTGACGCCCTGGAGTCCCATCATGACACGTGGCCCCCAGCCTGTCCCCCACTGGAGCCTGCCAAGTACTTTGGGCTGGGGCAGGCTTAGTGCATTGTGGGCCAGGATCCCAGGCCTGGGAGTGAGAGGGTGGTGGGAACAGCAGGGCGGGGACCCCAGTTTATTTTCCTTGCTGCCTTTGCCTGTGGGGCTCACACACCAGTCTGCTGGAGCTACTCCAGAACCAAGTGGCAGCTGATGGCTGGTGGTGGGCTTCCTATCGCACAGGTCCTGCTGAAGAGCCCTGTTTTTCTGGGGCTGACTGATGGTGCAAGGGTCCATCCCACCAGGTGGGAAGGAAAAGATGGATGGGGCTTCTCCAGGTTGTACCTGCTGCTGTTTCTTGCTACCTTCCCTCAAAATGTTTGCGGGACGCAGCAGGATTTCACATGCTCTATCCCCGGGAAGGCCACTGAGAGTCAGAATGGCATGAGGAGGAAAAAGGAGATCAAATATTTTGAGGGAAATTGGGGGGAGGTGGAGAGAAGGTGGTCATGCCTGGGGCATGGGGGTGGCCCCTGGCTCTCTGTATGGCAGAGCATCAGGTGCAGTGGCCGGTGCTCTGTATCTGTCAGCCAGGCAAGCTTCCCAGCTTGCCTCTTTTCCAGGAAAATGAAGACAGTAAGGTGCATGGTCTTGCCCATACTTTCCCAAAGAAGAGACAGCTAGATTAAAAACACTAGGCCCCCCACTTCTGGATCAGAACTCAAGATAGGATAATGCCCACCTCGGAGGACTCTTGCCAAGAAGGAACAAATCCATGTACCAGCAGGAGCTGCTAGAGGGAGCCCAGCCTTGTACACAGTGGAGGCCCCAGGTGCTAAGAAGGCCTCACAAGGCCGCTGTTGGTGCGCAGAGGCTCTCTTAAAAGTTTGTGTGCAGGTGCTCTCAGAGACATGGCCCTGCTGAGAGATTGTGTTTCCAAGTGTCAGTTGGGGTTGAATCCAACTCACAATGACTCCTTTGTCATCTTTCCCAATTTTCCATCCTCCAGAGGGCCTCCAGGGGACCCTGGATACAGCATAGTCTTTATGTGGTTTGGGGTTCCACAGCCAGACCCTGTCTCTCCAGAAAACACCCATGTCAGCCTGTGCCCTGGTCCTTGCTGCTTCTATTTCTCAATGACTGTGTTTCCATCTCCCTCCTTACACACACACGTACATCCTCATGGCACATTTTCAGCCCTGGGGTATCTCAAAAGCAACAGCTCAAGCAATCCTGCCAAGGTCTCTCAAAGTGATCCTTTTTTTTTTTTTTTTTTGGAAGACAGAATCTCGCTCTGTTGCCCAGGCTGGGAGTGCAGCGGCACGATCTTGGCTCACTGCAACCTCCACCTCCTGGGTTCAAGCAATTCTGCCGCCTCAGCCTCCCGAGTAGCTGGGACTACAGGCGCCTGCCACCAAGCCTGGCTAATTTTTTGTATTTTTAGTAGAGATGGGGTTTCACCATGTTGCCCAGGGTGGTCTCAAACACCTCAGCTCAGGCAATCGGCCTGCCTTGGCCTCCCAAAGTACTGGGATTACAGGCATAAGCCACTGCACCCAGCCCAAAGCAATCCTTTTAAAGAACTTTAGGAAGGAGGTAGAGATGTGTGATGAAAGGTGAGCTGCCTCTTCTGAAGTCTGAGGGTGGGAGTGGGGAAAGGGGTACTGGCCCCCATGTAGGTTGTGCTCTTCTGCCAGCCTAGGGAAGACCCAGGGAAGAGGTCTGAGAGGCTGGCCACCTGATGCCACCCTAAAGGCTCAACACCTCTTTTCCTCCACCCCAGCGGGGTGCACTCTGGCCCTCACCTGTCTAGCATATCCATTTGGACTGTCACTGGCTGGGCTCCAGCATCAATACCATGTTTTTGTTTGTTTTGTTTTGTTTTGGATATGTTTTGTTTTGTTTTGGAAACTGGGCCTCAGTTTCCTCATCTTAAAATAAGGAGATTGGGTTAGAGATATAGATGGCTTCTAAGGTCTCCTGAACCCAAGGCTTTCTGATTCTTTCATTGCTTTTTAATGCCTGCTCTAGGGAGGAAGGAGCACATCTCCCCCTTGGTCGTGACTTGTCACAGTTCCAGACTTATAGCTGTTGGGTTCTAATACCCCCCAGCTCTCAGGGGACCAATAAAAACCACATCCAGTCAGCCTGGGCCTGCCCCAGCACATGGAGACAACTGGTCTCAAAGCAGCCCTTCCCAGTCCCCCTCCCCACACGGCCTCCTACCCACTTCCGACTCTTTTTGTTTGTTTGTTTGTTTTTTGGAGACGGAGTTTTGCTCTTGTAGCCCAGGCTGGAGTGCAATGGTGCAATCCCAGCTCACTGCAACCTCCACTCCCCGGGTTCAAGTGATTCTCCTGCCTCAGCTGGGATTACAGGTGCCCGCCACCACACCCAGCTAAATTTTGTATTTTTAGTAGAGACGGGCTTTCACCATGTTGGCCAGGCTGGTCTCGAACTCCAGACCTCAGGTGATCCACCCGCCTCAGCCTCCCAAAGTGTTGGGATTACAGGCGTGAGCCACCGCACCCGGCCCACTCCTGACTTTTAAAAAGAGACAGGAAGCAAAAACAAAACCAAGCACCCAAGGTAGGTCAGATGAAGAGCCAGGGTTAGATAACAAGAGCAACATCCTTTGAGACTAAAGGTTTGGTTGACTCCCTTGGAGGGCCCTGTGTGGAAGCGGAGGAGGGCGGGATGGCCATACCTGCAGCACTGCATCACCAGCGTCTGGCGTTGCCAGCGGTTTTGTCTTATTTCTGCTGGCTGTGCAGAGTGACTGCCAGAATTGTCTCTTGCAGGCTGGAGGAGATTGATGGATTCTTTGCGAGAAATAACGAAGAGTACCTGGCTCTGATCTTTGAAAAGGGAGGCTCCTACCTGGGTAGAGAGGTGAGCTGCCCTGAAGTTCCCTGCAATTCTTGGATAGCCATGGAGAGAGAGCCCCAGTTTGGGAGCAGGGCTTTTCCTGCCAATTCTAGGGTCTTGGCTGCCTGGGTCTTTTAGCCTGGCATTGGCCTGACCCCTGCTGGGAGCCATGGGAAGTGCAGGAGCTGGACCTTTGCGTTTCAAAACCTTGCTGTTTATTCTTATCTCCTTCACGGAAATCAAATATAACACCTGCTGTTATTGAGCATTGGACCAGATTGCTGACACACGTAGCTGCTAATCCCCAAAATTAATGAAGGTGATCAAATAGCATGCCCAAGATCACACAGCTAGTAAGTTGGTAGAAGAGGGCTTTGAACCAGGTCCGTCTGGCTCCAAAGCCAATGTTGTTTCCACAGTGTCCCACTCCATGGGACTGGAGTGAAATATTTGGGAGGGAGGGAACATTAGCGACGCCCTAGCCCCACCGGAGGAAATGGGGTCCTTTACCCAGATGCCGGTCTGTCTCATGTGGGGCATCCGTGAGCCAGCTCCCCAGCGCTTCCAGCTGCAGTGCCCTGTCTAGAAAGCAGGGATGATTACGTTTCTCCGTAGTATTGTTGGGAAGGTCAAATGCAGCAGTTTATGTAAAGGGCCTGGATTGCAGCTGACACATAGTAGGTGCTTTATAAGGATCCATTCCCCTCGCCTAATGCAGAGAGCTCACCATTCTGCCATTGGTTCATGGACTTCTCCATAGACCAGTTGTGAGCTTTTCCCAGCTGCAAAGGTGGGACGTGCCAGTGCACGGGAGATACTCCAAGTCAGTGCAGGGAGACAGGCATGAGAGTAGGCATGAAATTAAACTGCACTGTCAGCCTGAGTGATTTTCCTGCTGAAACTCAACAAGCACAGCTGAGAGTCTGAGCTGAAGCCAGATGCTGTCTCCAGGCCTCTCAGCCCTGAGAGAGGAGGCACAGGGGTTGGGGAGGGGAAAGACAGCTTGGCTTAAGGAGTGCCTGACCCTCTGGGGTCCCAGTTCATGCCTGGGGTCATGCCTGTTATGTAGAGGTGATAAATGGTGATTGGAATCAGGTCTTTTCCCTCCCCTCCCACCACAGTCCTTGAGTACCAAGGGGCTGGGGTCCCAGTGGTTGGAGCCAAGTGCCCCATGCCCATGCAGTGGTGCTTAGCGTGGGACCAGTGGCTAAGGGCCCAGGTTCTGGAGCCACACTAAGCTGGGATTTGTAGCACAGTTCAGGCATATGCAAGCTGTGTGATCTGGAGGCATGATTTCACTTCTAAGCCTCAGTTTCTCCAGCTACAAGATAGGAGCTTTATATTTATTTATTTATTTTGATTTTTGTGAGACGGAGTTTCACTCTTGTTGCCCAGGCTGGAGTGCAATGGCACTGTCTTGGCTCGCTGCAACCTCCACCTCCCAGGTTCAAGCATTTCTCCTTCCTCAGCCTCCCAATTAGCTGGGATTACAGGCATGCACCACCATGCCTGGCTAATTTTGTATTTTCAGTAGAGACGTGGTTTCACCATTTTGGTCAGGCTGGTCTCAAACTCCTGACCTCAGGAGATCCGCCCACCTCAGCCTCCCATAATGCTGGGATTACAGACGTGAGCCACTGCGCCCAACCAGGAACTTTATTTTTATTATTTTGAGATGGAGTCTCGCTCTGTCGCCCAGGCGGGAGTGCAGTGGCACAATCTTGGCTCACTGCAAGCTCCACCTGTCAGGTTCATGCCATTCTCCTGCCTCAGCCTCCTGAGTAGCTGGGACTACAGGCGCCCGCCACCACACCAGGCTAATTTTTTTATATTTTTAGTAGAGACGGGGTTTCACCATGTTGGTAAGGATGGTCTTGATCTCCTGACCTTGTGATCTGACCACCTTGGCCTCCCAAAATGCTGGAATTACAGGTGTGAGCCACCACGCCCGGCCTGGGAGCTTTATTTTTAAGTAAACACTTATGTACCTACTATGTGCTAGTCACTGTTATGGCATTTTAATAACATTAACCCCTTCAGTTCTCAGAACAGCCCCCCTGAAGTTGGTGGTATTATTATTATTGTTGTTATTATTATTTTGCAAGTAAGGAAATTTGGTCAGGGAAAGGTTTGGTGCAGTGGGGCCAGGATTCCAATGCAGGCAACTGTAGTGTACGGTGCCGCATCTCTTAGTCTCCTGAGAATAGCTGCTATTTCAGTGTTTCTCTGAAGATAAATGAGGCAATCTGTGTGGACACTACATAATACCTATGCAATACAGGTTAGCTAGTGCTTTCTCTTTATTTCTTTCTAAAAAAAATAATGATGACTGATGTATATTTTTCTGATTCGGAGTCTAGATAGGAAGCTTTATAAATATAAGAAAAAAGGCTAGGGGGCGCCACCTGCTCCATGGTGAAGAGTGAGACGTCAGTAACAGAAGTCCGTGCCTGCCATTTGCAGATGGCCTGTCCGATTATGCTCAGAACTTCTCTTCCCATTTCTAATGTGGGGACATTGTCATCTCAACAAGGCCTCTTGTTGCCTTCAGAGAGCCCCACGTTAAGAAACGTTTTCAGATCTTCTTATAACTATACACATTGACCAAAGGGCCCCTCTGACTACTGCACATACTGGGCTCAGAGTTAGCCTGCTGTTTAGAAGTTTACCCAATTCCAAAGGTTTATTTTGTTTGTATCCTACCCATGAAATTTGTTACCATATGTATTTGAACGCAATAAAATCACAGTTCTTTAAACATCTGTGACTCAAGCTTCCATAAGGAAGACTGCTCTTGCCCCCAACAATTGATATTTCAAACAAACAATAATTAGTAATTTCTAAAGGGATCTTTTCCCTTTAGAAAAATGTTATGAGAAGGCCCTGGGGAATCCTGGACATCAGAGAGCAGTCTTGGGGTGTGAAGGTCTTAAAGACAAGAACGTGCTGGCTCAGTGCAAAAAACAAACGAGAATTAAAATGAAACCACATTTTATTGTGCTCTTTACAAATTGCTTTCATTAGAAAGAAAATGCTACCCAGTTGGGACTGTCGTAAGAAATTAAAGCGTGTGTGGCATGCACAGCTCCAAGGCCTCTCCTCCTGGGCAGTGATTGGCACTTGCTACCTACTGGTTAGCTGCTGTTGATGGCGAGTATCTCTTGCGCATCAGTGTGGTCCACTCTTTGTGGGTTTAGAGTCTGGAAGGAGCACAGCTGCCATCTGGGTGCCTTCACAGGTCACCGAGCTGGGACCCAGCCCTGGCTCCCTCCACCCGGTGGCCTGGCCCCCAGATGTTCTGCTGTCCCTGCAGGTGGCTCTGGACCTGTCCCAGCACAAAGGCGTGGCGGTGCGCAGGGTGCTGAACACAGAGGCCAATGTGGTGAGAAAGTTTGGTGTCACCGACTTCCCCTCTTGCTACCTGCTGTTCCGGAATGGCTCTGTCTCCCGAGTCCCCGTGTGAGTATCCTGTCTCCTGGCGTCCCCTCTCGTCCCTCCCTGTGCTCATCCTTCCTTCTTGCCCAGAGGGGCTGCCCGCCTTTCACAGTGGCCAACATGTTCTTTCTGAAGAGCCCCCTCAGGAGAAGCTGCAGTCTGCTGTCTGCGGGGCCAGCGCCTCCACCGTCAGGAGCCTGGGCCTGAAACGCTAACCCTGTTCCGCAGCTCAGAGACCTCAAAGGCCTCAGCCCCCCGCACCCAGTGTCGCCTGCACCCTCATTACGTCCCCACCACAGCCCTGGCCCTCTTCTCCACCCTCTTCTGTTCGCAGGCAGACTCATTGGCAGGCTACAGGCCTGGCAAGCACTCGTATATGCCTGACCCTCCCTCCCTTTGGTTTTCTAATTGCAGAAAAGTTCATTAGCAGCCAGACAATAGCCAGTTCCAAAATGCCGAGAGAAAACAATCAGGCCAGCCTCAGCCCCTCTGCCAGGCTCCTGCTGCTGAATGGCCCGTTAATGGCACCAGATGGTGCCTTGGTGCCCTCCCTGGGCAGATGATTGATGTCAGCCAGGCCCCGCAGGCAGGAGCATTGGGCCAGGGAGGCAAGGCTTGCCTGTGGTGCCTGGTGAGCTGCTCCTCGGGGCCCTCAGTGCCGACCCACACGGCGCCGGGCAGGGTGGCCACTTGGCCTCACCCTGGCCCAGATCACCTGCTAGAGGGCCCAGGAGGTGCGATGCCACCAAGGACAGGGAGGCACTCGCTTTCCGGGCAGGCCCAGAAAGTGCCAGTGATGGTGGGGAGAGAAGGCATTGTCTCCTCTCTCCGAGTTGGTGGAGGGGAAAATTGTTTGTGACGATGCTGCCTCCCGAGCCATCTGCTCACCGAGAAACCCAGGATGGTGGAGTGGAATGAAGCCGTGCGTCCCATGCCAGCTCCCCCGGGGCAGCCCTCACGCTGCTGCTGGACCCGGCGTCTCTCTCTGCAGGTGCCCTGGCTGTGGGTGAGAGGGAATATGCACTCAGGAGGTATCCCGTGCCCTGGAGGACTCCTCCCTGTCGGAAAAAAGAAAGAAACCAAAAAGACCGTAAAAAGATTTAGAGAATTCTGGAGGCTCTTTGTCATTGTTGCTACCTGTTTTTTGAAAAATCCCATATCAAACTCCCTGGACTTCTTAGGGGGTAATGTCACTTATAGTACCTCAGGGCGAGCTTATGGATGGGCAGCTGCCATATTGAATCTCGGGGTCCTTGGGGAAGGGAGTCACACTCCGCCGTTCCTGTCTGTGGGCACCGGGCTGTCCCGTGCCTTTCCATGCCCTGCCTGGAGCCAGAGGGCCACTGGGGGAATTCTTGGGCCCAATTGCCTTACCAGGTGAGGTTTGACATCAGGCTGGTGTCAGAGAGGCTTTCCAGAGCATGTGCAGTGATTAGAAGGGTTACAGCGAGGCCTGGGTGCCGTCTTCTGGCCTCACAGAGGACAAGATGGAATCTCGTTCACATATTTAATAAACCTTCCTGTCCGATGAGCCACCCTTCTTCCTCTTCTGACATTGGTTAGCTCTAATCTTGTTCTCTGCACTTACTGCCTCTCCTCCCTGGTTCTGTGCCCTCACAGGCTCATGGAATCCAGGTCCTTCTATACCGCTTACCTGCAGAGACTCTCTGGGCTCACCAGGGAGGCTGCCCAGACCACAGTTGCACCAACCACTGCTAACAAGATAGCTCCCACTGTTTGGAAATTGGCAGATCGGTAAGGCTACGCCTGGTTCTCCTCACTTCTTCTCCTTCCTCTGATCACAGACCACCACACCTTCACACCCACGCCCTCTTGCTCATTCTTCTTCCTTGTCATATGATTAGTGTGTACATTCTGAGCCAGGCTGTCCCCCACCCTGGGGTCTGGCCATGCTCAGGGACCTTCAATGTGTGGGAGCGGCATTTAGCTGCGGTGCCTCTGGTGTCTGTTGCGGGGCCGGGGCTGACTGGGGAATGAACACCTTCCATGCCCACGCTCCTTCAGCTTAACTCTGCTCACAAATGGGGAATCTGCGTGCAAGGACACTCTGAGGCCTCCAGACCAACTTCCCACCCAAGCAATTATTTGTGCAGTCAATATTTTTGAGTACTCACTATGTGCTAGGCACTGTGGCAGCAGATATGTACAGGCAGATGCATTCTCTGCTTGTGCAGACCCTACAGCATCCCTTCTAGGAAGGCACCCAACCTCACTTGAATGCCTGTGGTGTCAGTGAGTTCACTGCCTTTTCAGGTCACCTGTGTGTGTGTCCACAGTCGTAAGCATGAGAGAGCTGCTCTTCTCTCTGAGGCTCGTTGCCTTTTCTGTTGTGGTTGGGCAGTGAGACAGAGCTGTAGACCTCCTGCACTGGTACCAGCTGCATACCAGGTGGAAATGTCTGACCAGGGAGCTCAGAGCTGGCCAGGACGGTGCCCCTCACAAGGGGATGCACGAGACAGTGGGGGAAAGGTGATTGCAAGAAGGACTTTGCATCCTAGCATGAGGGACTTTAAGGGTGGAAAGTGCCAAATGGAGAGACTTTTAGTAGATCAAGGGAGAAGGAAAGAGAGAGTGAGGGGTGGTGTAATCATTATGATCATTCCGTCATTATGAATGATCATCATAATCATTCGATCATTACAGTTATGCAAACCATTGACGTTCTTGTAATAGCTTGGGCTGGTGTATGTGCCAGGCTCTGTGCTGGGCACCTTCCCTGTGTTACCTCATTCAGTCATGGGGCCACTTCTGGAGGCAGGGCACAGGAATGGAGAGGTAAACTGAGGCCCAAGGACAGCAAAGTGGAACACAGAGGAGACCTTGCCCTGAGGAGGAGCATAGGCAGCCACAATGCGTACCCCATTAGTTGACCTTATTGGCTCTTTCCAACCTCAGGAGGTTGTCATGGAGGGGTCAGGAGCAAGTCATGTGTTTTACAGGTGAGCTGACTGAGGCCCAGGAAAGTCAACTGAGTTGCCCAAGCTCACAAACTAGCTCACAGTCAAACTGAGGTCAGAACCCAGGTCTCAAGAGACAGGGGAAGAGGCACCCAACTTTCCTGGCCCCTGCCATCAGAACCCTGAGCCTGGACCCCAGCATGATGGGCCTGGGGCCAGCATGGAGCCTCCGGCCCTTCCATGAGGGCTGCGGAGAGGTGTGAGATGGGCCCACCTAAGATGTGAGGTCCGGCAGCTGTGAGCACATCAGCCCTGAAAGAAATACAGGCCCTGCTTCCCCTCCTGCCCCCAGTCGCCATTTCCCAGACTTGGTGGGCAGCTAAACCCTGGTCTTTCAGAGAGGGCCCAGTTTTTCCAGAGCCATGTCGTGTGTATGAACCTGCTGGTCTGATTATGTCTAGTGGTCTTGGCTCGGAGCTGGCCTGATTAGTGAGTTGCAGGAGGGGTGGCTGTGGGCCTGGAGAGAGAAAACTCCTACTCCCTGCCAGGAGCTGCTGAGAGTTTTTTACATTTGTGCTTTTATTTGATCCTCTCAGCAACTTACCTGTGAGCAATGTGTTATTCATATCTTACAGATGAGGAATTGAGGCTCAGAGAAATTAGGTAATTTACCCAAGGTCACACAGCACATTTCTGGCAGAAGCCAGTGGTAACTTACAAGACTCTGTGACCATCAGCAGTGCCCCTTCTCTTCTCTCCCTTTAGCCCTGGATGCTCCTTGCAGCCCCTGCACCATGGTTAATACTTCTTTCTCTCTCTATCTCCCTCTGGGTCCTCAGCTCCAAGATCTACATGGCTGACCTGGAATCTGCACTGCACTACATCCTGCGGATAGAAGTGGGCAGGTTCCCGGTCCTGGAAGGGCAGCGCCTGGTGGCCCTGAAAAAGTTTGTGGCAGTGCTGGCCAAGGTGAGCAGGGCCATGGCTTCCCTTGTCTGTGCAATTCTACGGATGGTCAGTGTGCGTTCCTGTAAGGCTGGGCACCCCGTCAGCCCCTCCCTCCAGAAGCCCATGGTCTGGCTGGACACCTGGACCCACAGCTCTCCCTGTCCACCATAGGTGATACCCTCCAGCCTCAGCCATACCCCACACCAGCCCCACACTGCCAGGGACAACCCTGCCCCATGCAGCAGTGTGGGTGGGACACAGGGCCCGTGCCCCCCACCTGGGGATATTTCCAGCTGATTCAGTGACTGTGGCTCTGCCTGCCTGAGTCCTCAGTCAGAGCCCCAGTGTGGCTTCCCACCCCTTTCTGTGGTCACTGGGAAAGCAGGACCCCTAGGACACCCTGGCGAAGGAGAGGATGCTCTTCTGATACTCCTTGCTTCCCTCCCAGTCTGACCCGATCCCTGGCCCTGGCCATGCCTTCCTTATTCCTTTATAGTTTCCCCGGGAAGGTGGCTACTCCACGAAGGGTAGCTCCTATTTATTGAGGACTTGATGTTTGTCTAGGATTTAATCCTTTTAACTACTCTGCGAGGTGGGTGGTTTATTTTGTCCTCCCCGATTTAAGAGGCCCAGGGAGCTCAAGTGCCATGCCTTCGTTCTGCCAGCCTGAAAGTGTTGTGGTCAGGCCTTGAGCCTGTGCTCCTTCCTCTCTGAAGGTGAGAGGTGGCTGCCATTCCCTCTCTGCGCCCTTCCCTTTGGTTCCAGATCCTGGCCATTGCGTCCCTGCTGGAAACCCTGGACTCTGCTGCTCAGTACTGCTGAGTCAGATGTGGCTCTGGGCGCTTCGGGTTTGGCCGCTGGCTCAGCCTCCCTTGGCCCTGGGGCCCGGATCTGAGCCCACCCTCCTCAGTGTGGGTCTGCAGGAAGCTGGGGCTGCCCTCGGGTGATTTGTGCCTCTCCTTGGGAACTTCCTGCCAGCCTGATCCCTCCTTCCCACCTCCCTGTCCTGGCCCCCTGGCTTGGTCACATGAATGCGTGGTGACACTGAGAGGGCCTGACAGGGACATTTCAGCCTAAGGCAGGACAGTCGTTGGCCCCTCACTGAAGTCCCATGCAAAATGAGCCCTTGTTCTTCAGTCCATTGCCATAATAGAGACCTTTCCTCCAAGGCTGAGAGCTGTTTGGTCCTCACAGTGCAGAGGCCTGGGGTTGACAACCTAGAGACTTAGAGGGGAAAAATCCAGAACTGACCCACGTACAGTCCCTCCTCCTGACCCATGAGGGAGAGCACCCAGCATGCTTTCCCGGCATGCCTCAGACACCCCACCACCCTAGTCCAGTACTCTCCAAAGGAGTCACCCCAGGAAGATCGGCTTGTGTGTCACTCGCATCTCTCAGCTGTGATCAAACCTGCTATTTTCTTTGTCCCCAGTGGGGCTGTTTGCAGCCGGTATGGGGGAAAAGAATGAGATACAGAAAAGTCCCTGAGCTGGGCAGAGGCATCACCCCCTCTGTGCCTGCTGAGTCTCTGCCTTCAGCAAGGGCTGGGAATGAGCTTGAGATGAAGGTGCCTGCCCTGCCAGAGCCAGGGCCCTCGGGGTAGGGCTGGCAGTGGGGTGGAGGACAGAGGGAAGCCAGGTATGCCCCGCAGTAGCAGCAGAGGCATCGGGGGCATGGGCCTGGAGACCCTCTGTTTGGGTTTTGCCCGCACATCCCCTGGGGTCTGTAGAGTATTCTGGCCCTTGCCTTGCTTGGGTAGCTTCTTCCTGAATAGTAGTATCCTAGCAGCTATCATTTCTTCAGCCCTGCCGGTGCCTGCAGTGTTCTTTGTATATTAGCTCCTCATTCTGTTTCTCAGAGAAGATTCCACAGCATGGCTTCTAGTATGATCTCCGTTTCATAGAAGGTGAAACAAAGCCCCAGAGAACTAAAGCACCTTGCCAGGGTCTTCCAGCTAGTGAGGGGCTGGGCAGGGAGCCACACCCACTCGCATCCAGCCCATGCCCATTACCACCAAGTGCATGGTGCTCACAGGCCCGAACCCCTAAGGGTGCCAGTGGACACTGCTGGCTCCCCCTGGCTAGCTGCCAGCCCTGCAGGTGCCCGGTCAGTCAGGAGGCCCTCTGCATGTCCTGCCGGTGCCTTCCCACCCGGCCTCTCCCAGCCTGTGCTCCCTCCTGTGAGCAGCTGGTAGGAGTGGCCACTGGGTGGCGTGTGGGCACCAGGGTTTCCTTGCTCCCAGTTGTCCAGAGCTCCTTAATTCATCCATCCTTCTGGCACTGTCGCCTTAGAAGGCGGAAGTTTCTAAGTCAGGATGATGGCAAAGGTCAGTGAGAAATGCTGACTTCAAGCTGTAAATTTGTGTGTGAGTTCCAGAGGCCCGTGTGGGCTCACCAGGAGGGCACGTGTCAAAGCGTGGTCTTTTCCGGCCATTTCTCACTCTGGGGGAAGGTGTCCAGCCCAACGTTTGATAGGAATATTTAATGGCTTTCTCAGAGGAATGGATCTGTTAGCAGGTTTTCCTGTTCAGTTACCATTCGTGTCTCCAGTATCCTTCTCCTCTCAAATGTTTGTCTTTGCTTTCTTTGCTGTGATTTTCTCAGGGTCCTCATCCCCTCGGCCAGCCTCTTTGTGGTTTTATCTGATCAGCCTGCTGCTGTGTCCCTCTTTCTCCTGCCCTCCGCCCCTTGTGCTGTGCACGTGCACACACGCACACACACACACATACACACATATGTCCTCCTCCCTGGAGTCCTTGTGGTTTTAAAGTGCTGATACTAATCGGATTTGAGTTGACTTATTGTCAGAGTAGCTTTTCATGCTCCTCAGATACCACTGGGAGTTACCATCAAGATCTGGATCTTGGCTGTGAGCCCCTGGCCTGGCTGGTCCTCACTGGCAGCCCATGGAATCCAAATGAAAGGTCTCGTGCCCACCTAACCCAGCTGGCCAGTCAGTTGGCAAGTCAGCTCTATCCGAGGACCACCCAAAGACAGGACTGTGTGGCCCAGGGCTCCCAGCAGCCCTGGCAAGGGGCACAAGTGCTCCAGCCTTCCTCCCAGTGGTGGCACATGGTCGGGGGGTGCTGCACAGGAGCCTGAGGTCTGAGAGAGGGAGACTTCCAGGACCCCACCCCATTTAGAGCGAGCACCTTCCCTACCCTGTCTTCTAGCCTTACCAGGTGTCCCAGAGCAAAGGTAGTACAGAAGTCATATTTGTGTCTTAGTTAGAATGTTTTCCTGGTGGTTTTGGAACTTTGCACAACCTCCTCCCCACTGCCCCCCGCCCCCCGCCCCCCGCCTTCTTCTGCATAGCTTCCTACCATCTGCAGGACGGGGAACTTGGGGAATTGCTTTTCACTCTCCAGCTTCCGCTTGTTCCTCCCCACAGTATTTCCCTGGCCGGCCCTTAGTCCAGAACTTCCTGCACTCCGTGAATGAATGGCTCAAGAGGCAGAAGAGAAATAAAATTCCCTACAGTTTCTTTAAAACTGCCCTGGACGACAGGAAAGAGGTGAGTCTGGGAAGCAAATAAAGATCTCTCCATCCTCCGTATTTATGAGAGTGCAAGGGGTTAACCCTGTCATTTCTGACCTTCTTCGCCAGTTTGCACCAGGGAGTCAGTGATCTTCGTTGGGTCCTAACAATAATCAATAAATGACTATTGATTGAGCTCTCTATGCGCACATCTCATTTAATCCTCATAATGTTAGTGGAAGGTAGATATTCTCCCCATTTAGCAGATGAAGAAACAGTACTTTGAAAAGGTTAAGCAACTTGTCTGGGTTCATGGAGCCAGTAAGTGTTTGGGCTGGGATGAAAACTTGGTGAGACCCCAGAGTTTTTAACAACTACCCTGTGCTGCCTCTTAGTTTGTGGTGCTGCTCAGCATGGCCTCCCTGGCCCTCTCCAGGGCACCTTCTGGGCTCCTGCTCATGCTGCTATTTGCAAAAGTGGGTCACTGCAGCCAGCAGAGGTGTAAAACCCTGTAGACTTGTAGGGTGTCAAATCTCGAAGGGACCTCAGAGATAACCCCCTTGTGTTACAGCTGGGGAAGTTGAGGCTGGAACGGGATGCAGCTTGATCTGGGTCACAGCTTTTTAGGTCTGCTGCTGCTTCAGTGGGTGGAACTGGTGAAAGGGAAATGCCACCTTCGAGGTGATAGACTGAGGGACCTCATTTGTCTTAGGGCTGTCTCCTAGAAGCTTCTGTCTCTGCCTCTCCCATCCTTTTCCTTCTCCATATGTGCACTCACACTCATGTGTCCCTCAGGGTGCCGTTCTTGCCAAGAAGGTGAACTGGATTGGCTGCCAGGGGAGTGAGCCGCATTTCCGGGGCTTTCCCTGCTCCCTGTGGGTCCTCTTCCACTTCTTGACTGTGCAGGCAGCTCGGCAAAATGTAGACCACTCACAGGAAGCAGGTACGTCCAGGACCCGTTCACCCCACTGTGCCTCCAACCCTGCTCTGTTCGGCCCTCCAAGGGGAGAGGGGGCAGGGAAGCTCCCTTGAATTGCCCCACTGGCTCCCAGCTGCCAGAAGATGGGGAGAGTCAGCCTTGGGGCTCTGGCTGGATTGCTCTATCTGCAGGTAGCCCCACACGGCCAGAATAGAACCAATCCCAGGAGGGAGCAGACTTTAGGAATTCAACCAGTCCTGTTTTCGGCCCCGGGAGCTCTGGGGCTGAGGCTTCTCCCTGTCTTTCTCCGGGCTTATAGTTTGCTTTGCTTTCAGTCTTCATGAAAAAATTGTGATTCTATTTTTTTATACTCTTAACAAAGAAAAAAACGTGTATTTTACAGTTTACATAGCTGATACATAGCAGGTGCTTTGAGCAATTTTATTGCACTTCCCACTGAAAAACAATTTCCTGGGGGAAGTTGGGGAAACACGTTTCCCCTGCTGCCTCGGATTGTCCACAAACTGCACCACCATGTTCTCCGGCCACGCTGCCCCACACCTGCTTTTGAAGACTGAAAGGATGCGCATCCAATTCAGTCCACACTGATTGAGGAACCAGGTTTATACCAGGCTGCGGCTTGGCTTGGAGGATAGATACATGGGTGAAAAGGGCGACAGTGCCCGCTCTTGGTGGACCTCTAGTGTGAGGCAGGGGGACAGAGAGGCCTGCAGTGCATCAGGGCTAGGGCCGTGGTGGAGAGAAAGATGTGGGGTGAAGAGAGGGCAGGCTCGACGCCATTGGGAAGGGGCCCGAGGCCTTACGGGGTGAGTTGAGGGGTGATGGGTGAGTAGGGATTCCGCCAGGAGAGGAGCATCCCAGCAGAGGGAGCAGCCTGTGTGGAGCCCCGTGAATCAGAGGAACTGCCAGGCAGTGGTGTGGGAAGCCAGTGTGTATGGAGCATCTCCACCATGCCATGTGGCGCTGCAGGTGCCGGGGACACAGCAGCATATGAGACAGGTCCCTGCCCCCACAGGGCCAGTATCTGAGTGGCAGGAGACAGACACAGAGGGATGGCTTCAGCCATGATGACGAATGCTGAGGAAGACAAAGCAAAGCAGTGCCGGAGCGGGTGCTGTCTGGAGAGGGGTCTGGGAAAGGCTTCCCTGTGGAGGGCCCGGTGCTGGGACCCATGTGGAGAGGAGAAGGCAGTGTGGGACGTCTGGGAAGAGAGTCTCCCAGGCTGTGTTGGTGTCCTTGGGCTGCACTCACAAATGTCAGGCTGGGGCTCAGCCAGTAGACGTCTGTTGTCTGAGTTCTGGAGGCTGAAGTGCAAGGTGGAGGTGTCTGTGCTGGTTTCTTCGAGCCTCTCCTTGGCTGGGCGGTGGTCGTCTTCTCCTTGTGTCTCCGTGCAGTTGTCCCTCTCCCAATCCATGTCCAAATTTCCTCTTCCTGCAAGGACACCAGTCCTATTGGATTAGGGCCCACCCTAATGACCTTATTTTACCTTCATTACCTCTTTAAAGACCCTGTCTCCAAATACGGCCACATTCTGAGAGGCTGGGGATTAGGGCTTCAACATAGGAATTTGGGGGGACATAATTCAGCCCATAGCACAGGCTGGAGACCAGCAGGTGCAAAGGACAAGCCTGGTGTGTGGGCAGCACTGAAAGAAGGCTGCTGTGGCCGGAGGGAGGGAGGTGAGGCTGCAGAGACAGGCCGGGGGCGGAGGTGAGCGCTCATGGGCTCAGAGGCCTTGGCGAGGGCAGGGTTTGGAGGTTGGTGTTGGCATTTTGAGAAGCCACTGGAGAGGCTAACGGAAGTGACAGTTGGTTAACACTTTAGAAAGGTGGAGGATGGGCTACTGCAGGCAGGGGGAGGCAGGGCAGCTGAGGAGCAAGCTGCATGCTCGCCCAGCAGTGGTGGTTGGGCCTGGACTAGGGTTGTCAGTGTGCCCCTGGAGGAAGTGGTCAGATTTGGGGATATGTTAAAGGCAGAGCTGAGGGACTTACTGATAGATTGGAGGAAGGGTATGTGGGAAGCAGGACTCGGGTGGACTCCAGGGTTGTGGGGCCTGAGCCTCTGGTGGATGATGGTCCCATAAGCTGAGGAGTCAGGGGCTCGGGTTGGGATGGTGGAATCAATGGCCCGCTTTGTGTCAATAGACCTCCCAATGGAGGTGTGCACAGTTGAGTCTGGAGTTCCAGGGAGAGGTGGGGAATAGAGAGATTAGCTTTATAGTCATTAGTAGCATCAGAGCTCAAGCTGTGGGACTGGATGAGCTCCCTGGCAGGGAGGTAGAGAAGAGTGCTGAGGACTGAATCCTGAGCATCAAACCACCAGCAAAGGAGGCTGAACGGGGGAGGCCATGGTGATTTCAAGGGGGCCCCAGAGTCCAGTGTTTCAAGATAGAGGTGTAGTCACTGGGGCCAGTGCAGCTGGAGGTGGCGCAAGATGAGGACATCTCTAGCAAGGGCTGTGTCGGTGGAGTAGTGGAGGTAATGGCCTTGTTGGATTCGGCTGAAGAGAGACCAGGAGGCAAGATTCTGGAGATAATGAGCAGGAACTGGGGCATGACTGGGTTAGAGGGAACTTCTTTATGATCATCCTTTTCCCCAGTTGGAATGATCCCTTATCAGGGGATAAATGGATGACGCAGTAAAGAAAAAACACTAACGGGAGTGAAATCCTGGAGGTGAGGAGTGGGGTAACCCGAGCAGCAGCGGAGACAGAGGCTGAGCAACGCCAGGGCCGTGTGGTGAGGCCTTGTGGTGGGGAGGTGGGCACCTGTGCTGGGTGCAGAAGAACAAGCTGAGAAGGCAGAGGAGAGAGAGAGAGGCAGGTGTGGGCTGCTGCGGGTCTCACCTTGCCAGGAGTGAGGAGAGTAGGGTGCCAACGTCCTGCTGCGTGGAGGGGTAAAAGCAGGAGATTGGCTTCTAAAGGCCTGGGAGGTTTGCGGTAGGAAGGAGCGAGCTTGGAGGCAAGCACCAGCAGCCCTGGAGCCTGAGGGTGAAGGGCTTAGGAGGGGCGTGTTGGATTAGGAGTGGTGTCCTCAGCGGGGAGCCTGGTTTCAGTTAGAGCAAGAAAGTGGGGCTGGTTAACAGGTCTTTGCTGATGCCAGTCCAGAGGGTCCAGTGGGTGGGAGGGGGTGGGGGGAATGGAAGGGGAGAGCGAGGAGAGATGGAGACAGATTAGGAAGGGCATGTGCAGGCCAGGTCCAGGCCCGAGGGAGGTGACGCATGGTGGAAGCAAGTCGGACAGGCAGCATGAGTGGGCAGGGGAGGAAGGGCCAGGGGCTAGGGCGGTGGCCCTCTGGCCCCTGCTGACCTCTCTCACCATGTCACAAAGAGCCTGAGTTTCCTGCCAAGGAGTGTGGACTTTGTCCTGGGTGTGAGTGACAGGCACCCAGGTTAGTGGCAGGGAAGGGGATCCAGGTTTAGGAGTTTTGGGGGGATGGGGTCTCCTGTAAAGTGACCATGGCAGGTAGAGAAGTAGACAAGGGGACACTGGGCCTCTGCTGGCATAGGCTGGGGTGTGTGGCACCTGTGCAGGGGTGGCCACGGCAGGATGGGGGGCGGCAGGGTGGCCTGGGGAGGCAACGGCTGTGGGGCTGGCAGCCTGAAGGGCTGGTGCGTGGCATCTCCTCTGCCCTGTAGCCAAGGCCAAGGAGGTCCTCCCAGCCATCCGAGGCTACGTGCACTACTTCTTCGGCTGCCGAGACTGCGCTAGCCACTTCGAGCAGATGGCTGCTGCCTCCATGCACCGGGTGGGGAGTCCCAACGCCGCTGTCCTCTGGCTCTGGTCTAGCCACAACAGGGTCAATGCTCGCCTTGCAGGTAAGGAAGGACCATCCCCAAGGCTGGAGTCACTTGTGGGGGACGAGGGGGTGAGGATACTTGGGAGTCTTAGGCCAAAATTTGGGGAAGGGACACTCATTGTCCCCTCAGTCACAGCCCAGGCCTGTTAACCAATGCCAGTATCATCAGCCCCATTTTTGACATGAGGAAGCCAAGGCTTTGACACTGTAAGACCCTGGTCTTCCCATGCCGTTGCTCACTTTTTCCCTGCTCTAGGGCCCCTCTCTAGCCTACTGGGGTCCCTCTCCCGCCTCCCCTGCTCCGTCTTCTGGCTGTTGGCCCCTTACTCAAACTGCTAGGGCAGAGGGAGCTGGGGTTCTCTCTCCCTGGGAAGGGTCTGATGAGAGAAGGGGCTGGAGGAGACCAGGTCGTTCCTGGAAATACCAGGCACCGGCTCCCAGGAGGGAGCCTTGCCCTCTGCGTTCCCTCATTATGGTGCTTCCTTTTCCTCATCAGGAGTCTGATGGCTCTAACAGGCAAACACATTAAACTCCAGGGAGCTGGGTCGGGAGGGAGCCATCTGTGGACAGGAGGCGGTTTGTGTGTCGGGAGGGAGCGGTGCACGTGGCTGTGACAGCCTCCCGGGGGGGGGAGACCAGGGCGGAGCCGAGGTTAAAGGAGCTGAATGGAGCAGGTGGTGGTGCAGGCGCCTGCACTTGGTCGTGGTCTCCTGGGGCCTCCTATCGAACTTTGAAAGGAAGACATGTGCCTGTCTTCTCCTTCCCCCACCCCGCCCCTGCCACCAAATGCTCCATTTGACCCTTCAGCCCCTTGACCTCGGCAGGCTCCCAGCTGCTGCTGGAGGGCCAGGAGCCTGGGCCTGTCCCTGAGAGGCCAGAAGCAGGGTGGTTCCCTCCCCTCTCTGGTGGGGTCCTTTCAGAAGAAACTCAAAATTACCAGGCACAAGCTGAGAGCCCCCTCCACAAGGCCTGATCACTATGACTCATGACTGGACCCTTGACTCTGCTTGTTGTCCCCTCCCCAAAGTAACCATTCTGACTTGCATGCCACTTGCTGTTGCTGCTCCTGCTTCCTTGTAGTCAACAACTTGTCCCCCTATTAAAACCTTTAGGAGAAGTGCTTCTACAGAAGGGATGGGCTGATGCATTCCCTGGGCAACACTGCGTGAGGGGCTGGTGGCCGTGGCTCACCCTCTGGGACTCATCCAGAGGCTGCCTAGAGGGCTGGGCCCACCTGGGGTACCAACAGCCTGCAGCCCCAGCAGCATCCTGACTCTTCCAAGTACCCCTCAGGTCTCCCCCCAACTATCCCTTGGAGCCCACCCCTACCCCAGAGGGCTGCTGCTGGGTAAAAGCAAGGATTGCCATGAGCAGCTGCCTCTTGCTTGAAAACGCATTTTCCCTTGAATTGACAAAGTAACCTATTTGTGCAGTTTGTATAATTTGGAAAATGTCAGAAAAATGCAAAAAAAGACAAACACGAGCAGACCGACCAAAGACTGCAAAACAGATCAAAATGAGTATTCTTGCCCTTTCCCATGTCTGGTACTGGGGTAAAGGCTGGTTGTAAAGTCCACATAGCAGGACAGTGGGTCTGGCCAACACCGGGAAATGACTGAGATGGCGCTCTTCACGCTTCCCTGGAAAACCACGGAGGGCCGGGGCTGAGGGGTAGGTGGATCTGCCTCCTCCTCCATGCTGCCATCTGTTGAGCTCCCACTGTGGGCTAGTGTTTGTAATCTGTATTTTCTAATTACCCATCCTCTGGAAGGGCAGTGGCGAGCCCTTTCTGCAGACAAGGAAGCTGGCGTTCTGAGTGGAGGAGTGTGGTCTGGGTTTTTGGGTGGGACTGATGTCACCACCAGCCTGTGTATGCTTCCCTCTGTAGGTGCCCCCAGCGAGGACCCCCAGTTCCCCAAGGTGCAGTGGCCACCCCGTGAACTTTGTTCTGCCTGCCACAATGAACGCCTGGATGTGCCCGTGTGGGACGTGGAAGCCACCCTCAACTTCCTCAAGGCCCACTTCTCCCCAAGCAACATCATCCTGGACTTCCCTGCAGCTGGGTCAGCTGCCCGGAGGGATGTGCAGAATGTGGCAGCCGCCCCAGAGCTGGCGATGGGAGCCCTGGAGCTGGAAAGCCGGAATTCAACTCTGGACCCTGGGAAGCCTGAGATGATGAAGTCCCCCACAAACACCACCCCACATGTGCCGGCTGAGGGACCTGAGGCAAGTCGACCCCCGAAGCTGCACCCTGGCCTCAGAGCTGCACCAGGCCAGGAGCCTCCTGAGCACATGGCAGAGCTTCAGAGGAATGAGCAGGAGCAGCCGCTTGGGCAGTGGCACTTGAGCAAGCGAGACACAGGGGCTGCATTGCTGGCTGAGTCCAGGGCTGAGAAGAACCGCCTCTGGGGCCCTTTGGAGGTCAGGCGCGTGGGCCGCAGCTCCAAGCAGCTGGTCGACATCCCTGAGGGCCAGCTGGAGGCCCGAGCTGGACGGGGCCGAGGCCAGTGGCTGCAGGTGCTGGGAGGGGGCTTCTCTTACCTGGACATCAGCCTCTGTGTGGGGCTCTATTCCCTGTCCTTCATGGGCCTGCTGGCCATGTACACCTACTTCCAGGCCAAGATAAGGGCCCTGAAGGGCCATGCTGGCCACCCTGCAGCCTGAACCACCTGGGGAGGAGGCGGGAGAGGGAGCTGCCATCTCTAGGCACCTCAAGCCCCCTGACCCCATTCCCTCCCCTCCCACCCCTTGCTCCTTGTCTGGCCTAGAAGTGTGGGAAATTCAGGAAAACGAGTTGCTCCAGTGAAGCTTCTTGGGGTTGCTAGGACAGAGAGCTCCTTTGACACAAAAGACAGGAGCAGGGTCCAGGTTCCCCTGCTGTGCAGGGAGGGCAGCCCCGGGCAGTGGGCATAGGGCAGCTCAGTCCCTGGCCTCTTAGCACCACATTCCTGTTTTTCAGCTTATTTGAAGTCCTGCCTCATTCTCACTGGAGCCTCAGTCTCTCCTGCTTGGTCTTGGCCCTCAACTGGGGCAAGTGAAGCCAGAGGAGGGTCCCCCAGCTGGGTGGGCTGGAATGGAACTCCTCACTAGCTGCTGGGGCTCCGCCCACCCTGCTCCCTTCCGGACAATGAAGAAGCCTTTGCACCCTGGGAGGAAGGACCACCCCGGGCCCTCTATGCCTGGCCAGCCTCCAGCTCCTCAGACCTCCTGGGTGGGGTTTGGCTTCAGGGTGGGGTTTGGAAGCTTCTGGAAGTCGTGCTGGTCTCCCAGGTGAGGCAAGCCATGGTTGCTGGGCTGTAGGGTGAGTGGCTTGCTTGGTGGGACCTGACGAGTTGGTGGCATGGGAAGGATGTGGGTCTCTAGTGCCTTGCCCTGGCTTAGCTGCAGGAGAAGATGGCTGCTTTCACTTCCCCCCATTGAGCTCTGCTCCCTCTGAGCCTGGTCTTTTGTCCTTTTTTATTTTGGTCTCCAAGATGAATGCTCATCTTTGGAGGGTGCCAGGTAGAAGCTAGGGAGGGGAGTGTCTTCTCTCTCCAGGTTTCACCTTCCAGTGTGCAGAAGTTAGAAGGGTCTGGCGGGGGCAGTGCCTTACACATGCTTGATTCCCACGCTACCCCCTGCCTTGGGAGGTGTGTGGAATAAATTATTTTTGTTAAGGCAAGCATTGGTGTGTTCTTTAACTTGCTACTTGGAGACCTAGTGTCCAGTCTGGACAGAATGCACAGAGACCAGCCTCACCTGGAATGCAGCCAGACTCGATGTCCCTCAGCACACACAGCTCCTGGCCACAGACTGCCCATAGAACTGTCTGCACCCAAACCCCATGGCCTTTTCATGCACGGAGACAGGCCTCTGGATGTGCAGCCTTGCCACCCCCTGCCCCAATCCTCCCTGAGAGCTCCTGCCTCAGTGCCCTGGGCTGGTGAGGGAGAAGCCTGTCTGCACCTGCCTAATTCCAGCTCCTCCAGGAAGCAAGGGCTTGTTTGTCAGAGCTGCAGGGTTGGCCACTCGGTGGGGAGGAGTCAGCCAGGATTAGAGAGCCTGCCCCTAATCCGGCCTGCTGGGTTTTACAAGGATCAGAGCTGCTGATAATGAACCTCATTAAGGGGGAGCAGGAGCCTCAATCCGATTTGGTTTTCTCTTTGACATCTTCACTCTGCTCAGATGGCCTGGGTGCTATGTGGAGCAGGTGGGATGCCAAGGCCACTCCTGCTATGGGGCAGCTGGGGCTGGGGAGGGATGGCAGTCTCCCTGCATGTTTCCCTCGACCTCTTTAGCTGCAGCGCCTTGCTGGGCTCCTGGGTTGGACTCCCTCTCTGTGCCCCTGCTCCAGGCACCCATTGGCTCCATCCTCCTGGTTGTGCTCTGCACCCCCTGCTCCCTTGGGCTGGCCCTGGCTGGGGGCCTGAGAGACAGACAGGAACCCACAATCAGGAGGCAACCCTGGCCTGCAAGAGGAAGACAGAGGCTCCCAGGGCCGGTGCCCTGTGTGCCCACTGCACCAAGGCCGCTGAATAAGCCTGCCCTTCACCCCCTAAGGGCTCCTTGCCCAATGCCAAGTGCTGGGGATTTCTGTCAGCAAGCCCTGTGGCTCCAGTGACGGTATTTCTAAAGCCAAACTTAGTTACCTAGAATTAGCGCCATGTTGGAAACACTGTCGCAGCAGCCCGGGCTGCACAGTGTGTAGCCCAGCCTCCAGGTCCACGGAGTGGTGTGGACCTCCCACCTCACAGCTGCCTCTGGCAGCCAAGCCTCTTTTCGCCCGGCCCCAGCCCCTCTGGTTGATAAACGGGTGGGCCTCCTCAGCAGCGTGGCTGCCTTTCACCTTGATTTCCCCAGGGCTCTCGGCAACATCGATAAACCAGCCTCGCCCACCAGCTGGGCCCTCCCCCACCCAGTCTGCCAGGCTGGGAGCTGGAGCTTGCTGAGTCTTGAATGCCCTTCTAGATGGCTTCTCTAGAGGCTCTCCTGGCAAGAGAGGGTCCCAAGGGGAGCCCTGCAAAGCAAAGGCTCCTTGTCTGGGGCGGGATAGAGAATCTCGCCTCTGTCTGGTGTGTTACCTACTGGGGGCACAGGAACAATTTCCTCAAGGAGACAGTGGCATGGAGCTTTGAAAGACGAGTAGGTGTTAGCAAGGAAATAAGGAGGAACGGGGGTTACGGGCAGAGGAGAAAGCACATGCCAAGTCAGCAAAGAAAAGTAGAATTCGAAAACTTTTTAAAAATATTACTAAGGATTTTCACAATGCTGCACTGGGCTAGAAACTGAAGCTAAAACAGATACGTGGTCCCTGCTGCTATGGGGCTTCCGTTCTAGAGGCAAGGACAGGTTGTGATGAGGGTTCTGAAGGATAGAGACCAAGCAGGGAGGGTGTTGAGGAGGCTTCTGCGAGACCTGAAGGATGGGAAGCCAGGAAGTGGGAGGGGTGGGGGTCCAGGCTGGAGGGGCCCAATGTAGGTGTAGAGGGACTACAGCCCTGAGGGGCTGCTCCATGCGGCATTCTTGGAGGTCCAAGAGGGGCAGCGCCACCTTGGGCCAGGCTCCTCTCCAGCAGCCTTGGTATGGGGTGGGGGTGGGAAGACCCCTGATGCAGCCTGTCCTCTGGGTGTGGGGGTGGAGGAGAGGGCTCCAGGGGACCCAGCCAGCCTTGACCCTGGAGGAAAGTCAGGTGGGCTCAGAGAGAGCCCTCAAATCTGGGCCCTGGGTCAGGGTGGGGTCAAGTCCAGCCTTGAAGAGAATGGACTCTGGAATCTGACGTCTGGGTTTGAATCCAGCTTCCAACACTCACTGGCTGTGTGACTTTGGGCAAGATAACTTATCCCCTTGTCCCCATGTGTCATTGGAGATAAACTACCCACCTACCAGATTGTTGTACCATGCTGGGCAAACACTAAGTGCTTAATAATGGTAGCCCACTGCTCATGTCGTGTCGTCTCCTGTCTTGATACCTGAAAACTCAAGGGGCCCTGTTGTGCTTGGAGGGGGGTGCCGTTCCCACAGGATATTCTGTGAAGGGTGTCCCTGGAGCTGGGCCTCCAGGTGGCAAGCCCCAAGCCACCCCGGCAGGTGCCACTGGCCAGAGTTGAACTGAGGTGTTGAGTGGAAAGTGCCTCCCCACCCCCATCTGCCACAGTAGTATGGATTTCCTTCATGAGATGGGGCTCCTAAAATGCCTGAAATGTGTATGCTGTTGGAGAATTGATGTGTATGATTTATTGAACTTTGCACTCATTTAAATCTCATTTAATCCTCCAACAACGCAAGATGAAGAAGCTGAGGCTTAAAGAGATTAAGAAACATCCTATCCCCTTTACTCCCACCAAAATAAATACATTTGCCCTATTCTCCCAAATGGTGAGAGGTAGATCCAGGACTTGACCCCAGATCCCACCCACTCAACCCTGGAGCTGCAGTCTCTACCCCTTCTAACACATGTGATTCTGTTTCATGTCCTGTTCCATCGGTAGAGTTACACACTTTCCTGAGACTTTATATGGTGGTGCTGCTGGGTGCCAGCCCTTCTTCCCTCCAACAGTGGCAGTAACCACTGTTGTGTGTTGGTGTCAAGGAGTGGGGACACCCTGAAGGAATCCGCCTTTTCTAGAGCTCTCGCTCCATTCCCTACATCGAGGCTGAAGTGCCCTGTCTCGGGTCCTTGTTTTTAGGCCTCGTTTGAAGGAGGGGAAGAAACCAGGTTCGTTGGGCGTGACCTTGGCTCAGCTCGTCTGTGAAATTGGGGCCGCAGACTTAGTTTGCGGGTCCCTGCTAAATTCCTCTCCCTCTTCCTGGGATTCCCATCCATGTATTGCCAGCTACATGTAGAGTGGAGAGGAGAGGTTTTTCCTGCAGGGCCTTCCAGAGAAAGGATTCTTGGCCAGAGGAAATCACAGCCTATAAGATCAATATCCTGATAGAATCCCGGGCCAGGTGTGAGAGGGGAGAGCTCACTCACACCAGCCTGACAGTCTTGGGGCAGAGCGCCCCATAGGCCTCTGCAGCCCCATCACTGCCTCATTCTCCCTCAGGTGCCAAGGAAGCTCCAGGGTGGGCCCAGTATCCTTCCACAGCATCCCTCCTCTTCCCCTTCAACACCCCTTTCACCCCTCCCTCCACCACCTCTGAAAGGTGCTCCTTGGGCAGGGCGATAGGATTCCCACCCCTAGCTTTAAGAACTAAACCAAACTTCAAGAGGAGCAATTTAATCTTCATACCTGACTCCTTGTCCCTCCTCAGGCATGCTGTTGTGCAGGACAGAGCCCTGGCTTCTCCTGGATGTCACACCTGGCCTGTCTCTGACCCTTGCTTTCCCTTTCTCTGCTGCCCTCAAGGGTCATTCACACCCAAGAGGGTAAGAAGCTGCCCTCTCATCCCTTCCTCTCCCACCCTGGGCCTCTGCCCTCTGCCTGGCCCCAGCAGCACAGTCTTCTCCATAGAGAGGGGCTGGGCCATGGGACCCCAGTTCCTGGGGTCTCGGTGACACAGTTCACTGTTTGCTGCAGAGGAGGCCCCACTCGCAGCCTTGGCCTCTGCCCTGCAGAAGAATTCCCTGTAACTCACTCACCAATGGCCGTGGGAGCCAGTGGCCTCGGCGAGGGTCAGTTGGACTGCATAGCTGCCGGCTGAGTCTCTCTGGCCACCCTCACTGGCCCCATCACTCCAGGTTGCACTGCTGCCCAGGGGGTTTGTGCCAGGCCTGGGTCACAGTGGAAGAGAGTCTGGAAATCACAAGGCAGAGGAGGAGACCTTTGCCAATGTGAGAGAACAAAGTTAAGGGGCAGTCCATGGGGGCATTGACCTTACTTAGGTGAGGAGGACTCAGGGAACATCTACAGACTCTAGGGCTAGGGTGAGATCCTCCTGATAGTGCTGGTAGCTCCAGCTGCTGCTTTGGCAAGACTTGGTCGTCTCTATACTGAGAGAGCAAAAGCTCTTTTCCTGGGGCTGCATGTTCTTCCATAGGAAAGTGGGCTTCAGGTGCTGCCTATTAAACCTCCTGCCTCCCCTGCTGCAGTGCTTTGATGCCTTTCACCTGTGTCTACCTGCGAACCTCTGCCCACCACGGAAGAGCAGCTCACATTTGGAAGGGGCTAAAATTTTTACCTAGTTTGAATCTGCTCTGCAATGTCCCCATCAAGTTCTTAACCATCCCGGGTTCCAATGGTTACAGAGTTCTGCCCTGGGGAGGGAGGAATTGCTTAGCAAATGATGTTGAGAATAGTGATTATTTGGGGGAAAATTCAGGTAAGATCTCACCTTCATACCATATACCAAAATACATCTCAGTAGATTAGTAAGCTAATGCAAAAAAAAAAAAAAAAGGGGAAATATAATTGAATACTTCACTGTTTTTGAAAGCATGAAAACAATGGAAAATGCAACTGATGTGAGTAATCCATCTACTTGACGTCACTTTTAAGAAATAAGGCCAGGCACGGTGGCTCACGCTTGTAATCCTAGCACTTTGGGAGGCCGAGGTGGGTGGATCACGAGGTCAGGAGTTTGAGACCAGCTTGGCCAACATGGTGAAACCCCCATCTCTACTAAAATATTACACAGGCATTGTGGCACACATCTGTAATCCCAGCTACTCAGGAGGCTGAGGCAGGAGAATCACTTGAACCTGGGAGGTGGAGGTTGCAGTGAGCTGAGATCGCGCCATTGCACTCCAGCCTGGGGGACAGAGCGAGACTCTGTCTCAAAAAAATAAAAAAATAAAAATAAAAAAATAAAGTAAAGCTACATATTTAAAAGCTGGGGAAATATATGCTGTAAATATGACAAAGGGCTGTGACTCTTCTGCAACACACCATTTTAAGAATGAGCTAGGTCTGCATTTATTGACCTGATAAAATGTCCCAAGAAGGACACATTTTTATAAACATAAGTTACTATTGTTATATATATGCTAACGTTTGTCTAGAAAAAGTCTAGAAAAATACACACTGAACTGTGAATAGCAGTTATATTTAGAAAGCAACATTAGGATGAACTTAAGTCAGGGCTTGGACTAGAGCAAGGCAAGTGAGGTGCCAGGATGCAAAAGTTAAGGAGACACCTGACCTCAGGGGCCCACAACTGCAGAGCCCCTGACAGTGAGTGTCTCAGTAGCCTCGCCCTAGTCCTGGCTTTCACTTAAATATGTTTTCGAATGTTTGTAATAAAATATTTCTTTTGGAAGGCAAAAATAGCAAGGAAAATAAATAGGATTAAAGGATACTAAAGCCCATTCAATAAAATTTGTAGGAGGCCACTGATTTGGCCTAGGCTCCTATGATGTAACCAACAGACCAAACCAATATGGAGTCATTCATGCTAAATGAAACTAGTTAGGAGTATATTCATATAACAAGTGGCTAAGTGTCAGTTACAGCCTCTGAGCTTTAGTCAATTGTAGGTGGTCAATAGATTCAGATAAGGCAATCCAGTTAAACTGTATATCCCACTTGCTGTTTTCTGTCCCTAAATTCTCTCTGAGTACACTGCAGCCCTGAAGTTCTTTGAACCTGTTCTGGGTTCTGAGGGCTGTCCAATTACTGAATCATACATAAAAGCCAAGTAAGATTTTAAAATTTGTTATAATTTTGGTTTTTAACAACTTCTGTTGTAAATAATAAAAGCACTAAATCCCTACTGAAAATAAAGGGCCTAAAGACTGAATGAGAGATGCAATTTTTTTTGGCTAACCTATTGGCAAAGAAATGATGATGATGATGATGATGATACCTAGTGTTGCTGGAGTGAGGGGAAATGAGATGTATCAGTTATCCATTGCTATGTGACAGCCACTCCCAGACTTAATGGTTTGAAACAACAGTCACTCATTTTGCTCATGAATTGGTAACATGATCAGAGCTCAGCAGAAAACAGCTCCTGGCTGCTCCGTGCAGGGTATCTAGGCACAGTTCATTTGGCAAGTTGGTGTTGGCTGCTGCCTGGAAGCTTAGCTGGGGCTGTGGGAGGGGCCTCCAGTCCTCTACCCATGGGCCTCTCCATGGGCTGCTCAGACTTCCTCACGGCATGGTGGCTGGGCCCTTCAGGGTGGCCTTTTCATGTGCTAGCCTCAGAAGCCACCTAGCATGACTTTTGCGATTTTCTGTTGGTTGAGGTTGATGTAACGGCTCGCCCAGGATGCAGATAGAAAGGCCTGAACAGGTTCAAGGGGAGGAACCTTGGGCTTCACCTTTGACGGGTGTGACAGAGTTCTGGAACACTGTGAGATGGAAGATACTGTTGCAGCCATCTTAAGAAACTACAATCTGCCCCCGCCCCAGTCCTCTCATATACTGCTAGTGGTAGTATAAACTGATACAAGTTTTGGGAAATAGATAATTCATAATGTAATGTAATTGGTAATATACTTTTAAAAGCCTTAAGAAAATATATAACCTTTAATCCAGCAATTCTATTTCTGGAATTTATCCTAAGGAAGTAATTGAGAATATTTAGTAAATATTTGCTACATGATAAATATTTATAGTATCAAAGTAAGATTAAACTAAAGTCCAAAATGGGATATTGAGTAAATTCTGGTACACAATTACAATGGAATACAATATAACATCTAAAAATGATTTGAGGGCTGGGTGTGTTGGCTCATGCCTGTAATCTCAGCACTTTGGGAGGCCAAGGTGAGAAGACTGCTTGAGCCCAGAAGCTCAAGGCTGCAATGACCGATGATCACTCCACTTCACAGAGCGAGACTCTGTCTCTAAACAATAACAAATAAATACAAATTATTTGAATGTATATATTTTTATCCTGAAATTATTTTCACACCACACTGTTAATGGAAAATATTGTTACAAAAACAGTTCTGTATAGTATGATCTTATTTTATTTATTTATTTTTTATTTATTTATTTTGAGACGGAGTCTCGCACTGTCACACAGGCTGTAGTGCAGTGGCGTGATCTCGGCTCACTGCAAGCTCCGCCTCCCAGGTTCTCGCCATTCTCCTACCTCAGCCTCCTGAGTAGCTGGGACTACAGGCGCCCGCCACCACGCCCGGCTAATTTTTGTATTTTTAGTAGAGACAGGGTTTTACCGTGTTAGCCAGGATGGTCTCAATCTCCTGATCTCGTGATCTGCCCGCCTCAGCCTCCCAAAGTGCTGAGATTACAGGCCTGAGCCACTGCACCCGGCCAATCTTATTTTTTAAAAAAGAAAATACATATATTTATGGATATTGAATGCATGGATGAAAACTAGGATAAAGACACCAAAACATTAATAGTGGTTAATGGTCCCTGGTGGGATTATGGCTGTTTGTTTTTCTTTTTATTTATCTGTATTTTCTCACCTTTATTAAATATTTATTAGTATATAATTAAACACTTTTAATGAGCCAAGAATATGAACCGTCAGCTTACAAAAGAAGATATACAAAGAGCAATACTTACGTGAAACAGTATTCTACTTGTTGAACAATAATCAAAGAGGTGAAAGATTAGTGCGATATCATTTTTATATAGTATGCAGCAGTACAGTTTGGTACTGGAAAGGTGATAATGCAATTATACTGTATAGTATATCTGAGAAATAATATGATGATATGTATCAACCTTAAAAAGTTTATGCCCATTGGTTCAGTTATTTTAGTGTTCAAAATCTATCCTAAGGAAATAATCAGAGATATTGACTAGAACTTGGAGCAATCTACAAATCCAATCAGAAGACATATCTACATGGGCCCAATTCCCAGGGCAAGAGTCAGCTGGGCCCCCTTCCTCACCCAGGGCCATAGTCCGCATCTCTCCCTTTTGCTTCCCAATACGAAGGCCAAGGGGCAATTACCATTTATCATCACATTTGTGCTGTTGATTTGGAAGAGGGAAATATTTCCCTGCACTGTGTCTCTAACTGCATTTTTTTTTTTTGGCTTGTTTCCTTTAGGCAGGTTCTTGCTCTGTTGCCCAGGCTGGAGTGCAGTGACACAAACACAGTTCACTGCAGCCTCAACCTCCCAGGTTCAAGCACTCCTCCCACCTCAGCCTTCAGAGTAGCTGGGACCACAGGTGTGTGCCACCACACTAGGCTAATTTTTTTTATTTTTTGGAGAGATGGGGGTCTCCCTGTGTTGCCCAGGCTGTTCTTGAACTCCTGGGCTCAAGCAGTCCTCCCACCTAAGCCTCCCAGAGTGCTGGGATGGGCCATATTTTAAGAAAAATGGAAAAAAGCATTATCTATATAGAAGTGAAGCATGTTGCTATGTATTTGGTATTTAGGAAGAGAACATCTATGCCTAAGAATGGACCTTTACTTCACTCATTTACCTCAGGGGCCTGACCTATAGCCATTTGAGTTGTGACTCTTATTTTAGACTCAGCTGATACATCACTCCCTCTGGCAAGCCCTGGGCCTCCCAAGCCTGAGCCAGGTACCCCTCTTCAAGCTGCGGGAGCACCCTTGGCTGCCTTCATGGGAGTGCTTAGCACACTGCAGCGTGGCTACCTGGCTGTTGTCTCCTCCACCTCCTCTAAGCTTCACCAGGGCTGGACAGTCTTCTCTCTCACTGCAGCCCCTGAGCTTAACATGGGCCCTCGCACATAATAGAGGTTCAATAAATATCTCTTCAGTGAACAGAATTCTACATTCTAGGATGCAGATCTCTCAAAACTCATCATTCATCTTTATACCCCTTCAGTGCTATGCACGGAGCTCTGAGCATCAGAGATGATTATTAAGGTTAAATGAGTGAATAACAAATTATTAGGAAGCAGCTACCATCGTGGAAAAAGAATGATTTCAGGGTCAAGGAAACTGAGGTTCAAATCCTGATACTTGTCATGGAACTTTGGGCACTGGCTTTTCTGAAGCTGAGTTTCCTTCATCTGTAAAGAAGATAATGTAGCTGGGCTGTGGCTCATGCCTGTAATCTCAACACTTTGGGAGGCCAAGGCAGGCGGATCACTTGAGCCCAGGAGTTTGAGATCAGTCTGCGCAACAAACCCTGTCTCTACAAAAAAATACAAAAATTAGCCGGGTGTGATGGTGAAGGCCTGTAGTCCCAGCTACTTGGGAGGCTGAGATGGGAGGATCATTTGAACTTGGGAGGTGGGGGTTGCTGTGAGCCGAGATTGCACCACTGCACTCCAGCCTGGGTAACAGAGCAAAGAGAGACCCTGTCGAGAGAGAGAGAGAGAGAGAGAGAGGACAGAGAATATAGGGTTAAAGGTATGGCTAACAGTGTCCAACACATAGAAGGAGTTCCATACATGTTCTTATCACCGGTATCATCAGCCTTCTTTACCAATCACAGTGGGCCAGGAATTGGGCTGGACTTACTCAAGCAACAAAGGACAACCAGGTAGCCAGCACCATTAGGAGCAGTATGAGCCGGCTGCAGGAGGTGCTGGGCACTGGGCATTAGATGTGACATTGTGTCCTGACCACTCCATTATGGCCGAAGAGCACCAGAAATGAGGGTGCTGCCTTGCCCCTGGGGAATTCCATAGAGGGCCTTTCTCCAGAGGCTCAGTACCACTCTTCAAAGGCAAAACCACTATGTTTTCAAAGTCCTTTATGCATCCCAAAGTCCTTTCTCATCCTTTTTTTGAAAAAAATTTAATTTCATTAATTGTTTTGAATAGGTAATGCATGTTTAGGTATTCAAAATATTCAAAAGGGCAGAGTGTCTCTGCCCTGTCTGCCTCCCAGCCACTTAGCTCCCCTCCTTGAAACAGTTCTTTGGTGTCCTTACAGGCCTGTTCTATACAAATACAAGGAAAGACACACACTATCAACCCCACTCAGCACCTGATCTTTCTCGGGTCTCCTGTACCTTGCAGACCCTTCCATGTCAGCATAGGCAAAGGGCGGAGTGGCACTGTCTGGCTCTCCAATCTCCAGCTCCTCCTGGTCTCACTGCTGAACTCCATTTCTATCTTAGGCTGCCACTTGCTAGTTTCCATGGCACATCTCTGGCTACTCAACTCTCCAGGTGTCTAAAGTCAAGCTCCTTGTCTTCCTCTCAAAACCTGTTTCCTCTCTTGGCCCCCCACAGTTTCCTTCCCTCTCCCCAGGACTAGCAGGCGCCTCTTCCCATCTTCCTGATGGGTTCCGTTTGCTCTGAGGCCTCTCCTGCCTCTCTTCCTCTTTTTGCTGACTCTCCACCGTGCCTCCTGGAATCTACCCTGTCTTGCTTCTGCTTCACTGCCTGTAGAGCCTCTTTCCTGTCATCTGGCCCCTGCTCACAATCTTTTAGAATCTCCCTTTCACCTATGGGGTAAAGGCCAAACCGCTTAGTGTAGCACCATGCCTTCCACCAGCTGGCCCCTACACACTCTTCTCCCTGTTCTTCCACTACAAACCATGGCCCTGTGGCTGATGACCTGTGCCACCTTGGGAAGTTCAACTTTCCTTTTTTTTTTGAAACCGAGTCTCACTCTGTCGCCCAGGCTGGAGTGCAGTGGCGCAATCTTGGCTCACTGCAACCTCTGCCTCCTGGGTTCAAGTGATTCTCCTGCCTCAGCCTCCTGAGTAGCTGGACTACAGGTGTGAACCACCATGCCCGGCTTGTTTTTGTATTTTTAGTAGAGATGGGGTTTCACCATGTTGGCCAGGCTGGTCTCGAATTCCTGATCTCAGGTAATCCACCCCCACTTTGGCCTCCCAAAGTATTGGGATTATAGGCGTGAACCACCATGCCTGGCCCAACTTTTCTAAATCTCAGTTTTTTCATTAGTAAAGTAGAGCCAGTAACATCCAGGCACTGGGGGGCTGGAGGGGGGAATAGAGGTAAATAAAATAGAGGTCTCTGATTACATTTCTGTGGCAAGATGATAGGAGGAGTGATATGGTTTGGTTCTGTGTCCCCACCCAAATCTCACCTTGAATTGTAATAATCTGCACATATGAAGGGCAGGACCAGGTGGAGATAATTGAATCATGGAGGCGGTTTCCCCCATGCTGTTCTCATCACAGTGAGTGAGTTCTCACGAGATCTGATGGTTTTATAAGGGGCTTCCCCCTTTGCTCGGCACTCGTTCTGTCTGTTGTCACCCCGTGAAGAGGTGCCTTCTGCCATGATTGTAAGTTTCCTGAGGCCTCTCCAGCCATGTGAAATGGTGAGTCATTTAAACCTCTTTCCCTTATTAATTATCCAGTCTCGGATATTTCTTCATAGCAGCATGAGAATGGACTAATACAAGGAGACAGATTATAATCAGGTGAAGAAATGAACAGCGATCTCTCATAGTGATAAGACATTCTTACAAAGTACATAAAGAGCTCACTAAACAGAGATTCTATGCATATGGATGGACAGCTAGAGATTGTAAAGATCAAAGTTTTCCAAATAATCTAAAATCCAATGTAACACCAATCAAAAGTCCGCATGGATTTTTTTTAAATAGAACTCAACAATCTTATTCCGAATTTTTTTTTTTTTTAAGACAAGGTCTCACTCTGCTGCCCAGGCTAGAGTGCAGTGGCCTGATCTTGGCTCCCTGCAGCCTGAAACTCTTGGGCCCCAGCGATCCTCCTGCCTCAGTGTCCCAAGATGCTGGGACTACAGTCATGGATGACCCCACCCAGCTAAGTTTTTTCATTTTTTTGTAGAGATGGAGTCTCCCTATGTTGCCCAGGCTGGTCTTGAACTCCTGGTCTCAAGTGATCCTCCTCTCTGGGAGAAGATATTTGCAGTGTCCAAAGCTGCTGCCACCATCATCCTGTAGACCCCAGGACAAGCCTGTCCAGTAGGCCTGGCAGGAGATTCTCTCCCCTCCATCTCCCATCAGGGAGGGTCCAGGCACTAAGATGAATAATCCAGATGACACTGCAGGTGAATGACATGCCAGGGCCTGCAGCCAGGTTTGTGGTCAGCTGGCCAAGCCTCTCCAACAAGAGTAAAGAGGTTCCGCCCTCCATCTCTCTGATACTAGCTTCAGTCACGGCTGCCACAGCACAGAGGCTGAGCACCAACCCTGAAATGTGTGTGGTAAAACAGACAAATTACCCTGATGAGTTCCAATTTTCACTCTCCAGAAACAATTCCCTGCTGGCCTATCCCAGGGCACAAGTGTGAAATGTGGCCTTCATGGTGGATTACCAGCCTGAAGGAAGCTGCCACCTCCCAGGCCTGAGGGACAGAGTGGGGCTGATTCTGTTTCTCTGTGAAAGAATTCCTTTCTGTGTTCAGCCTGTGGCTCCAGCAACACTCCTTGTCACCATTGTCTCGTTCCTGTGACTGAAAAGAACAAATCCACGTGTGTGTGTTGGGGGCTAAGGGGAGGGAGGTGTCAAAGAATGTCTGGATGTGTTTTTTTTTGTTTTCTTGAGATAGGGTCTCACTCTGTCACCCAGGCTGGAGTGCAGGGGTGTGATCGTGGCTCACTGCAGCCTCAAACTCCTGGGCTCAAGGGATCCTCCAACCTCAGCCTCCTAAGTAGCTGGGACTACAGATGTTCTTCACCACGCCCAGCTAATTTTTTTAAATTTTTTTTGTAGAGATGAGGTCTTGCTATTTTGACCAAGCTGGTCTCAAACTCCTGGGCTCAAGCGATGCTCCCATCTTGGCCTCCCAAAGTGCTGGGGTTATAGGTGTGAGCCACCGAGACCGGCTGGAACATTACAGATGTGAGCCACTGAGCCTGTCTGGAACATGTTTTAAAAACTTGTTACTGGAGGCCACAGTCCCAGATGCTTCCAACCGTGGGAGAAAGTCTCCTACAGAAGTGCTGTTCCTGAAACTTTGTCCCCCTCCAGAGGAGAGCTTTGGGTGGGCTTCTCCTGAGGGAGAAGAAAGACGGGCGTGGTAACATTCACAGCAAATATTGATGAGGTCCTCTGCTCTCAGGGAGTGTGGAGTCCAGAGGAGAGGGGACAGACACAGGCAACCAGGGGCTGTGGGAGCCCTGAGCAGCTGCCTCCTCCTCTCGGTGGTGGGGTGCGGGAGAGGTGGGGGTGTGGGGCTCATGCAGGAAGAGCAGGGGGCTTGCCAGGAGGTTAGCATGAGTGGTGGGGATGGGGACAGCCGGGGAGTGACTAAGAGTGAGTAGGTGGGACGTGGGAGTGAAGGAACAGCCTAGAAGTGGGCTGGATCCTGTGGGCAGCGGGCCACTGGGGTGTTCCAGCAGGAGAGGGCACCGCCTCAAGTATTTTTTAGGAAGATGTCCTGGCCAAGAAGTCCAGGCTTCAGGACCAAGTTTTTCTAACTCGTGCATAGTGGCAGGACCTTGCTGTGGGCGCTCTGCCACTGCCTACCTCTCCAGCTGCCCCTCTGCCCAGCCCCACCAGCGCCCCTCAACCCAGGCAGGACTGTAGGATCTGTGGGTCCCCTGAGTCTCAGGCTCTCTCACTCCTGGGCCTTTGTATGTGCTCTTCTCCCCACCACAAATTCTTCCCTACCAAACTCCTGCCTGGGTTCACATGCCACCTCCTCTGGAAGCCTTCCCTGGGCACCTCGCCCTCGCTGCAGCCAGGCTCTCCTTCTGGTGGGTAGGCCATAGTGAGCACCATCCCTGTCCCCTCTTTCAGTTCCTGTCGCATTGTTGACGTCGTGTGCCGACTCGTCGGCCTTCCCTGTCAGACTGTGAACTCCAGGAAGGCAGGAGCTCATCTTCACCATCCTGTAACTCTCTGTCACCCTGGCTGCTCAGTTAATGGCTGACAAATGAACACACAGCCTCCAACTCCCACCACTAAGTAAAACACTTCCTGATTTTGCTACGACTCAACTGCCCCAGGCCGACTAAACTCCCTCTCATCTGGTTTCACTCAGCATCCTGGGAAGAGGAGAGATACCAAAAAGTATTTTTTAAAGGATATTTAGGTTCTCAGAAACAGCATTAGATTTGTACATGGTAAACCCCTTCTGGAGTTTACCGAATATGCTGCTTTTGGGCAGTAATCTTTCAGAATGGTAAAGGTGCCTACCCTTATCCAGGAAATCCATTTCCAGGATCTAACCTGTAGGAATATATGCATATGTATGGAAAAATATTTGTACAAGAATGTTCATGACAGCATCTGTAGTAGCAAAAAATAGTCTGCCCATCAACAGGTGACAAAATTATTGTATAGTAACATTGTGGAACATCCAACAACCACTGAAAAACAAATGGCAGGGTATGGTGGCTCATGCCTGTAATCCCAGGACTTTGGAAGGCTAAGGTGGTAGGATCGCTTGAGGCAAGGAGTTTAAGACCAGCCTGGGTAAAATATCGAGACCCCCATCTCCACACACACAAAAAATTTTTTAATTAGCTGGGAATGGTGGTGCATGCCTATACTCCTAGCTACTCAGGAGGCTGAGGTGGGAGGATGATTTGAGCCCAGGAGTTCAAGGCTGCAGTGAGCCATGATTGCACTGCACTCCAGCCTGGGAGACAGAGTGAGACCCTGGCTCAAAAACAAAAAAGCAAAGCAAAGAAAACCAGCCAGGCGCAGTGGCTCACGCCTGTAATCCTAGCACTTTGGGAGGCCAAGGCCAGTGGATAACAAGGTCAGGAGTTCAAGACCAGCCTGGCCTAGATGGTGAAACCCCCATCTCTACTAAAAATACAAAAAAATTAGCCAGGCGTGGTGGCAGGCACCTGTAATCCCAGCTACTCGGGAGGCTGAGGCAGAGAATTGCTTGAACCCGGGACACAGAGGTTGCAGTGAGCCGAGATCGCGCCACTGCACTTTAGCCTGGGTGACAAAGCCAGACTCTGTCTCAAAAAAAAAAAAAAAAAGGTAAAGAAAACCAAATATGCACTGAAATGACACAACATCCATAATAGATTATTCAACTATAAAAGCAAACCAAAGAACAGTATGGATTACTGAAACAGTATGAACAGTATGGATTTACTGAAAACAGTAAACGTGTTTGAATTAAAAAGATATTGGTTTATATGTGCATTCCTATCTGTTAGGAACTTAGAAGAAAAGCTTGAAACATTATCCATCAAATTCCTACTGGTAGTTACTTCTGCAGAATAGAATTTTACAGTAGTGGGGGGATATTCATTTGCTACTATAGACGCTTAGATGTTTGAATTATTTGCAAAGCATGTGTATTACTTCTGCAAGAAAAATAAAATAGGGAAAATTTCTACTTCAGCAAAACGACTATCTCCTACTTATCAGAGCATTTCCAAGTCACTCACACATATTTGAACATTTGAATGTTAAGTCCAAGAACACTGGCAGAGGCAATCATGCTCCCGCCAGTCCATCGGCTCCCCAGATTTTCAGGCTCCAGCCGGGAGTCAGGGTCACGTGACTAATTCTAGCCAATGAGATGGAAGCGAGCGCCACCTCCCGGAAAGGAAATGATGCCCGTAACTTAGAGCGGGCTAAGGTGCTCAACTCTCCAGTTTCCCTTCGTCTGTCTTGGCCACAAAGGAAACCACACATTCTAGATATAAAATGTTAGAGCCACCTGCCAAACACTGTACTTTTGTTATGCCACTGAGATTTGAGGGTTAATCTGATGCGGCATTGTATTCTGGCCTATTTCAATTCTCTACTGCTATCTGACAAACCACCCCAAAATGTCTTAGCTTCAAACAACACTCATTTTCTTTGCTCATGACTCTGCAGTCTGGGCTAGTTTCAGCTGGGCAGCTCTTCTGCAGGTCTTGCCAGGGTCATTAATGTGGCTGCATTCAGCTGGCGGGCAGGCTGAAGGCTGGGCTTAGCTGAACTCACAAGACAGCTGGGCCTTTCTCTCCCCACCCCCGTCTCTCTCCCCACTCCCCGCCATATAGTGTCTCCACAAGGCCCAAGGTCTCTCTGGTAAAGTAGTTGGACTTCTTGCACAGATGGGGGCTCAAAGCTCCCTAAAGTGCCATGCCATCTTAAAACTTAGTCCCAGAATGGGCACAGTGTTACTTCTGGTACCTTCTGTCGGTTAAAGCAAATCACAGGTCCAGTCCAGACTCAAGAAAAAAGGACTCCACAAGAACATTCAAATATCAGAGATGTGGTTCATTGGGGCCACCTGTGCAACACAGTGCCATGGCCTCTTCTGAGCAGTATAAACACCAAGGGCCTACTCCATATGGGAGAATGCTGTGTTGCACACATAATGTTGTGTAATCTTTTTTTTTTTGAGGCAGAGTCTCACTCTGTCGCCAGGCTGGGGTGCAGTGCACTGCGTGATCTCAGCTTACTGCAACCTCCGCCTCCCAGGTTCAAGCAATTCTCCTGCCTCAGCCTCCCAAGTAGCTGGGACTACAGGCGCATGCCACCACACCCAGCTAATTTTTGTATTTTCAGTTGAGACAGGGTTTCACCATGTTGGCCACGATGGTCTCTATCTCTTGACCTCATGATCTGCCTGCCTCGACCTCCCCAAGTGCTGGGATTACAGGAGTGAGCCACCGCGCCTGGCCAATATTGTGTAATCTTTTTTTTTTTTTTTTTTTTTTTTTTGAGACGGAGTCTCGCTCTGTCGCCCAGGCTGGAGTGCAGTGGCGCGACCTCGGCTCACTGCAAGCTCCGCCTCCCGGGTTCACGCCATTCTCCTGCCTCAGCCTCCCGAGTAGCCGGGACCACAGGCGCCCGCCACCACGCCCGGCTAATTTTTTGTATTTTTAGTAGAGGCGGGGTTTCACCGCGTTAGCCAGGATGGTCTCGATCTCCTGACCTCATGATCCGCCCGCCTCTGCCTCCCAAAGTGCTGGGATTACAGGCGTGAGCCACCGCGCCCGGCCTATTGTGTAATCTTTAAGGGTGTGATCATGTAAGTGGCAACCCAATGTTTTAGAGCAATTTTTTTTTTAAGTGCTGAGATTACAGGCGTGAGGCACCGCGCCCAGCCAGAAGGAAAATAACTGCTTGTTTCTGCCTGGTTTCAAACCAAGGACCTTTCGCGTGTTAGGTGAATGTGATAACCAGTACACTATGGAAACACCCTCTCATTTTTGTTTTTTAAGAAAATAATGGGACAGGCACAGTGACTCACGCCTGTAATCCCAGCACTTTGGGAGCCTGAGGCAGGTGAATCCCTTGAGCCCAGGAGTTTGAGACCAGCCTGGGCAAGACGGTGAAACCCCATCTGTACAAAAAATACAAAAATCAGCCTGGCATGGTGGTGCAAGCCTATAGTCCCAGCTACTCAGGGGGCTGAGGGTGGGAGGATTGGTTGAGGCTCCAGTGAGCCATGATTATACTACTGGACTCCAGCCTGGGCAACAGAACAAGACCTGGTCTCAGAAAAGAAAAGAGTAAACAATTTTAAATTTAGTTAAAAATCAGCTGTCCACTTTGAAAAAGCAAAGATCTAATGTGGAAGTTTGGAGATCAACTCTTACTCTTATTATTGTGGGTTAAAGAAATAGTGGAAAAAACAAGCAACTCCAGATGTTAAAGTCATTTTGAAAGTACTGATTTACAGTAATTTAAGTGCTAACTAAATTAGCACTTAAATAACACACACACATACAACCCAGGAAAATCAAACCTTCAAGTTACTTTATTCAAAGGCAAAACTTTGTGGGAAGAAGTAGTCCTGCTGTAGAACTGCCTAGCAATGGTCCCGGCTGTCTCTGAAAACAGACAGCCCCTGAGACCTGCTATGTTCACGAGGAGGCCAGATGGCTGCCATCCAGGGATGCCGCAGACATAATTCAGCAAGGGTTGGGCAGTTGGGCTTGAAGACCTCTAAGATGCCTTCCAATCTGATGATATGATCCTGTGATACTAAGAGGTGCATGAGTCTTGATTCCTGAGCTGGCTGGAGGAACGGCCAGGACTTGGAAATGCAGCAAGAGCGGGACAGGCCTCCTGGGCCCGGAGAATCACATAGAAAGTGCATAGGCCAGAACTCCAGCGTTATTCCAGCCACCAGTGGCTGAAGCCAAAGGCTGGTGCCTCGGTTTCTGGATCGTTTTCGAAGGCTTTTCCTTTCTTCCCGAGTGTTCATCACAGGAGACCATGTGGCAAATGTAATAGAGTCTGTAGAGTGCCGCGGAAGAGCAGGAAGTACATAAAAAGCCAGGAACCATTACAGATGAAGGGTAAGTGGGGCCTTGACAGCAGCAGCACTGTGAGGATCTAGCCAGCTGCCCACACCAATAACAGGCCCAGTCGTCTAACGAGGCCCGACAGAGCCACCACAGGCTGCTCAGCTGCTCCCGAGAGCGGATGCCACCTCCGCAGCCCTGCTGACCCAGGGAAGATGCGCTCAGGTTTCTTCCATTCTTGGGCCTGAGCAGTGGATTGGATCACTTAGAAATTCTTTCACTCACTTCAATCTTGTAACAGATATTTACTAAGAAGTCATAATACGCCAGGCGCTGTACTTCGAGCTGGAAATATAACAGTGCGCTAGACCACATCTTGGCTGTCAGTAGAGAGGAGTAAAAGGGCCCGAGGACCCTTTTACTAGTATAACAAATCACTGTCTCGGCACAGTGATTTCATGTCTGCCCCTGACAGCCAGGGACTCCCTCTCTGTTTCCCTACGAGGAAGTCATCTGTGTGGTTAAATAACTTGCCCAAGGTCTCCAAGCTGGTGGGGAGCGTCCACCCAGCACTGGGGCACTGATTGTCCTTGGAGAGTGAAGCTAATGTGAATCAGCGGTTCTCAAATGCTTTCTAAAAGCCACTGGAGAGGGTCCCCAGGAGTGGGTGGCTGGGACATGGTGGAAGTTCCCCAGCCCCATGAAGGACGGGAGCATGTTTTATCAGGGGTGGTGTTGTCATGAAGATGGCTGGAATCCCAAGGAGGGAACTGACCCCTATGCTCACGGGGGTTGGGGGAGAGAGTGTTCTCAGGAAACAGGGGCCTTGTCAGTTGTCAGTGCTATTTGGTGTGTCCAAAGAAACTTGAACAGCCTCCACTGGGAGGGTGCCAGGCCATCTGCAACCCCAGCCAGCTTCCTGGACTCCTCACGTGCCTTCAGATGCTAAGCCTGCGCCCTGGAAATTGGGCAAGCGTCAGGGGTTGGGGAGGGGCTCATTGGAACCCATCTCTGGTCAGGAGCCGCCCCTCAAGGGAGACCCTGGGCTGGAGAGTGTCGGCAGAACAGGCCACAACCCTCTGCGCAGCTAACACAGCTGGGGAACATCTGCATACTCTCTTTCCCTCCCTCAGGGGTCTTCCCTTTCTGAGCACCCCCTCCCCTTCGCTCCCCCAAAGAACACAGATCCCCCTTGCTCTTTGGGGGAGTGCAACCACCCCAGCAACATAAGTACTTTGGTTTAAGGGTGAAGCTCACTTGGGCCTGGAATTCAGGGCACATGGTGGGCCTTAGGAGAGCCTGCGAGAGAGGGTCCCCTAAACTAGAATAACTCATGCCACCGGTCAGAGACAATGCTTTATACACCACTACGTGTTCTCAGAGCTCATTTTATTTAACTTTTATTTTCAGCTCAGGAGTCCATGTGCAAGTTTGTTATATTAGTAAACTTGTGTCATAGGGGTTCGTTGTATAGATTACTGCGTCACCCAGGTATTAAGCCTAAGTACCCAGCAGTGATTTTTCCTGATCTTCTCCCGCCTGCCACCCTCCATTTCCTGATAGACCCCAGTGTTGTTCCCCTCTGTGTGTCCATGTGTTCTCATCATGTAGCTCCCACTTATAAGTGAGAGCACGTGGTATTTGATTTAGTTCCTGAGTTAGTTTGTGTAGGATGATGGCCTCCAGCTCCATCCATGCTCCTGCTCAGAGCTCATTTTAAATTGCTTGTGCTTATGTTTCTCCATGTTCTAGAAACAGCACTGGCTCTCCTCAGAACACACTGTGTGTGCATAATAATGTTTTGTTAAGCAAATGAAATAATTTTATAGTCAGAAATTGAGGGAAATCAAGCAAACTCTTTCACTGATCAACATGAAGGACAGGAGGGAGCATCTTCTCATGGACAGATGGCCCCAGAGGAGGGCCCAGCTGGCTGAGACGGGCCTGTGGATCAGGGGCCTGTGGTGCCACTGGTGCTAGGAAATAATGGATTGGCAAGTGGGCCCTGGAAGGGCCTCAGATCTAGACCCTTCTGCCAAAGTGTGGAGACAGTGTGAAGTGTATGAACATACGGCCAACAGCTCACGATGGCCCTGACATTTGTGGTTTTTTGATTTTGTTTTTTGTTTGTTTGTTTTTGAGACAGAATATCTCTCTGTTGCCCAGGCTGGAGTGCAGTGGCACCATCTCGGCGCACTGCAACCTTGGCCTCCCAGGTTCAAGTGGTTCTCCTGCCTCAGCCTCCAGGCGCGCATCACCACGCCCTGCTAATTTTTGTATTTTTAGTAGAGACGGGGTTTCGCCTTGTTGGCCAGGCTGGTCTCAAGCTCCTGGCCTGAACTGATCCACCAGCCTTGGCCTCCCAAAGTGCTGGGATTACAGGCGTGAGCCACTGCACCTGGCCAACATTTGTTGAACTCTTAGAACGTGTGCTAAAGCAACACAGTAGCCTAAGGTGCATGTTATTTTTATGATGCCCACTCACGGGTGGATTTATTTGACCATTTACCATTATGTTCCGTTAGTTTACCATTACACGGCATCATCAGACGCCAGCCACTTGTCTTCTCCGTTCCTACTCCCTGGGTCCGAACCCTGCTGACTTAGACTCTCTCTCTTGTCCATCTCCTCACTTGTATTCCTGGCCTCTTGCTCCCCCGTCGTCTCCTCCACCCGTTCCCATCCTTCCTGCCTCCCAGCCCCTCAAGTCCAGCCCCCTGACTACCCCAGTGCCCAGTGCTCTCCCCCACCTGACCTCTGACCTCCCTTGTCCCTGCTCCAGACTGAAGCAGGGTAAATCTGTCTCTGTCCCTGGGGTGCTGCTTGTCCTTTTCTCCATGTGTTCCATGAAGCTGCCCACCCCCTCTGTGCTCCAGAAGAGACTCAAGATGCTTGTCCCTCTGGGCCACTGTCAAAGAGCTTGGGGGCTGTGAATGGTGAGACGGGGATTGAGAGGGGAGCGGGTCAGCTGGACCTCCGGCCTGGCTCCCCCAGCGGAGGGACAGAGCTCACCAGGCTCTGGGTGGAAGTGTTGGGCCAAGCTAATCACCTAAATGGACGCAGGCTGTTGAGAGACAGGCTCTATTCCCTAATAGAATTTGCCCTCAAGTGCAATTTAATTTTCTCTGAGGCGGTCTCCAGCCCCTCTGCTACCCTCCCCCTAGGCAGACCCTCATTTCCCCAGCTTCCGAGGGGGAGCAGAGCACCTTCTCTTAGAGAAAAGAGGAGCGGGGCATCCTCGGGGCTCTGTGCGCTCCCTCAGGTTTGGCCTCCTCCTGGGGAACGCCCTGGCCCACCCAGGGCACCCCTTCTCCAGGTTCCTCCCCACAGGGAGGCTACCTCCACTTACAAACGCCCTGATTTCTCTAGAGCCCTGGGCCCTGCCAGGATCTCTGCTCCCAGGCTGTTCCTCCTCCAAACCCTCACCGTGAAGGCAGATTCTTCCCCTGACCTCTGGTAAGTGCACATGCTTCGAGAATTCTCTTTGTCCTGCTTAGTGCCCTGCGCTTACTGAGGGGGACTAGTCAGAAGGAGGGGTGGGCGACGTGGACACACAAGCAGGGGCCTCTGTGGAGGGGCAGAGATCCACTCAGAGCCCTGCAGTTTGGGGTGCAGCCCAGCTCTCGAGCACCCTGGGCCTCCTCCTGGCTCACCAGTGCCTCTCCCGGGGCTGGATTTCCCTCCAGATGACCCCCACCCCAGACCTCAGATCACAGGCCCTGAAACCTGACCTGGTCACTGGGAGTGGGCTACTGTGGGGGTCCAGGCTCGGGGTGCACGTTCTTTCTGGGTGGGAGGCAGGGCCGCCATGGAGGTCCAGGCTCGGGGTGCACGTTCTTTCTGGGTGGGAGGTGGTGCATCTTCAGATGCGGCGCTCCAGCTCTTTCTGTGAAACTCCTCTGGGCTGCTTGGGGCTTCTTCTCCCAGGTAACAGAGGCTTAGGGAGGGCTGTGCAGGTTCATGTCTGGCCTGTGCCCCATGGCCATGAGTTTACCCTAGGCAGAGGTGGGGCGAGGACCCCAAAGAGAAGCCGAGGAGGTGATGTGAACTGTAGGAGGGGAGCAGAGAAAAGGACTGGGGCCCATGGAGTCATCCTGGGTGGCTTTCCCGTTTAGCAGGAAGCCTGTGGGATGCAGTGTTCCAGGACTTCAGGCAATCCCGTGACCCATCCCTCTCTAGCCCTGTCCTCTTATCTGGCAAAACCTGGGGAGGGAGCACTGGAATTCCTTTTTCTTTGCCACCAGAGTCTTGGAAAAAGCAGAGTATGGGGAGGAGGATGACAAAGAATGGGTGGGTGGCAGGTCAGGGTCAACTGCAAGGGGGAGATTGTCATTCTTCAGGCACAGCCACCTGCTCAGCTCCCACCTGTGCAGCTGACATCTCCTCCTCAGTGTGAGGTGGGCCCATTGCTCATGTGGCTCCATCTGTGGGCAGCCTTCCGTTCCTCCACCTGGCAGTGCTTATTAGGCCCTTACTTGGTACCAGGAACCGTGCTAGGGGATAGGAGGAAAGGGGACTGCTCTGTGTATGAGTGCGTGTGTGTGTGGACAGTACCATACACCTGAGTGGGACTCCAAAAGGCGGTAGGAGGGAGGACACAACTGTGTGAAAAACTACCTACTGGGTATGACGTTCACTATTTGGGTGATGGGTTCACTAGAAGCCCAAACCCCAGCATTACACAACACACCCATATAACAAACTCACACAGGTACCCCCGAATCCATTTTTTTTAAAGTACCATACAAGTCAGAGCACCCTAGAACAGCGCTGTGCAATGGAAATATAATGTCAGCCACTTATGTAATTTTTATTTATTTATTTATTTATCTGAGACAGTCTCGCTCAGTCGCCCAGGCTGGAGTGCAGTGGCGTGATCTTGGCTCACTGCAAGCTCCACCTCCTGGGTTCACGCCATTCTCCCGCCTCAGCCTCCCGAGTAGCTGGGACTACAGGCGTCCACTACCATGCCTGGCTAATTTTTTGTATTTTTTTTTAGTAGAGAAGGAGTTTTCACCGTGTTAGCCAGGATGGTCTCGATCTCCTGACCTCGTGATCCGCCCGCCTCGGCCTTCCAAAGTGCTGGGATTACAGGCGTGAGCCACCACGCCCGGCCACCACTTATGTAATTTTAAATATTCTAGTAGCCACGCTCAAATAAGAAACAAATGAAATTAATGTGAACAATAGATTAACCCAATATATTTAAATTATTATTTCTACATATAATATAATTTTAAAATATCTTAATGAAATATTTTACATCCTTTTCTTTGTATTAAGCCTTCAAAATCTAGTACATGATTCAATTTACAGCCCATCTCAGTTCTCACAGCCACATTCCAGTGGTCAGCAGCCACATGTGGCTAGCAGCTGCTTTCTGGGCAGCGGAGTACTGGAGCGTCCCCACATACCCTGAGGTCCAGAGGCCAGCAGCATCAGCATCCCTGGGAAACTCCTTAGAAATGCAGAATCCTAGGCCCAGACATATGGCGTCAGAGCCTGCATTTGAACAGCACCCGGTGATGATATGCATGGGAAAGTCTGAGGAGCTCAGTGAAAGGCCCGGTAGTAGAAGGAATATTCGTGGAGCATTTGCCTTAGGAGCTTTGCCTGTGGGATCTCCTGATCCCCAACAGCCTCTTCTCAGGATAATTATGGGAGTATCACCCCCATTTAAGCATGGGAAAACAGAGGCTCCCGGGGTTTAACTTCCCACAGACATAAAACTCAGATGTAGATTAGAGCCAGGTTTTATGTTCTCTGCAGAGTACCTCCTCAGGTGAGGTCTGGGGGGAAATCCTTTGCCCCCCCAAAGCTCTCAATATTTCCTCCTTGACCACCAAAAGTGGCCACAGTTCTAGTGACCTGGTCCCTTTTCTGCAGGTCAGTGTTTTCAAGTAGAAAGTTTTGGTGACCAGTGGCAAGCTCTTCATAGTGAGCCAGGATGTGAGAAGTGAGAAGAGGCCAAGCAGGGAACCCCCTGTTCTTGGACAATAAACAGCATCACAATTATGGGGGCTTGCTTGCACCAGGCCTTGTGCTAAAGGCTTTATTCCTCCTTTGCCAATGGTATTAGGTAGGAATTGTCACTATCCCATTACACAAATAAGTAAATGGAAGCTCACACGGGGTCACACCCAGCAGGCAGCATGGCTGGAACCCACACTGAAGTCTGTCGGGTTCCAGAATCGGGAGTCTGGCCCCTGCCTCACAGCCTGTCCTCACACACACCTCCTGGGCCTTCCTCCTGTTTCCTCTGCCCACATCGAACACATTTACATGTTTTGGTTATAAGTCAGTTCCTGAAGGGAAACTGTTGAATTAGACTCCTCTAGTAAAAATCTTTCGCCAAGACAATGACGGGATTGTTTTATAGATTAGCTTTGACACCTGCAGCTATTTAAAATGGAGCCAGGCTGGGCTTTCCACCCCTTCTCCTTACCATTTCTAGCGTCCTCTTCAAGAGCTGAGAAATGGATCATCTGGTTAGAAGCTCTGAGACAGAGCCCTAGGTCAAGCCCAGACAGCACGACCTTTCTGTGCTTTGGTTTCCTCATCTAGAAAGTGGTTGGAGTATGACGTGATCTACCTGCTTCGGTGAGGCTTGTGAGGCTTCGGTGAGATGGGGTATGGAAAGGCACCTAGTAAACTGTCAAGCACTATAAAAAATGTTGGTCACTAAGACCATTCTTGGATTTGAGATGCCGCTGAATCCTGGAGGGAAGATGAGGAAAGGGGGAAGCGGGGAAGGTGGCAGTTGTGCAGCATCTGGAATCTAAGCTCCTTCTTTACATAAATTTGGAGATTAAGTCAAATCAGAAAACAAACAAAAACGAAGAGAACATAGGTGCAAGGCAGTGTGGGCAGAACAGCTTCCGAAGGAAAAATACAGAATCAGCCCAGCTATACCTTCCTGTCCCCTTTGCTTCGTATAAGCAAGGTGTCTGTTGCCATGACGGAGTGGAGCTTTTCACAAGATAGCTAAAATTTCACCCAAGAAGCAATTCTGGCACATTGACCTCAGCTTGTGGCAGAATTGAAAGAGCAGGTTTCCTCCACCTGCAAAAAGGGGAAAACCAAGAACAGTCCATGGCCATGGGGCTCTCTCTATCCCAAATGCATGCTTAGGAAAGAAGAGCTCCCAAAGTCTAGTCTTCACTTAAGAACACCCAGGAGAGTTTCTTGTCCCTTGGTTTCCCCTATAAATGTAAAATAAGGAAAAGAAAAAAAAAAGCAAAATATTGCAGAGGGTATAATCATGATGCTTACTAGGTGCGGTGGGTAACAATCTGTGAGTAGAGTGCTGTTGTTAACCCCATTTAGTCAAAAGACTGGATTTAATTTCCAGTTGGCACTACAATTTATTAGCTATGTGACTTTAGGGACAGCAGAAAAGGAACTTGCCAGAATGTATCCAAGTTGGGATTTGAATGCACGTCATCTAAGCCCAGAACCCAAACATTTACTAACCCAGTTCTCCAACCCCTTCCCAACACAAGGAAGACAGGCATCTGGAGAACTTTGCTGACATAATTTTATGGGAATGTTGCCAGTCCTGGAGCAAAGTAAGCTGTGAACTGTCTGCACTTGGCACTCCAGGTCATTGCCTTCCAGGGCCTGTCATGGAGCTGGCATACAATAGATGCCCGATGAATGCACGAATTAAGGAATGATCTAGGTAGACTTTTTTTTTTTTTTCTTTTGAGACAGGGTCTCACTCTGTCGCCCAGGCTGGAGTGCAGTGGCGTGATCTCGGCTCACTGCTACCTCTACTTCCCGGGTTCAAGCAATTCTCCTGCCTCAGCCTCCTTGGTAGCCGGGATTACACGCACCTGCCACTGTGCCTGGCTAATTTTTGTATTTTTAGTAGAGACAGGGTTTCACCATGTTGGCCAGGCTGGTCTCAAACTCCTGTCCTCAGGTGATCTGCCTGCCTTGGCCTCCCAAAGTGCTGGGATTACAGACATGAGCCACCATGCCCAGCCAGTACTATAGACTTTTGAGAGATAAAGAGAATTAACTCTGAAATTGGAACAAGACTAAACTCCCCAGCTCCCCCATACACACAGCCATGGGATGTGATAGCTTCAGAGATGGGCTTAGAGGACTTGGCCTTGCTGGGTCATGTACTCTGCATGGACCCCTCACCTGGCCATGCCCAGGAACCCTTAAATAAGGATTATTTGATGATGCTGGTGATGCTGCAAGGATAGAGCCAAACTACCTGTGACCATATCCTAGCTCTGCTGCTTACCACCTGTGCAACCTTGGGCACATCACTTGACCTCTCTGTGCCTCATTTTCCTCATCTGTAGAATAGGGATAATGATAGTACCTGCCTCTAAGGATCTGTGGGGGTTTCATGAGGAATATACATGCAGCATTAGAACAGGGCTGGCAATGTAAGTGTGAGCCATTGTTGCTTTCCGTCTTCCTCTAAGGATCCCAGTGCCCTTTTCTTGTCCTGTTTCTTAGCCACTAACTGAGACAGAATCTTATCTTGAGAGTTAGATGGCCAAGTACAGGACCATCTCTTTCCCATATCCCTTAAATTCCTGTGTCAAGGACACAGGGCAGGTTTAAGATGAGTAGTGACGGCCTTCTGATCAGCATCCTGGTGGGGAGAGATCCCTGCAAGGTTCTGGGAAGAGAATGAGACAAATGACAAAGTGGTGGGCCCATGAAAGGCCCTGTGACAAATGACTGGAAGGACTGGGTGGACAGATGGAGAAGAGCAAAGGCCCCTGTCCTTTTATTGGAGAACTCCTTGTGGCTCCCTGAACAAGACAGTGGCTCCCCAGGGGCTGGGCTTAGGGTTGGTCTCCCTGGTTCTCTCTGCGGGGATGAGTAATACGGACCGGGGCAGAGGGTCTATATCAATCTAGCCCAGCAGAAAAATGAATGAAAATTGAATTCCCCAAGGAGAATCGGGGAGCTGTTATCCAGACAGAGATAAATCAAAGGATGCCACAGAGCCCCGGGAGAGCAGGTTTCCAACAGCAGGAGAATAATTAAGGAAACAGTTTCAAAATGCAAATAATGAAAGGGGCCTTGAGAGGAATGAGGATGAGGAGGAGATGATTAGAGCTGGGATGACAGGGAGGGGAGCAGGGGCAGTGAGATTCGTCCCTCAGTGGAGAAAGAGCCTGGGGTTCAGGATTCCTGGCATCTGAGAGTGAACTTGCCTACTCTGTGAAGCTCTTAAAATGGAAGGGTTAGAAGACACACTAGACTGCTGTGCCGAGTGGAAAGAACACCAGGTTGAGACTTAAAAGACTGGATTTAATTTCCAGTTGGCACTGCAATTTATTAGCTGTGTGACCTTGGGCAAACCACTTAACCTCTCTGTTTCCTGATAATCATACCCAAGCCCGGGCATAATTATGAAGATAATAGGAGATAAAATATGTGGAGGAACTTTGTAAAATGTAAAATGCTAGATAAATGTAAGCTATAATCATTTTCCTAAATTGAGTGTCTTGCCTCTGAATTGGATCCCCTGACATGTTGGGTTTGGTTTCCAGAAATGGAATGTATAAATGTCTAGCAAGTACTGGATACTTTGTACTGGCTATTGTTCAAGTTCTCTGACAGAACTTAGACCTGAAGAAAGCCACATCACCCCACCACAGGCCCATCCTCTAGTGCTCAACCTCCAACCAGGTCCTGGCCCAAAGGGACATGGCTGGCTCTGAGGAACATTCCTGGGAGGTCACCTGCCAGCCCTGGGTGCATTGTAGTGAGAAAAGCCCTGCTGAGTCAGCTCAGGGATTTTAATCCAAACTGAGTCCCACCCCAAGGGTCTTTCTGGGCCATTCCATAGTAGAGATTAATGGACTTCTGTGGGATTCAGCCATTCTCCCATTCTCTGGGGGTAGAAAACAGCTTAGCCCCTGCTAGCCTCGGTTTTTTCATCCACCAAGTAGGTATGATGAAACCATGCATCAGTTCCTCATGAAGAATAGGTAGAATTATGCAGGTAGAAGCACTTGCCTTGGTGCCTAGTACAGTTGCAAACTTTCAATAAATATTAGTTATTATTACTACCATATGCTACTATGTTGTTATTATTATTATTATTACCATCAACAGCAGTAGGCACTAAAATCTGTTTAAGGAAAGCTTTTTGCTAGGGGTTCCTCATTTGCAGATGGGAAAGCTGAGGTCCCAGGGGAAGTGAAGCGTCTTGGCTGGTATAGATGCTATTGGAGGACCTTGGGAATGGGACCCAGCTCATACAAGAGGCGAATGCTTTTAGAAAAGCCTCAGAATGGCCGGGCGTGGTGGCTCACGCCTATAATACCAGCACTTTGGGAGGCTGAGGCGGGTGGATCACGAGGTCAAGAGATTGGGACCAACCTGGCCAACATGCTGAGACCCCCGTCTCCACTAAAAATACAGTAATTAGCTGGGCGTGGTGGTGCGCACCTGTAATCCCAGCTGCTCGGGAGGCTGAGGCAGAATAGCGTGAACCCGGGAGGAGGTGGAGCTTGCAGTGGGCTGAGATCACGCCACTGCACTCCAGCTTGGGCGACAGAGCGAGACTCCGTCTCAAAAAAAAAAAAAAAGAAAGAAAGAAAAAAAAGCCTCAGAATGTGGAAAGGGCATTTATTGGCTGAGCTGCACTGTGTGTGTGGGCATGGGGGTGCAAGGTATGTTGGAGCTGCTGCTTACAGGTGCAAGAACTGAGAGCTAAGCTGACTTTCCTGGGCTTGTCTGCCAAACGACACAGGTGAAAGTGGTATCCCCTGAATCAGTCTTGGGCAGAGATAAGTCCCCACCACAGTAAGGCTGTTCCTCACCTACTGACAGGCTAGTGACATGCAATGGGAAAAGGGCAGGACCCCAGCAGGTTCAAATCAGAGAAGCAGGAGCTGCAGAGAGCATTTTTAAAATATAATTTTAAATTATAAAAGTAATTACTATATATGCTTTACATTCACTGCATTTGAATGTTATCTTTTACTAATGTTACTGAAAAATAATCACTTTACAGAAAATCTGGAAAAGAGAAAAAGGAAAAAATTCCATAATACATCTCCCTAATATACCTTTTTCCAAATATTCTTTTGAATAGTATTTTGGTATCTTTCCTTACCTTTTCCCTAATATTTTAAAAAGCATTTTATTAGTTTTTTTCTGCTTTATAAAATAATGTGCTCATTGAGAAAACTGAAAAAAGCGAAGAGAATAAAATAAAATATCCACTGCACAGATAACCACTTTTACACTTTGGCATTTTTTTTACTCCTCCTAAACAATTTTTTATTGAGGTAAAATATACATATAATTTACCATCTTTACCATTTTTAAGTGTACAGTGTTTATGCTTTTTTTAAGAAAAGTTCCTGAAGTTCATACCGCTTCATATTCTTTTTTCACATTTCCTAATAAATCTCAAACCCTTTTCTACATTAAATATTCTTCTGTTGTATTATTTCTAAGACTTCATAACATTCCATTTTACTTAATAATTTACTGTAACTTATTTACTATCCCCTATTGTTGGATATTTAGGTTTTCCCTTTTAAAAACCTTATAAACATCCTTGTAACTACATCTTCACAAACATTCTTGATTATTTTCTTTGGATAAATTTCTATAGAGATTGGGTCAAATGCATCACATTTGTAGCCAAAACGTCCTGAGAAGACATTTCCCCTCTTTGCAATCCCCACTAGGAAATTGTTTTCTAATTTCCCCACAGCCTAACCAACAATGGGTATTATCATTGCCCTTACATTTGACTAAGATTTTTACATATTTATAATCCTATGCTATTGCATTGTGCTTTTAAAAAAAATAGTATTTCACAAGCATCCCCATGTTATTGGGTTTCATAATTGGTTTCCATGATTCCATAACATACTACCAAACAATTTAATCTACTTCCCTAAGCCACTTTTCTTTTGTTGGCTATTTAGGTTATTTTTCTCCAAAACATAATACTGTAATAAACATTTTCACGCATGAAACTTTTATAAAAAATTCTAGATTATTTCCGTGGAACAGACATTCAAAAGTACTACATAAACTAAAGGGTATGAAAAATTTATGAGTTTGATACATATTGCCAAATTTCTTTCCAAACGGATGTTAAGAGTTTATAAGCACCCAGCAGTATTGGTGAGTGTCCAAGCCCCTTTCGCCAGTCCTGAACTCTAGGATGCCCCTCCCGCGCGTCGGGCATCTCACAAACAGAAAAAGCTGTGCACGTGTTGTTTTGTCTTGCGTGTTTTTCACTGCAAATGAGGCTGGCGTTTCCCCGTGTTTGCTTACTAGTTATATTTCTATAGAACACATTTTGGTAAACACTAAAAATGTCACTGGGTTCTTTTGCTTTTTTCTTCTTGTGTATATTGTCTCGCGCGCGGAGTCACCTCGCAGGTAAACAAGGGAAGAGATGATGCCAACCCAGTACCAGGACACACAAAAGTCACTGTGACCTCATTGGAGACAAATTCTAAGCAGCGCAGACGACCAGGCCATTCTCCCCCGCCCCATGCTCCTCCCTTAAAGGTGAGCAGGTGTCCCTTGTTTGGAGATGACACCAGGGGAAACAGCAGGGAAGGTTCTGGAAGGCTGGGGAGGGCACACAGTCCCCCTTCCCGCCTAAGCTGAACCCCACTAGGCTGGAAGGACACGTATGTCTGCATTTCTGGAAGGAAATGCCGTGGGGGCTGGGGGCAGGAGAGCGGCTGGGTCTTGGGGCAGACGGGGTGGGCTTCCCGCGCCTGCAGCCCGGAGGCGTCGAGCGCCTGATGGAGCGTCAGAGGAGACCTCGTCCCAGCGTTGGGCCTTCTGTTGTATTTCTGCCAGAAACTCGCGTTGAGGAGAATTTGTTTTAAGCGTTTCTCTACCTGTCCATGCATCTCGTAAATACAGTAAGCATGGCAAGCCCTTTCGCTGGTTAACCCCGGCGTCCGTGTGCTCACTGCCGCCCTGCACGCACGAGGTCGCGGATGGTTCAAAGCACCCGCGGTGGCAGCCGGAGAGGCAGAGCGGGCTCTAGGGACCTAAGACAGGGCCGAGCTGGACGACTGGTGGCAGGGCGGCCGGGGAGGCCCCGCCGCGGGGAGGTTTGGGCCCCCTACCCTGCGGAACTGGAGGCAAGTGCGGACTCCGGCTGCAGGCCGCGGTCTGCGGGGACGCGCGCGGGGGGCCTGCGTCCCGCCACCTCCGCGCACAGCCCCTGGTCCCCTTCCCCAGCCCGGGCCGGCGCCGCCCGCCGCGTGACTCGCGCGTTCCGGGCCGAGTACGGGCTGTCCCTTGGCCCAGCCTCAGCCAGACGCGGGGGAGAGAGAGCAGGGGCTGGGAAGTGCCGGCAGGAAAGGAATTGGCCAGGGGAAAGAGGAGGAGGAAGATAGATGGAGTCATCGGTTACGGAGCGCGCTCCGTCCGGCGGAGCGAAGCCGGGGACCGAGAGCGCGCAAGGCGAAGACACAGCGACGCAGCCCCGTCCCCGGCCTCCGGACCGCCTGCCCCGCTCGGCCCCGGCTCGGCTCCGCCCCGCCCCTGGGTCCGAACGGAGGAGTGAGGAGGACACGAGCCGCGCGGGCTTGGAACCCACGAAGACCCGCAAACCCAGGGCGCCGCCGTCTCCGACCACCTGCTGCCGCGGCAGGCCATCAGCAGAATTTATACCCAGGGCGCGAGCCCGCCACGGCTGGGCGGAGGCGGAGGCGGAGGCGGGGAGGGGGGGGGGGTGCCGGCTTGCGAGGCCCCGCCCCGCTCCCTGCCGCCCCGCCCCCCTCCGCCCCGCCGGCCTCACTCGGGGCGCCGGGACCCCCACTCCCTCCGGGGTCGGCTGCCCGCCGCCGGGTTGGGGGATGTGCCGAAGGGCGGGCCTCCCTGCGGAAAGCGACGTCACGGCCGCTCCTGCAGTGTGAATGAATCAAAACGCCCGGGTGACCGCGGCCTCCCGGGCGGCCGGCACGCGAAGGGTGGAGGGGGAGGGGGAAGGAGCGGGCGGGGGAGGGAAGAGGAAAAAAGCCAGAGCTGCAGCAACAGCGTCTCAACCTGGGATGTGCACCAACCCCGGAGAGCGAGATCAAAGGGACTGGAAACAGACTGGGGACTGGCGGGGGGAGGGGGCCGGCCAGCCTGTGGAGTCCTCCCTGAGAAGCGGAGGGCCCGGCTTCCACCGTGACTCCAGCGGCCTGCTTGGGGTTTTAATTATTATTTTGAAATTTCTGAATCGAGCTAGAGCGAGAGAGCGAGAGATCTCCGTAGACTGCGACTCGCTGGCTTTCGCTCCGAGATGATGCAGAGTGCGACTGTCCCCGCGGAAGGGGCTGTCAAGGGGCTCCCGGAGATGCTAGGTGTGCCGATGCAACGTAAGACACCCCCCTTTCTCGCTGATTTAATTCTAACAAGACAGCTAGCAGCCTCAGCCGCTGCGGGGCGGGCCGGACGCCGCTCAGGGGCCGGGAGGGGCTGGCGGCCGGGGCGCAGAGGCGGTCACAGGGCAGGGGCACCAGCCAGAGTGCGTTTGAGGGGGCCAGGCTCTTGGCTGTTTGGGGCCGAATGTGAACGCCTCCTGGATCATGCTTGAGGCGAGCCGAGTACCGAACCCCGCATCTCCAGCCCAAGGCTTTTCTTGGAACGCTGGGGAGAGTGCTGTTTGGGGACACCCAGGGGTACGAGCTGTAGGCCAGGCCTGAGGGCGAGGGTGGTCCCCACAAATCTTCTTTCGCCGGCGTGACGGTCAGCGCTTGCAGGACCGCTAGTGCAACTTCACCCCAGCTGGCGGGAAGTTGGAGAGCGCGTCTCTCGCCCCTGGGGCTGGCGGCGGAGAAGCCCCGGCCACACTCTTAGTCCCTGCGGCCCGCGCCCCGGGCGTGCGTGCCGGGTGAGTCCCCAGCCGCTACTGCCCGCGGCGCCCGCCGCGTGCGCCGCGGGAAACTGACTGCTCCTTGTGAGGGAATCTGCTCGCGCATTCCAGCTAGCCTAGGAATGCAGGGGAGGGAGAAGCGACCGCAAGTTGTGAATTCCGGGTTCAGCCTTTGCGCACGCGAGGGCAGGTGCTCAGGGTGGCTCGGGTTTGGAGGGGTAGAGACGGGGGTGTGTGGGAGCTTTGCTAGCCTGCCCGCCCGCTTTCTTCCCGCGCCCGAAATTAGCGAGACAGCCGGAGCTCGCGGCGTGTTTATCCCCAAGTCTCTCTCTGTGTGTATGGGTGTGCGCGCGCAGAGATTTTCCCGAAGGGAATCCGTCTCTGTGCTTCACTCCTGAGCGAGAGTCCCCGAGAGGGAATCTGTGCAGAGGCCAGAACAGGTGCCCAGTCGTCGCGCGCGCGCGCGCGCGCGCGCGACAAGCGCCGGGAGAGTCCTGCCCCTGTGGCTTGCACGCTCAGCAGGGCGCCCCGGGCACCCTGGAGAGACCAAGGAGTTCCTCGCTCCGCTTGCCAAGGGGTTGTACTTCCGCCTGCGACTTCTTTAGTGGTGCGGTAGCTACATCTTCGGGGTTTACTTTAAGTAAGGGCCGGCTCATCCAGGGATGGTGACTACCTACAAACTAGGGCGCACGAGCGCGCCCTCCTGCGCCTCGGGTTTCCATGGCAGGGTTTCTGTCCGGCGATCCTTCGGAGGGCAGGCGTACCGTAGGCTTCCCTGGGAAGTTTTTGAGAAGGGACTAGAAAAGAATAGCTTCATCCAAGCCTATTTAGATTGTTTCTTGGCTGTATTCTACAGTTATTCTTTGAGTGTTTTCGTGTCAACTGCCGGCAATCAGTTCCACGTCTGTGTTGAGCCTTGGGGAGTTTACCGCTAAGATGTTTTCATAGAAGGCATTGGAGATTCACTACGCCCCACACCCCGCACACAGGCAGGGACAGAGTGGGTTCTCAGCCCCTGCAAAGACGGAAACAGAAACCCTGCAAAGGTGCACCGAGTCCTTAAGCTGCTTGTAGCTCTGCGCGAGTGAGGAGACTGCATGAGTGGGGGAAGGGTGTGTGTGTGTTACTAGTGTCCTTGGTACCCAGTACGTCTGTGCTTTCATGGCTGTGGTCCGTAGGTGACCTGTCTGTTGGGACCCCAATGAAGGACGATGGTCTCTGCTCTGACGGCCTTTCTTGTGATGAGTGACACTCTGATTGTCTCACTTTTTGCCTTCCCTGTTCAGAGACAACTTTGATGTTCGACGTCAGGGAGTCGCTTTGCTAAAATGCCCAGAACTCACCTTCAGAGCTACAGTTTGCCAAGGCTGAGTCTAGGTTCACACTGTGGAAAACTTGAGGTGTACAAAGGAACTTCCACACCCACCCCCCCAGGGTGGCCCAGGGAGGCAATGTCTAATCTAGAGGGGGTGGTCAGTCCTCCCTTTGTCCGAGTTTCGTGACCTTGGTTGGAGGAGGCATCGGCCAAAATTGAGGGGCCCACTCCCTGAAGACTTCTGGATCCAGCTTTTATTTCCTCTTGGAATGTGAATGGATTGTAGCCTCCCTTGCAGCACATCTGGCCTCTGGCTGTTAGGCTGTTGGTGCTGGGACCGCGGGATAGGTCCCCATCACCCACATATACACAACTATTAGTTTTCTTGGGACTGGGCCCAGTGGCCTAAGAAGGGGGGAAGCTCGAGGGGTTGTGGGGCACACCCTTGGGCCTTCCGGGACAGTAGGCTCTTAAACCCTAGAGGAGGGGAGACAAAAGAAACGCTCTCCCACAGGGGTCCCTCCAGTCGCCAACTAGAAGGGTTTCCCTCTCAACACAGACATGTTTGCCTCTTCATCACATGGAGTCACCACGAATGGAGCACTTGGGGACGCAGGTCTAGGTGTCCCCAAGCTCGGTGCCTCTAGTGCCCTCCCCTCTAGGGGCATTTTAGAAGAAGTGATTTAAATCCAGCTTATTTCGGCGGCAGCTGGACTATTCCTTTGCTTATTTGGGGATGGGTGAGGGGCATACCCTTTAGGAAAACGTTTCCAAATGATGTAATAATTTCTCTCTCATCTCTGGTCTTGCTCCAGACTTGGCCTCTTCCTCGCCACTCTGTCCCGGCCTCCCGCCCCCGCAGGCTCCCGTGCGGACTTAGCAGTTCGCGCCGTAGCCCTCCTGGTTTTTTACCGCGCCTTGGTCGCGCGGCCCCCGGTGCGGGCCTCGTCGCTCCGACAGCCCTACAGCTGTCCCTACGGCCCGCACCGACAGCTCGTCCCCGCCACCTCCCTCCGGGCTGTAGGGACGTCGAGATCCGAATCCTCACAGCGCCTGACCCGGGGCCGTGTTGGGTACGGGTACGGCGAGAGCCTTCCGAGCCGCCTCCAAAACTCTCCCCGCGGACCTCAGCAGTCCCTCCACGCGTCGGGGCCCTGCTGGCCGGCCATGCCCTCTGAGGAGACGCGGAAAAGAGCGAGGCATATAGGAAGGTGGGGCGTTTTATCCGCCTCGGTTTTGACCCATCTGCCATGTAGTCTCCCCAGGCACCGAGGGAAAGGACGACGGAAGCCCGCCGCCCGGATCGCTGGCGGGAGAGAGGGCAGCCCGCACGGGAGAAGGAGGAGCCCCGCGGGGTCTCCGCTGGGGGTGGTAATTGGAATGCAGGCCTGGGGGTCTCTGTCCCCCTCCTTGTCTCCTAAAATGCTTCCGGCAAGCTCTGGCGAACCCCGAAGCTGTAGGAAAAAGGTATTTTATTTTGTGTTTGGTAGGGTCGGGGTAAAGGTTTTCCCTGGGACTTCCTCTCCTGGGGCTCCTCCGGGGTGCGTGGGGTAATGTCCCAGCGCAGGTCGAGTTGCAGATCCGAGTCCCCGGGGTTGTTGACTGTCCTTCTTGCAGGACATTTCTTAAGGGGGTGAGATGGATTCACTGTCCAAGACAGGAGTTCACTCAAACGCTGGTGCTGTTCGCTCTTCTTTCCATTCCTGCCTTGTCTCCTAGTGCGAGAAACAGACACACACAACACACACAAATTATATATATATATATATATATATATATATATATATATATATATATATATATAATAGATTGAGATTCTATCATATTCCGAACATTCCGATATAGCAGCTGTAGGCACCATAGACCTCCCTCCCTGCGTCGCGAGAATATATTCTCAGGCAGGAGACAATTTTTACAGATGAGGTCAGCTGTCCCCGCCGGCCGATTCGGGCCTGATGGGTTGGGGGTTCCGATGTCCTAACTGCTAGGATCCCGTTCCAGCCCCTGGCCAGAGCTGTGTACCACAAAGAAGGGAGTTTGGAGAAACCCGGGTAAGCGCGGCAGCGCCCCGCTTGGGACAGCGGATGGCTGAGGACTCCCAAGGGGCGAGAGGGCTCCGGCCTCCTCCTTTCCAGGGCCTTGTTATCTGAGAGGGCCGTTAGCACGGAGGGAAGCTTGGAAAGCCGCTGTCCCAGTGCGCTCCGCATGCGGAATTAACTGTTAAAGCCGGACACGGAGCACGCAGGTGCAGCAGGTGAGGGGCAAAGGTCTGCATTGAGCAGTCCGCAGTGTCCCGGGAAGTCGTAAAGTCGGGACTGAGAAGAAGCAGGACCTAACTCAAGTTTATTTCCTCTCTTGGCCGAGGTCCGGGCTCGTGGAAAACCAGAGCTAGGCGGGGCTACGCAGGGCTGAGCAGGAGTGGCGTCCTAGGGTCTGGGAGCGCGACCCACATGACCTCGCTACGACCGGGGCAGGGCTCCTCCGCCCCGCGGGCAGATGCCGGCCTGGGTGGCCCGGGGAACAGACGATGAATTCTTTAAATGAGCGTTTGCTGCGCACCCATGGGCGGCTCACGATCCTGGGCACTCGCCCGGGAATCCCGGGCGTGCTCTGGGTTTTGGGGGACTCGCCGGTGGAGGTAGATGTGGACAGGGCGGCCGGCCCTTCGCGGGTAGCCGGCTTTGCGCTTACTGCGTCCCGCAGCGGTGGGTAAAGGTCGTAGCCCAGAAGGGGACAAGGGAGGGACCGCCTCTCTCTCCCCGGTGCGCTGCAATAGAGGTTCCTGCGCCTTGGCCCTTGCAGTCCATCCGCCCAGAGGTTCGCGCCCGTTTTCGGAGCTTATTATCTCAGGTAGCCCAGAGGTCCGACTGAGCTGGAATTAGCCAGGCCTGGGACCCCTTTGCTGCCCTTTAGAGTGGTGGCAGGGACTTTTCCAGCAAGGATAGGCGCGGCAGGCGCGAGTGCGGACGGCGCGCCCATTAGGAGGAGGCCGGGTGAAAACCTCTCTTCCTCTCCAGACCCATTTCGTTCCAAGCATTTGGAATGACAAAATTAAACCCCAACCCTGGCGGCTCGAGTCTAATGTGACTGTTTAACCCTGGGAAAGCGATGCTCCCATTTTCGAAGGGGCTCCTCCTCTTCGGAGCGGGGAGGCCGCCGGCGGGTGTGCCCGGCCCGCGCGTTCTGCGGGTGTTCGAGCCTCGGCTCCCCACTCGGTTCCGCAGCTTAGTGGACCTTGACGAGCGCTGGAAACGTGTCAGGCTCCAGAGAGACAGAGTCTCTACCTAGGCGGCTGAGGATGTCAATTAAAATCGACCAGGGAAGGGAGTTGGCGGCACTGTGCGCCGCCGGGGAAGGCGAGGTGGCGCGGGCCACCGGGTGCACTCACCGCACGAGAGGCCGCGGCTGGACTGGGACCGAGCGCATCCCTGTGTCTCAGGGGGTTTGCTTTGTGCAGGATGGGACCTTATTATTTTTAGACAGTGGGGCAAACGTGTCTTTTAAAGAGATCCGAAGGGTGAAACTAATGAAAAAGGAAATGAATTACTAGAAAAGCCGTGAAGGGATAAAACCGGGAGCAGCAGGAAGTTGAAGGAAGGACGACCGAAGCTAGGTGTATCTGCACCTGCCTCTTGACACGCCAAAAACAAAGGGGGGTTAAGGCAAGAATGTAGACTAAATGCTGTGAGGATTAGGGTAACGCGAGCCCTCAAGACGTCTCGGAGACCGCCTACAGGGCTGCAAATACCAGGGTCCATTTTTAAAAATCGAGTGCTCCTAGAGGTGGGGTGGGGGTGGGAGAGCCGGGAAACCAGCAAAGCAATTTCTTTCCATTGAGTAGACAAAAACTTGGGCCACAGGGGCATCTTGTATTTTGAACAGTGACCCGATGACCCCGCTGGCCAGGTGTAGACAGCCTCAAGTCCTAAATATTTGCATTGTCCTAACTTCCCAGTTGCCTCGGATTTTAATGCCCTTTCACTCTGCGTTACAGTCAATTAGTGATTACTTAGCATCCACATTAGTAGACTGAAGCCAGAGACCCCAGTGCTGGGAGGAGAGGAGGAGCCGGGGGAAGGAGGATGGGGCTTGCAGTCCTGCAGGGATGGAAAATTAGTTAACAGGAATTAACTGTTCTTTCTATTACCTTGTTATGAAATCTGCTTTGAGCTTCTTGTTTTGGACGGGAATGGTGGGTATTTAGTGGATTTCTCTGGCTGGGAAACTTGTGTCCTCTTCCTATTGAAGAGTTGTGGATGGGGGGCGGGTAGGTGGAATCGGATAAAGGGACCTTGTGCCTTTTCTTTCAATTAAGGAAATTTTTCAGGAATAGAGCTGAGGAGCTTTGGGACGCATAGGGACTTGGAACCAGTTTAGCTGAAGAGAGGACAAAAGGAGTAATATTACCCACTTTGAGAAACCCACGGTTGGAGACAGACTGAAGCAGCAGTTTGCTGTGGCAGCACCAAATACATGGCTGCATAGACGGCTGAATTTGGAGAGGGCTGGCTGGGGTGCCGTTGAGGCGATTTTACTTTTGTAACAATGTTTTGCCTTTCTCCCTTCCTGGAATGAGTGTTAACAATGCCCATAACAGAGATGTGGGCAAATAGGGTCCACTGCTTTTAGTAAAATTCCATCGCGGTCTGGTGGCTTGAATTTCTCTTTCTTCCTCCCTCCTTCTCCTTCCCCTGTTCCCCCAATTTCTTCTGTCTATCCCTTCCTTCCTTTGCAAAATCTTTGCAGGGAGAAACATGGGATAGTGCAGGAATTCACGACACAGGGGTTTTACTCGGCGGGGGGGGCGGGGAGGAGGGCGGTCGTGTGTCCAGCAGGCTGCACCGTGGTGGAGCCATCTCTCTTTCTAGGCGCCCTGGGAGGGAAGCACAGGTGCTGGGTATAGGACAGAAGCCGCCCTGGAGCTGGGCTCTTATTGTCTGTGGTAGGAAGAAATCAACTAAAATTAGATGCCACTGTGAGGTTTTACCTTATTTAGTCCTCAATTTTATAGGATCCCTGATCAAAATGGAGCACAAGTCAACCATTTTGAGGCATTGCTTTTGGGGGTAGGTGGACAGGTTGGGTTTAATTGGTGAAAATGAAATGGATTCTCCCTTGGAAAATGGACTTTGGGGTTAACTGTATGAGCGGCTGACTGGAAAGTCGTCTTGGGAGGTGAGTCCTACCTCCTGCTGTAATTTTGGTGGATTTCTTTTCTCAGATCTCCCCACCCTGTTCCCTCTGTCAGTCTGGGTCTAGCCACAGATGTTTAACTGCAGTACCTCACCCCCACATGTCTTTAAAGTATAATTTGCTTTAATTATGATGTTAGGGGGTTAAGAGATTGGTTCTGGGAATAGCTTAATAGAGACAAAACTTGCAGCCAAATTAATTGAAAGTTTCTTGCTATGAGGGAAAGATTGCCAAACATATGGAATACTGTTACAGAGTGAGACATTAGAAAAATACATTGTAGAGATTTAGCAATGATTAAATGTGAAAATGGAGTGGAAATAGACGTGTCTACAACATTTCCATACACAAACATGGATTTGCTTAATGTAATTTTCTGTTTTATTTGCAATTACTGAGATATATGATATCCTACTGAAGAATACTAATTACGTGACAATATATCACCTAGGAGATAATCCCTGCAAATACATATTTACATTGTGTATTTCATTTGTTACTCGACTCCTTATGTTAAAATATCCAAATTACAGCCTTAAAATGATAACATCGAAATTATCTCCAGTTTACTTTTGAATTTGTTCTTTTATTGAAGAGGTTTCTATTTTTGACTAAGCCGAAAAAGAACAAAGGAGATTTTCAAAGGCACCCCAAGCCACCAAATAAAGCAAACAGTAAAAGTGGGAAGGATTCCGGAAAGCAAGTGAAGGGAAAGGACAGCTTCAGGTGTGATCATTTCTGATGTAAGAAGGATTTTCTGACTTTTTTTCTGGTTGCTAGTCATTTGTCAAGACAAACTAGAAAAAACTAGAAATTAGATAAAAAGACGTGAGTACACTGATGCATTTTAAAACATGTCAGTGCATATGATGATAGAGAATATGATTTACCTTCAATGCGATGCTAATTTTTAAAATTAGAATTTTTCTAATATTTTTGTGGCTGGCCCAGCTCTCTTTCTTTAATGCTGCTGTCATCATTGATGTTCAATGTGCCTTTTCTCTTTATGTTTTAAAGAATTAATGTTGGAATTTTGTGCTTTAGCTGTGTTATGTGATTATTACTAGGTTGTGAAAATCCCTTAAGAGGAATTTTATAAAAACATTTTGGAAAATTCTGTTATTGTCTCTTCAAGATACGCTGATTTAGAATAAGTGAAAATATAAAAACGAGAACTATAAACGGTTCAACAAAAATGAATGTTCTTTAATGACAAAGAGCCAGGGTTGGGGGGCGGCACACACCAGATTTGTCATGGAAAACTGAGTCGTGGGCCTCAGGTTTTCCCTGCGTGGGGACTGCATGGATGAATCAGGCCTTCTTCCTTTGGTCACAATTACCAGGTGATTTAAAAGGGGAATTGTGACCAGAAAACAGGATTTTATCATCAGCGGTGATGGTGGCTACTTTGAAATGGAAAGTTTTATTTTTGAAATATTTATCCAGTAATAGACCTCTTAGTTAATTTAATTTTAATGTAACTATACCTCCGTTATAAATCTTTGACCTGGACATTTCAGAACTCAGGTATGTGTTTAGGCAGGTGTGCCACAGCTTGGTATATCCTGTAGCTTCACCTTGTTGATGCATTTTAGAATTAGTTATTCCCCGACTAAATCAATGAGCCCCCCACTGACAGTATTTCCCAAGCCTGCCTTTAGAAAACCATCTTCCTTCTTTCTTACTCAGGGAACCTGAGGCAACAGAACAGCAATGTCTGCAATTTGTTGTTTTCTCTTCCTTACATGTGGGAAAGGAATGGAAAATTTCAAGAAAAACATTTGCATACTATTTCAGTTGCATATGTGATTCCTTAAAGCCCCATTTGGCGTCTCCTTTCAGTTAGTAGTCAGTAAAGAAACTTAACAAATAAATAAAATTAAACGTTTTTGGAAATACATATTGGCCAAATGTTATTTGAGACAGAGCTCAAAAAACTGCTTACTTCTGGAGGGAAATCACCAGCAAAAAGGTTTTGGGCAAAAATCCCAGATGGAGGTGGCTTTGATTGAGCACAGGTGGAAGCCATCAGACCCAGAGTAAAAGAAGGTTTAGTCCTAATTCGGCCTCAAACTGTGTACCCGTAGGGAAGCCCCTTATTCTCAGAACCTTTTAAACGTAGACAATGAATGTCCGCTTCACAGGGTGTCTGGGAGGAGGGAATGAGCTTGCCAATTTGAAAGTACTTGACCAAGTTTGGAGTGCTGGTGGTCTTAAGGCACTCAGAGACTGGGATCACAGCTCCCATTTCACAGACACAGCCGCCCCTGGGAGCACTGCTGGCTGTCCCAAGAGGATGGCCACCTGAGGGGGAATACTGTGGGGTCTGCAAACAGGGAGACCCGGAAGTGGCTCCCATGGACCCAGCTCCTTTTCTCGAAAGGAGCAAGAAAAACCTTGTCCTGAGCATTAGGCTGTCAAGTCAAAGCATGAAACAAAAAGAACACTTCATCCAGAAGGCAGTTAAAAAGCAAAGGGAGTTAAAAAGCAAAAGCCTCACAGGAGGCACATCAAGCTGGCACATCAAAGTACAAACTTTACAAAATATTAATCTGGTCTCAGAGCATCGTTAAATAAACATTATTCCCTTTTAAAATTATTATAATAGAGGTAGGGGCTCACTATGTTGCCCAGACTGGTCTCGAACTTCTGGGTTCAAGTAATCCTCTCACCTTGGCCTCCCAAAGTGCTGGGATTACAGGTGTGAGCCACCGTGCCCGGCCTAAACATTCCTATCAGTACAAAGTTTTAAAAATATTTAAGTAGCACATCAGCATTATGATTCCAATGGAAAGATCTGAAATTCTGACTCCTTTCCCCAGAAAGGTGCCTTTTCTTAAATATATTTTAGAAGTCATTGTCGGATATGTTGGCTCTCATATTAGTCTCTTTAGTGGAATTTTTTTTTCCTTTACCCTTTTGATCTTCCGTGACGAAAGGGATAGAAAACACCATTTTTCAAATAATTAAAATCGATCAAACAAACACAAACGCTCTGTGAAATGTTTCATGGTGGCCCCTGGTTCCTTGAGAGCAGTTTCTTGGAAATGAAGAAACGTGAGTGGGGAATACAAATGCATGATATTTATTATCTCTCACCAGAGGGGTGTGGGCAGTTTGGTCTGCCATGGATCACATCAGACCTTTTGATCTCTTCCACTTCCCAGCTTTCGGAAACCATTAATGGAGGAATTTGGGGATTTAAAAATGGAATCCAGTTTCTGATGGGCCACTGTGAAAAATAAGCCCAATGTGCCTCTGTCACAATGCTTCAGGTGCTTTGAGGGCTGGCTATCACGTTGTGAGTTTTAAAAGCTTCCTCGATGAAGAAGGAGATTATGGCTACCGGGGAAGGGTCTGTAGCCATTTCTTATCAAGTAAGAAATAGTCTCTTTTCCTTTGGGCATTTAGTTGTCTCTAGGAAAAAATGCTAGAAGCCCCAAACGTCAATTTCAACCCAATCTACCCTCACCTGGATACATTACAGCAACAGTGAAGTAAGATCAGGCAGTTGTGGCCTCAACCTCCTCATTTTTACCATCCACATGTTCGGAGAGACCAAGATTTGGCAACTTTGTCATTCTGCAGAGGAAAGAGTCTGCCAGATCCCTTTATTCCAGAAAGACTGAGCCCTTGTAATACTGCATTGTCTGCTGTTTATACTCCAGGATCACGTTGATTAAAAAAGAGTGTGTGTCTTCGGAATGCTTTAGAATTAAGGGAGTGGAGGAGAGTTCTGAGTGTTTAGGAGGGGGTTGAGGGAGGGAAAAGGTATATTGGGAAATAATGAAGCATGAAGTAATTTTGATACACTTTATAGACATGCATCTTGTTGGCAACTGGCTATGAGACAGTGAAGGAGAGAGCTGACCACTGGCCTTGGACAGTGGCACTGTGAGGGCTCGGTGTTTTACATGCATTACCTGATGTGGCCATAACACAGCTACCTCGAAAGAGTGGTATGATTATCCCCATTTTATAGATATGAAAATCAAGGCTTGAAGACATTAAGCAGTTTGCCCAAGATCACATACAGGGTGGAATTAGGATCTGAGCTCAGGTCTGACTAGATCTGGGATTTATTGGCATTTGGAAGACCTAAAGATTTGCAGATCTAAACTCTGATCAGAACAGAAAACTTTCAAATTCTCCCAATATTTTTAAATTTTTGTTTTGATTTTTTTTGTTTTTGTGTTTTTTTTCTTTTTGTTTTGTTTTTGTTTTTGAGACAGAGTCTTACTCTGTTGCCCAGACTGGAATGCAGTAGTGCAATCATGGCTCACTGCAGCCTTGGACTCCTGGGCTCAAGCGATCCTCTTGCCTCAGCCTGCCAAGTAGCTGGGACTACAGGTGCACCCGACTATGCCTGGCGATTTTTTTTTTTTCTGTAGAGACAGGGTCTCACTATGTTGCCCAGGCTGATCTCCCAGTATTTTTGAGCCCTTTCCAAAAAAGTATTTGAAACAATGTTTCTACTTCCTTCTGCTTTTCTAGTTCACTCACTCCCTACTCTCCCCACTGCTTCAGGATTGGACAGCTCCCTCATTCGGCTAAGCCTTCCTTTCCACAGACAGAGCTTGATTTCAGAATTGGCTTTTTTTTTCCAGAGTGGCAATGCCTCATCCCATGTATGAGGATGTGAGTGCATGTGTTTGTGTGTGTGTGTGTACATGTGAGTATGTGTCTTTGAGTATATGTGAATATGCATGTACATTTGTCTGTACATGTGACTGGTACATGCATGTGCCTTTGTATATGTAGGAATGTATGTGTCTCAAGGTGTATCTTTATTTGTGATTGTGTTTCTCTGTATGTGTATGTACGTGTCTGTGTTATATGCATGTCTATGTATATAAGTATGGTGTGGGCGTGTATATATATCTGTGTGTATATATATATATCTGCGTGTATATTGAGTGTGTATGTGAGTGCGTGTGAGGATGTCTGTATGTGTTCATGCAGGTACATGTGGGCTTAGGTCTATGCCTCGACTATGTCCCTCTGCATGACTAGGAATGCTCTGGTGGGCGGGCCTTGCAGATGGGTAGTGTGTTGTTCTATGTGGTTTAGCATTTCCAAAGATTCTTTGGCTGTTCCAGGGACATTACTTTTTTGTTTCTGAGTTTACCCTCTGCAGAGCCCCAGCAGAGAGCATCGTCACGAAATGCTTATGGGCAGATAAGAGAAAAACTTTCATTTTAAGTGAAACGACTCCTCATATTGAGTTGATATTAATAGATCAAATTTTGTCTTTAGTGACTCCAAGCATCTATGTAAATTGCAGTTTTAATGTGGAATTTTGAGATACTAAATACTGCATGAAATACATTGAGCTTATTGGGGATTTGGAAATTGTCTTGCCCCTTGGAAATTTTGGTTACAACTTTCTTTCTTTTCTTTCATTTTTTTGCTCTGTCATCCAGGCTGGAGTGCAGGGGCGCTATCTGGGCTCACTGCAATTTCCACCTCCTGGGTTCAAGTGATTCTCATGCCTCAGCCTCCTGGGTAGCTGGGATTATAGGCATGCACCACCATGCCTGGCTAATTTTTGTTTTTTTAGTAGAGACGGGATTTCACCATGTTGGCCAGGCTGGTCTCAAACTCCCGGCCTCAAATGATCTGCCTGTCTCGTCCTCCTAAAGTGCCAGGATTACAGATGTGAGCCACTGTACCTCTGTAAGGGGAGGGGAGGGGAGGAGTTCTCCCCTCCTCTGCCCTGCAAGAGGAGGCCAAGGTAGTCTTCCTCGACGCCTCCTCCCTCAGGAGGAGGAGATCCGGTTCATGCACCAGAACTTTATTCCTGGTAGGAAACCTAGATAAACTCTGTCCTGTTTAGCCTTTCTAAACTGTAAAAATAATAATTTATTACAGGTTTAATTAAGAGGCTTATGTTGTTGCTCTTTGAAAAATTTCCAGATAGTTTATATTTTTTACTAATCTAAATAATTAAATAGGGGCCATGTTGCCTGGAGTGTGGGGTCTGAGTTCACAGGTCTCCACATCCTCACAAGTAGGGATGGGCGCCATCAACAGGCAGACACCTTGTAGCTGGGGGAGGAGATTGTGGACAGAGGCTGCTGCTTCCCGCCCTCCTGTGGACATTAGGCATCCATCCCATATGACACATGCACACTAGATGCCTGTGTCATCTCAGTTTTTGCCTCTAACATTTCCATTTACCCAGCTGTTAGGGAGCTCAAGAGGCCAGTGGTCTTATAATCCCTTGTTGCTGTACATGGAATCGTGTTGAGACTCTCTCTGCCACAATTTCCTATCTAAAAAAATGACAGGCTCAAGCCAAATAAGGGGATGGTTCAGGCCCCTTGAGCTCTCAGGTTGGGTTAGTCCATCTTCAGGAAAGCAGCAGCACAGTCTATTGGTTGGAATTCTGGCTCCCCCACCGTCAGCCTTGGGCACATCGCCTGATCTCGCGAAGGCTCAGTTTCCTCATCTGTAAAATGGGGATGATAATTCCTTCCTCGTTGAGAGTGGCTCACTGACGTAATACACACTCAAGCCCTGACGTGGCTCATAACAGGCTTCTGATGCCTGCGTGTATTACTGTGATTGGTATATTGGAGATCTTTTAGAGCATTTCCAAATTATCTTTGTTTAATCCCCCCGTCAACATCTACAGTGGAATAGAAAAGGTTTTTAATTTTTAACTTAAAGGGCACCCTTGGTAGGCCCCTTCCATTTTTGCCAAGCCAGAGGGCCCCGGTTTGGTCCCAAGGCCTCTCTGTGAGGACTTCTAATTTGGGCAGCCCAGAGTGACCCAGCGCGGATCCTTTCCTCCAAGCTCGAGGCTGAAACGACTTGTCTGTCTGCTTTTAGTGTTGTTCCTCAATGTGATGCTGTCTCTGCTTACAAGCCTCTAAAACTCCCCTGCCCACCATTCCCTGCATACATTAGCCCTAATGTATTCTCTCTTGAATACTCATCAGATTAAGGCTCCCACTAGATATCCTGCTCAAAATAAATTTTATGGGCATATATCCTCACCCTCATCCCATGTATTTGTGGCTGGGAGGAGAAATATAGCCAAATCTCTTCTCAGAGGGCTGGCCAAACAACAATTAGGTAGGAATCTGTGGCCCCTTTTGCCCAGGAGCCAAGGGAGGTGCAAGGAGTTGGGCTAGCTCCCAGCCTGCATGCCAAGGGCCAGAGAAGATGGTGCTTCATCTGGGTTCTCAAAGAGTTAATTGCCCCCCTGGGAGTCCAGCTCCTGGAAATCCAGATCACACAAAGAAGTCCCTGACCTGACTCCCAGGGCAGAGGTGCGGCTGTGCCACTGGGGCATGAAGCCCTCCCTGCACAGCTGTGCCTAGCAGCCTCCTGCCACGGCTGTGCCCCGCTGTCGGGGCTCAGTGGGCACACAGCACTGCCCTGTGGCACACAGCAGGCCTTGTTCACACATTCCTGCTGGCTCTGCATGCCCTTTGTACTTAACTCACTTCCCTGAGCTGGCAGGGCTTCCTGGTTGGGTCTCCCCTCCTCTCCCCTGCAAGAGGAGGCCTGGGCAGTCCTCCCTGACCCCTCCTCCCTCAGCCTTTCTTCTGCTCAGCAGACCGCAAGGGCACTGAACTCAGCTCATGCTGGAGAAACCCGCTCCCCCTTGCCCTTCATAACCCTCCTGACCTGAGTTGTCCCCTACTTTCTCCTGCTTCAGACTGGGGGGCGTCACACCAAAGGAGTTCCTGGCTATCCACCCTTCATAGACTGGTGGGCTCATGTGTCACCTCCTCACCAAGACCTTCCAGGGCCCTCCAGGGATTCCAGCCAGCCCCTGATGGCCCCTGATGGCCCCTGGAGGGAGACCAGGGGTGTGGCTGAGTGAGTACCTGCATGGGGCAGACAGGCATGGCCCCAAGCCGCTGGCATAATTGCTGTGTGAGGCGGCCACTCGGCCTCCACGGGAGAGTCATGACATCTCTGCAGGGATTCTTATGAGGGCTCCATAAGAAAATGCCCACGAACATGGGTGCCTAACTTGCCTTTCCGTGGGCATGACAGTTATCTCCTAATAATAGCAAGCCTGTCTTGAGCACCTACTGTATACCAGGGCCTGTCCTAAAAATTGTCCATGTGTCAATCCGTTTGCTCCTCACAACAATCCTACAGGCACTATTGTCATCATCACCCCCTTTTACAGGTGAGGAAACTGAGGCAGAGAGAGGCTAAGTCATTTTTCCAATTTAAAAAGCAGAGCCAGGATCCAAACCCAGGCAGCTGAGCTCCAGAATCCACATTCCCACCCCGTGTCCTGCCCATGCCCTCACTGGGTGGAAACCCCTGTGGCCGTCATTGTTCAGTACTTTGCTGGGCACAGTGGAACTCCTGGGTAAGTACTGATTGACTGGACTGCGTATTCCTCAAGGAGGAAAACTGTGGAGATAGAAAAAAAAAAAAGAATCCTGTATGTACTGGGACAATTAGCAAGTGGGACACCTGATAGTTTTCATGGGATATTTTGGTCTGAGAAAGGGGTCAACAGGCAAAGCATGTATACCAGGCCTGACTTCCACGCAAATACTGGTAGTGCTGGGGCCATGAAGGGAATAGGCTGGGGTTGGGGTTTAATTGGGCCCAAAGTTGGTACTTCTGTGTACAGGGCTAGTGATGGCATTTAGTGAGTGTCCCAATAGCCTATTTATAGGGTTTAAGTACAAACGTCTTAATAGTCAAGAAAGCCTTCTCTCTACATAGGTTTAGATGTGTTTAAAATTTTTCTTAGTACATTGAGGGTAATTCCTTTATGTTAACACTTTTTAAATTATATCACAACCAACAAATATGATATGAATCAAAAACATGTATGAGGCCAGGCGTGGTGGCTCACGCCTGTAATCCCAGCATTTTGGGAGGCCGAGGCAGGCGGATCACCTGAGGTCAGGAGTTTGAGACCAGCCTGGCCAACATAGTGAAACCCATCTCTACTAAAAATACAAAAAGTAGCCGGGTGTGGTGGTATGCGCCTGTAATCCCAGCTACTCAGGAGGCTGAGGCAAGAGAATCACTTGAACCCAGGAGGTGAAGGTTACACTGAGCTGAGATTGTGCCACTGCACTCCAGGCTGGATGACAGAGCAAGACTCTGTCTCAAAACAAAACAAAACAAACAAAAAAAACCCATGTATGATTCATGAGAGATTTGGTTTTACTGCTGTTGACATTTTGGAGTGTACAGGAGATACTAGTGAAAAGCTGTTTCAAGGTGAGCCTCTCAGACAGGATTTAATCAATTTATTATTTAGCGATAAACATCTATGGCATTACCCTTGTGTGCCAGGCACCGTGCTAGGCAGTGACCGTTTAGACAAACAACGAGCAAAGGTGTCTTTTATAATAGGGGTGGTAAACCCTGGGGTTGCCAGCCTCGTGAGTGCTGTATCAGGAGGATACTGTAGGAGGCCAAACGCTTGCACTTTTGTTTTTCTTCTTAATACTTGTTGATTTGTTACCTTCCTTTTTTGAAAAGCACAGGGGAAAATGGCTAGAGATCCTAGTACTGTTTGTTCATCCAACCACGGAAACCTGACCATTTTGTAGATGTTGAAACAGTCAGTGACTCAAAATACTATCAAATTCGCAAGCAATCCCTTGGAAAGATGGGATGGTGGAGAAACAGACCTCAGATAGGAAGTCACCCAGGACAGGAACCGGATGGGGCAGTGGTTAGGGTTCTGTTGCAGACAATAGAGTCTTCTTTCACTATTTAAGTGAAAAGTGATTACTCATCAGGTGGCAGGTGACTTTCAACTCAGTGGAGCCAGCTGGTTGGAGCTTCCAGGATAACTCTCAGCCCCCAGAATTTCACTGCTTCTGCTGTGACTGATCAGGACAGTGCAATACCCACCAAAGCACTTCATCGCCTCCGCCGTGACGCACACCAGCACAATGGGAGCCTGCCCCTCAGCTATCCTGACATTTAGCTCAGTTCTGAATTCAAGTCTTTCCCAAGAGCATTTGATTGGAAGACTCAATCATCTTCAAAATGTGAGCCGCTAGGGCATCTGGAAAAGCAGTTTCTAGCTTTCCTATCTGCAGCACCGGAAGGCACATTAGGATGAGGTATTGATCCAGCCAATCTATGGTATCAGTTGCAGTTCATTAAAATATTGAGATTTTCTCTACAAGAGCACACTCAGGCTTGGACCTTGATCACTGCCCGCCCCCTCCCCCACACCATATTTATCATTTGCTTTTCAGGACAGATGGCCTTTCAGTCCAGGCCTGGGCAGGGCTCACTTTGGGGGCTGATGTTTTTAGCAGAGCTTCCAATCACTTGTGAAAATGTCGTGGAAACAGAGGTGGATGTTGCTGAGCCTTCCTGGCCTGTTGGCTGTGGAACTGCAGCTGACATAAATGGGTTAGCTGCTGCTGCTAGCCTTGTGGTGCCCTTAGAAACGAGTGATTCCTCTGGGCCAAAGTCACCCCAAGCCAGAATCCACAGCCTGGCCAGCAAAGCAAGGGTTGGCTTTCAGTCCCCACTTGTTCCTTGACTACGTACGTTTGTGTGCAATGTATAACCTGTACAACTATATGCAACAGCTCTGCGGTTTGGGCCATGTCTGTTTCCACCATCAGCAGAGTGGGAAGGCACCCGCCAGGGCCTGGCCTGGTTAGCAGGGCTGTGTGGAAGGCTCACAGTGCCTCTCTCTCCTCTTCCTCACAGAGATTCCCCAGTGCGCTGGCTGCAACCAGCACATCCTGGACAAGTTCATCCTGAAGGTCCTGGACAGACACTGGCACAGCTCCTGCCTCAAGTGTGCAGACTGCCAGATGCAGCTGGCGGACAGGTGCTTCTCCAGGGCTGGGAGCGTCTACTGCAAGGAGGACTTCTTCAAGTAAGTCAGAACGGTCCGTCTCGTGGCCCTGGCCTGTCTCTGCCTCTCCCCAAGCAGTGAGGGGGAAGTTTGCAGCAGGGTAGGCCAGGGAGGGTGGAGAGTCCACTCTGGGAGGGGCAGGTAAATCCTGGAGCTGAGAGGATGCCCCTTGTTGAGGTCCCCCTTCTGATCACTGGCCCATCACTGCCAGAGGTTCAGCCTCTAGACCTCATTTGATCTCTGCATGGGGCAGGGGTGAGGAGCCAGAGGCCTTGGGCTAGATTTCTCCAGGGTGGTTGACAAAGTTCTGCAAATCTCCTCTGTTGCTCCAAAGAGCAACAGAAAGAGTTGCTCTTTCTGTCCTGATATATTGGTGCTTCAGGGCATGTGGTTGTAACATTCCCACAACTTTCAGAGCAGCTGCTTTTAGGTTCATGTCCACATCCAGAGGCGTCTCTGTGACTGTGTTTGCACAGCCTGCTTCAAGGGCCTTAGAGGCTTGCAAGAGTTGCTTCTGGCAGGAGGCAAGCCAGGCTCGGTCAATGTCGTCACTTTATATGGAAACATGACTAAGAAAGAGGCAGTTTCATGTGATGGTTGAGTCCAGGCTCTGCCTGTATTCGAACCCACTTATTGGCGGTGTGCTCTTGGGTAGGTTACTTAACTTCTCTATGCCTCAGTTTGTTTATCTGTAAAATGGGGCTCACAGTAGTAGTCCCTACCTCATGAGGTTTTTATTAGCTTTAAATAAGTCTATTTATGCATCAAGTCCTCAGGACAGTGCCTGACACTTGAGTGTTAGCTCTTAAGACTGTCTGAGATTTTCCTTTCTGGGGTGGGGTTCATCAAAAACTTCCTGTTGGAGCTTTGGATCAGGGTGAGAAGACCTCCTGGAAGGTGTTTTCCATGGCATTTAGTCCTTGACTTCTCTCCCAGAATCTATTACCCAAGGCAGTGATGTTGGTGCCTTAGCCAATGTGGAGCAGCTGGCAGCAAGCAAAGCCAAGAGCCGGAGGTGGGGGTTAGGGATCAGTGACGCTGAGCCCTGTGTTCAGTCACACCAGCCTGGGTGGCCCAGGGGGCGCCAGGGAGGCTCGCCAAAGGCTGAACACACCCAGCCCAGATAACCAAGCCCCATAGAGGCACCTCATGCTGAAGCTGTGTATTCGGAAGATGGGGGTTGAGGGGGAGTAATGGGGAGAAATGTGAGTCCTGGATACAGAATACGATTTCTCCCACATCTTCCCAAAGGTTTCACTATGGAGAATAAGTGATTTGAATATCTGAGGATTCTCACATTTCTTTAGTGCAGTGAGTTGAAGAGCACATTAAAGATCTTGGTAACCAGTGCGTGGGGCTGCCTCCCCGCCTGTGTGCAGAGGGTGCACTCACTGTCACCACGGTACTTTGCTCAGATATGTGCTGCTCCCTACGTGTGTGTGCGTGTGTGAGTGTGTGTATGAGTGTGTGTGTGACAGTGTGTGTGAGAGTGTGTGTGGGTGAGTGTTGTGTGAGTGTGAGAGTGTGAGTGTTGTGTGTGAGTGTGAGTGAGCGTGTGAATGTGTGTTGACTACAGGAAGGCAGGGGCAGCAGGTGACATGGGTGCCCGGCAAGTCCTTGATGTTTGGGTGGAAGGACAGACCTCTGGTCCTTCCTCTGAGCTTTTTGTGTACTGCTCTTCTTTCTCACAATCTTCCTGTTGCTTTCCCACCTCTGACCCTCCTCTAGTTTCCTTTTCTCTGGCATTCATGCAATTCCATTCCCTCTAGCCACATCCTTTCCCAGTGGGCAACAGGAGTTTGCCTCTATTTTCCTTCCTCTATGATGTCCTGGCCAAGCACCACAGCAGCTGTTACAGGACCCTGGGTGGAGTGAATTTCCCTGTGTTTGTGTGTGTGTGTGTGTGTGTGTGTGCGCGCGTGGGTTGACATATGTACCCGGGTGCAAATGTGAACATAATGTGTGTGTGAAGAGGGCAGGAAGCGGCAGGTGGCAGGGCCTAGCCTTGGGGTCGGGTGAGCTGCCCTGCTTCTGTGATGAGGTGTGTGCAGATGTGTATGCCTGCACCTTTGGAAAGCCAAGAGGCCACGCCTCCGCTTGCCCGTCTCGGGGCAGGGTAGGTGCTGGATGTCCGAGTCAGACCTCAGACCCCACTGGTTTCTGGCTGGTCCAGTGTGGCGGCTCAGGGAAGCCTGTGGGGTATGAGCAAAGCCTGGCAGGGCCACTGACCCAGGACTTCATCGCCAGAGGGCTGCCTTGGACCCCCCAGTGCTTCCTCAGGGCCCTGTCTGATTTTTGGACCCTGAGTGGCTGGCTATGGTTTGGAAAGAGAGGGTGGAGAGGAAGGTGATGGCAGCGCAGGCGTGGGGTTGGGTTTGGGAGAAGTAATGACCAGGAAAGAGGGTCTCCCTAGACCCAGGAAGCGCCCACAGTGTGTGCTGAGGAGGGATCCCCACAGGCCTATGAGCCAAAGGCCCAAGACCAGAAATAACAAGAACGGCTCCTCACCTGGGCCTTGCCCCTGGCTCCACTGCCCCAAGCCCTGGCCCTCTTTTGGATCCTTTCAGGGCCTTACTCAGCAGAAACCTTCTGGCTAGTCCCTCCACTCACCTCCCTGTAGTCTGCAACCCTTCCCACCCGGTGAGTCTTCCGCCAGGTGGGCCTTCCCGCCAGGTGAGCCTTCCACCCCACAGCCCAGGCCAGGGCCTGCCCCTTCCCTGAATATGCCACAGAGCCTGCCAGAGGCACTGGCGCATCAGAGCCTCCTGCCGGCGCTCCCTTCCAGTCCTAGCCCGCTGCTTTCCTCAGGTACCTGACGCCCACCAAGCAGGATGCTCCATTCCCAGGCATGCTTGGTGGGCTGCCGCCTCCACACGCCAGCCCAGGCTGTTTCATCCTCCAGGGACGGTGCCCACCCTCCAGGGCTTCCATCCTTCCAGGGTCCTCAGAGTCCAGCTCCGCGGCAGACAGGATCCCCAGTGGAGCCATCACTTCCTGTCTCTCCCCTCTCCCGGGTGACCCAGCACAGAATGCTTTGGTTTGCCCATTTCTCGTGTGCCTGGTTTATCTTCCTTGTTGGCTTGAGGAAAAGGCCTATCTGTTACTCATTTTTCTGTCCCCTGTGTAAGCCCCTGGCTCTGCGCTTTGTCCATAGGCCACTGCTGGGTTTGATGCTGCAACAAGTAAATTATCCAGTGAGTTTACACGAGCTTTGGTGACCAGTTTCTTCTGTATGCTGCAAGGCGTCTTTGAGTGAGGGAGGCCCAGGCTGCTTGCAAATGCTCAGGCCCATCATTTAGCCACGGTCACTTCCCTTGTTCCCGGCACTGCTCTGCTTCATGAAATGACCTACTCTCAGGGCTGGGTCCTTCTGTAATGCAGGGCATCTGGCCACGGATTCAGTGCTGAGTTTGGGCCATTGACTCTGTGATGGGGTGCTGTGAGGAGGGGAGTTCAAAGCTGAAGTGATTCTCCCTCCTGTCAATGGAGGGCCAACCCGAGATGAAGACCAGGTGGCTCTGAAGTCCTCAGTGGGTGGATTCATAGCCCTCACCAAGCTCTTGGGGACCAGGGCTGTTTGGTACAGGAAGGCACAGCTGCAGGCTCCATCCTAGGTACAGACAGGGAGGCAGCAGGCTGTCCAGCATCTGAGTGGTCCCACCTCCCATCCCCAGGGGTCTTGGGACTTGCTGGCCACCTGGGGCTCTGGGGCAGCCTGCTCCTCATCCCATCTCATTAGATGTCACCAGGCACCTCTTTCAGAGGGCACATGGGGGCACACACACAGTGGAGGTGCAGTAAGGACAGAGACCGTGCTGGGGCAGGAGGGGGCAAGCAGTCCGTGGAACCCCAGGTCCCTCCCTGGCTCACCCTCGGCTATAGAAGTCACATCTGTGGCCACCTTGTGAGAGGGACAGCAGGTGCCACATACTTGAATTTGCCCATCAGACCTCTGATGCTCTTAGCTGTGGAGTTTGGAAGACAGCTGGTCAGAGCTAGGGAGAGTCCCTTTTCCACGCTCCTTGAAGAAAAAGAAAAAAGAAAAAGCATGTCCTTTTCTGGTACCTCCTCCTAGCCCTGTTCAGAGGTGGGGGCAGGGCTCATTGGTTCCCTGATTAGCACTGTGGTCCTAAGTTCCTGGATCAATACTTTAATCTCTTTGCCCATAACAAGGAAGAGGGCCACTGCTTTGCACAACTCCAGGGGGCATCCTCCTGTCATATTCTATGTGAAGTTCTGCAGATCAATACGGAGATACGGAGAGTACCCACTGGAGGTGGGTAGTACCTTGTAATATCTCAAAAGTGGAAGGAGGCCGGGAGGTCAGGACTTCCCCAGCCTTCCACAGGGGCATGTGGCGATCCTGGTAACTGGCAGCAGGGGGCGATGTTGGTGTGGACACAGAGGAGGCAAGAAGGATTGTTGGGAAATTGTACTCTGTGGTTGTTGCATTTTTCTTTGGGGGCTGTTGAGCTCTGTCTTGCTCAGTAACACTGACTGATTTTTGCTGTTGTTTGTTGTTTTTGCTGCTTGTGTCCTTGGCTCTCCTTTTTTCCAAACGAAATAAAATTCTGAGACCCAAGAAGAAAGGCACTGAGTTGACTAAGGGAGCACAGTGGGGACCATGATTTGTTCTGAGTTCAGTGGCGGCTTCAAACATCAGGAGAGCCCACCCCTGGTGCAGAGGGTGTCCCGAGCCCTGTTATAATTTGAATCCCAAGCTGCGGGGCAATGACTCCTCGTGTCGCATTTGCTAAGCAGGTCCTATCCAGACCATGTGTCCAGCATGTCATGGATCCTTCTCATGTCTCCTCAAAAAGGGACCAGGGCCCAGAGAGAGTAGGGATCCAGGAGTGGGGTTTCTGGGTCCCCTTGCTATCACCAGGTGGGTCCTGGAAGGAGCCAGGCAGCTGCCTTCCTCTGGAGCACAGCACAGACCTCTTGGAGCTGGGTTCAAGTGTTGCCTGTCGGCAGCCAGCTGGGTGCCCCTAGGCAAGTTTCTTTGCATCTCTGAGCATCTATGTCCTCTTCACAGTGCCTGTCTAAGAGCCCTGGCACCCAGGAGCATTTCTCAAAAGGAGTGATTTTCTCAGCAGTGATTTTCCTTTTGGTGAACCCAAAAGGAGCTCAGTTGAATTCCTGTCCTATCTTTCGTTAGCAGTTTGTCAGCACAGGTAACTAGGTCTTTCTGAGCCTCATTCCCTTGTCTGTGGAGAGGAGCTCACGCTAACCCACCGAGCTAGGAAGAAGACGTGTGTGACCCGGGTCCAGCAGAATGCTAGGTGCTTTGTAAACACTGCCGGGTTTCAGGCCCTGCCGTGTGGCCCCTTGACCCGCAGCCCTGCAGGGTCAGGTAGTCAGAGTTCCCTCAGGGCGGGGCCTGCGCTGGCTTTCCTGGTCTCCCCTGTACCAGCCTTGAGAGCTTCCCATGGAGATGACTCTTAACTGCCTGGAGCTCCTCAGTTAGTGGGGGGTTAGCCTGGCAGAACGGGGTGGGCTGTGGTCCATGGGAGAAACCTGCCATGTGGATCTCTGTGAAGAGTTGAGAAACAAACCATTATGGAGTGAAAACAAACAGAGCTGTGGAATTGAAGCGAGGGCAACGTTCCTACACGTTTGTAAGGTCAAGGGCAAAGCCTTCAAGGACAATCCAGGCTTGTGGGGGCTTCAAGCTGTGCCCCCAGCCACTGGGGCTCCATATTTCCATCTGCCCGTCAGGGGGCGTGGAGTGACTCTCGGGTGTTCTGAGGGTGCTGCCACTCCAGGAGGTTCCTGTCTAAAACGTCATGCTTCTCAGGGGTCTCCCTGCCCCTGAGGCCCTCACAAGGCAAGGCAGGCAGGCAGAGATGGGTGCGCCAGAGGCTCCCGGTAGCGGGATGGAGGCCGCTGTGTCGCAGGGGAGCTGTGCGGCTGCTGGGCCAGGCCAGGATCTCCCTCTGCTCCCCGCGGTGCCCCTCCCCCAGCCTGCCAGTCTGCAGGCCGTAGGTGGGCTGTCCGCCAAGGGCAGGTAGGCAGCGTCCTTGGGAGCCCGGGAGCTGCTCCCATTTATCTCCGCAGTCCAGAACAGCGCATTTCTGCCTGGCGTGGCTGCAGGGTGGTGGTGCTGGCTGCAGACAGGGCTTCACTGGTGACCTTAGCCCACTCTGGTGACCAGGGCCTCTGCTCCTCATCTTGCAGGGGGCAGCTGCCCACAGGACATTGGCTAATATGGGGAAAAACAGGCTCGACCCCTCTGCGGGGTGGGCTTCATGGAGAGCAGGTGCGGGGTTTTGAGTCCAGGCTCAGCGTGAACTTGGGGCGTTAGACATCACCAAGCCTCGCTTTCCCATCTCTACAGGCGGAAGAAAAATACTGACTTTTCTGAGTGACTGTGAGGACTGAGTCAGAAGCAGCAAGGAAGTGCTTAGTCCATTCTTAGGAAGGCCATGAGGGGCATCTACACTGTGCCCCACATAGGGAGGAGGAAAGAAGACAGCAGGAGGGCCTGGGACCAGGCTGGCAAGGACGGGGTCCTGGGGTTGCTGGCCAGGCTGTGTCAGTGGTAGTGGTGGTCAGGGGATTGAACAAAGGCCCACCCTTCAGTGAGGAGCCGGCCTGCATTTTCCTCATGGGATGCTCTCCCTCCCTGTGTGGTCCAGAGCTGTGGGCAGGAACCGCAGCCCTCAGCGCTCGCTCGCATCAAAGAGCGGGGCCAGCCTGGTGGGAGGCGGCAGCCCGCGCCTGGGTGGCTTTCCACTGTCTCAAGCTTTCTTGTGCCCTGTTGCCCCAGAAAGAGGCAGCCTCAGTTCTGGGGTTGGTCGTAGAGTCAGTGTGGAGTCAGACTTTTGCTGAGCCACTTATTATTTCTGATAACCACACACCTGCCAGGCCATGCAGGCATGATCGTGCGTACACACACACATGCACACATGCACACACATGTATACACGCACACACACATGCATACACACACGCACACACGCGTGCACACACATGCACACACACAGTGCTCTAGCAGAATGTGCTTAAGGAATGCACAGGGGTGTGTCTCTTTGATGTGTGACTTTCCATAATTTCTGAATAGTTTATAGTCTAATTTCCTCGCTAAGCAAATTAAACCTTTTAAGGTAACGATCAGATGGTCCGGATAGTGGCTGTGCGTGTGGACATTTGAAAGATTCAAACACACTGGTGGGACCAGGCCCACAGTCATTTGTGCCGGCCTGTAATCAAGGCAGAAGCAATTACTTAGCCCCGAAGCTCCCCCAGGGACCGAGGCTGTAAATCAGGAGGTGATGAGTCGGAGGAGGATTGTCTGCCCGCCCCAGAGCGTGCAGTTCAGCTGCAGTCGCCTGGGCCACCCTCCCCGAGTGGGGCCTGGGGTGAAGGCCTCCTGACATCTGTGGAAGACACATCTCAGGGACTTTCTGGCTTAGAGGAATCTGTTTGGAATCACCTAGCTGCAAATTAGTCTGGGGATCAGATGCATCTGGGCTGTGGAAACGGGGTCCCCAGTGGGATCTGGGTGACATGGGAGTGGAAGCTGTGGGCAGCCCTCTTTTGGCCCAGGCACAGCACAGCAGCCAGCGGCACCTGCCTTCCCTCCGTTGCTGAAGATCGGTTTCCTCTCCTCACCCCTACCCTGGCCATTCAGGTGCCATGCCATGGGGTTCACCACTCCAAAAGGCCCTCTCTGGACATTCCTGCAGCCTCTGTGCCTTCAGGCCCTTGTCTTTGGGCCTCTGCACCACTGTAACTTCTCTAATTGTGGTCCTTTCCCCTCCTTCCCTCCTCAGCCCGTCTGGCTCTTCCCTCCGCCCATCTGGTCACGTTGTCCCCATTGCATCCTGGCTGGGCATTCAAGGGCCCATGATCTGGCTCAGCCTTACTCCCTGCTGGTCCTCTGGCCAAGGTCACACCAGGGTCCCATTAGAGCCAGTGTCTAGTTTGTCACTCTGGTCCCCGGAGGCCTTCGTGTCTCTGGAAGCCCCACTCTGAGAAGCCACGAGCTTCTCCACAGGGCTGGTCTCTGGTGGGCACTGTGGATGAGACAGCAGGTCAGCCTGGGGGCCTCTCTCCCACACACCCATTCCAGTTCCTGCGGGTGTCTGCCATGCGCCGTCTGGAGAATGAGGCCCTCAGTCTTGAGGGACTTTGGGACTCTGACAATTGATGAGTGACCTGCAGATGCCCAGGTGGGCTAAGAGCATAGGTGACAGGATTTCTGTAGGAGTGGTCTGTGCCACCGCTGCACTGGGCCATCCGTGGGGCTGGAAAGTGTGGGTTCTGGGCCCCAAAGTGGGAGTCAGGGGTGGCTTTTCTCTCAGTAAGCACCCCCGATGCGTCTCCCGCTCGGGGGAGTTTGCTCACAGCTGAGCTAGCAGCTTGGCAGAGGCTGATTGGCCTGTAGTGAGAAGGGCAGATGAGGTGCTGCGGGAAGTAAGGGAGAGGAGGGAGGGTGACCTTGGGCCAGGCAGCTGACTGCTCCAAGCCTGTGGCTGTCAGAAAGAAGGGAATACTAATCCCTCCCTACAAGGGCAGGTGTGTGGTTTGAATGAGATGCCTCGCATGAAGTTGCCTGGTGCATATGACATGATCCGTGCTTGTTTACAAAAACACCTGGTGGTCTGGACTCTTCTAGAAGGGATTCAGGTCCTGCACGTCCCGTTGCCTCTTCAAGGAAATCTGCCCCCAGCAGGGAAGGAGAGGACTTGAGGCCAAATGGACGGGAGAGTTGGGCTCTCGTCCACTTCCTGCCATGGATGGAGCTGTGTGATCTTGGGCAAGTCACTGCTTGTCTCTGGGCCCCCATTTCCTCCTCTGTGAAATTAGGGCCTTGGACTAGGTCACTGGTTTTAAAGCTTTTCCAGCAGCATTCATCTCAACATGATAATATCGAATATTCTTTAAAAATAAAAACATTAGATTAAAATCCTGATAAAAAGCAGATTGCTGAGGGGCTGTTCCCATGGGCTGGGAGGTATATGTGTGAATGTGTGCATGTGACATGGGGGCTGTGTCCCCAGCCCCCGAGGCTCTAAGATTCTCTGGTGTCAGGCCTTCTCCAAATAGGACCCCCGTCTGTGTCTGGAGAAGGCTGCCCATTCTGGGGCAGAACTTTATGTGCCCATGACATGGCTGTGGCCTTAGAGTGGGCGGTGATATATGTTGGAAATATTGGTACATACAGTAACAGTAAATATCAGCAACTTTCCTGTCAAGTGTGGTGATAGATAAAAGAAATACATGTAGGGAAGTGTCAGCTGGGAAAAAAATATACGGCCAGCAGTAAATCACCGCCAAGCAATTAAAGCATAAAATCAACTTGTGCAGTATTTTGTTTCCTCAGGACGGTGCACCGTTCCATGGCAGCTCCACGCACAGGAGGCTGACATGGGTCCTGGGCTGGTCCCCACCGACTGCCTTCAATAGCCAAGAGTAAGGAAGACATCCCAGAGGAGAGGCACTGAGTTCAAATCCCAGCTCCACCGTTTGTCTGTGAGGTCTGGGGCAGTTACTAACCCTCTCTGAACTTCAGTGTCCTCATGTCCAAATGAAGAACAGGCCTTCAAGCATTGCGCAGGACTGGGTCACTCACTGATTTATTCATCATACATGCACTGAGCACATATCGTCAGCCAGGTCCTGCTCTGGGTGCTGGATTCAGTAGTGAACAAGACGGATAAAGACCCTGCTGTTGCAGAACTTGCCTTCTAGAGAGGGGGAAACAGGGTCAGCAAGAAATAAGTGCACAGCGCATCTACTGAGATGAGTGCTGTGGAGCAGGGAAGGAAGTGCTGAGGGGGAGGGGTCCAGGGGTGTCCCCCTGAGCAGGTGACATTTCAGGGGACCACTGCAGGAAATGCAGGTACCTGGGGGGAGAGCGTGCCAGCAGGGAAGCAGTGCCCGGGCCCCAGGAGGAGGCGGAGTGGACTGGGCAGTGGAGGAGGGAGGGTGGAAAGGCGATGGCGCTGGGATGCCATAGTGCCTTGGTGGCCGTTAGGGAGCCTGTGGCTTTGACCCTGAGTGAGGTAGAAGCCACTGGAAGGTTTCAGCAGGGGAGGGCGAGGGTGTGACTTAGGCCCACTGTGGCGACCATGTGCAGAAGTGCCTGTAGGGGCATGGGCGGAAGCGGGGAGACTGTTAGGAGGCAGCTGTAGGTGCTGGCTGATGGCAGCCCAAGCTAGGGAAGGCGGTGTGGGTGTGAGAAGTGGTCCCCAACATGATATAATTTTGAGTAGAAGCTGGGCGTGGTAGTTCACTTCTATTGTCTCACCTACGCAGGAGGCTGAGGCGGGAGGATCTCTTGAGCCCAGGAATTCAAGCTTGCAGTGAGCTGTGATTGCACCACTGCACTCCAGTCTGGGCAACAGAGCGAGACCCTGTCTCCAAATAATAATAGTAATAATAATGATAGTAATAATAATTATTATTATTCTGAGTAGAGTCAACAGGATTTGCTGACAGATCAGATGGGGACGGATGCCCAAAGGTTTTGGCCTGAGCTGTGGGAAGAATGAAGTTACAGTGGTCTGAGATGGGAAGGGCTATGGGAGGAGCAGAGGGTGCGGGGGGTGTTGGTAGGAGTTTGGTTTTGGACTCCAAATCCATGTGCTGTAGAGGCAGTGGAGCCCCAGTCTGGAGCCCAGGGGTCTGGGCTGGAGGTGAGATCCCCAGGGGAGCGGGGTGGGCAGAGAAGAGGTGTGGGAGGAGGAGGAGCAGGAGCAGAGGAGCAGAGGCCGGAGAGCACAGTGTAGGAGGCAGCGAGCAGGTGTGTTGGGAGGCTTGGGAGGCCAGGGAGAGGGGAGCTGACCGCTGGGCTGCAGCACAGCTCTGGTTGGGTAGGGCACTGCCTTGAAGGGTGCAGGAAGTGGGCAGTATAGAAGGGAGGCAGGCAGGGATCATAGAATGCCTGTACATGGATGGAAGGAGCCAGCAGAGGTGAAGCTAATGACACAGAAGGCAAAGGGGATGGTTGCTGGGAGTCTCATTACGTGAGAAGGAATGAGCTGTGTCTGGTGGAGGTGCATGGTTCACCTGTGGGTGGCAGGCAGGGGCTGGGGCCCCGGGTGTGCGAGTGGAAGGCACAGTGGGAGGTGGGGAGGGTCCAAGCCGGGCTTCCCTCTTCCATGGGAAATGGGAGGGCGCCAGCAGCTGAGCCTGGGGCTCAGTGGGGGAGCGGGTGGGAGGTGCATTCTGACCCCCGGCCCCCGAGGCACCATCAGTCCGGTGGGCAGGGGCTGCTTTCCTGGCTCTGTGGATGCCCGTGCTGGGGTGGGGCAGGCGCAGGGCGGAGAGAGGGCAGGGTCCAGGGTGTGTGGGGAGGGACAGGTGGGATCGCCCTGGGGTCTGCTGGGTAAGGAAGGAGGGAAGCGAGGGACAGTGACAAGCCCAAGGGGAAGGGCAGTCCCTGGGTTGTGTGAGTCAGTGCCCTGGGGAGCTGGAAGAACAGCGGGGTCCAATGGTGGGAGGGTTGGAAGTGACCCCTGGAGCTGTGGCAGTTGCTGGTAACAACAAGGTCTGGGGGAGTGAGCGGTGGGAGGGAGGGTAGAGGCCACAGCCTTCAGGAGGTCAAAGAATTGAGAGGGAGGGCCTGGAAGGATGGTCTATGTGGGGACTGCAGTCACCAAGGGTGTGGTGGGAGTGAGGGTGAGCCTGAGTTAAGTCACCCAGGCGGGAAGCAAGTGGAGCAGGGTGGCAGTGCAGCCACGGGGTGAGTGCCGGGGCATTGGGCTGAGGGCTGGAGGTGAGGGTCGGATGAGATCACATGTGCAGGGCCCACTCTGCACAGGACACAGGTTGGTGCTAGGAGAATGGCAGCTGCCTTTATTACCAGCGTCTCAGTGACCCACTTGTGGTACATCATGCGGGTCTGCTCAGAGGTCGGAACTTACCATCAGGAATGTGCCAGACAGCCAGGGTGTAGGATTTATGCACCCCTGGTTCTAGAAGGCTCGGTCCCTGCAGGGCCTGCCTGCTGCCCCCTTTCTACAGGGTCCAGACCCTCAAGCCTGTCTTGCACTGGTGAGCAGCCCAGCCAGGTGGTCGGGAGCAGCAGGGGTGGACAAATCAACAGCAGCAGGAGCTCAGGCGGAGCTCAGGTGCAGAGGCTGGGACCCAGCACACAAGACCTAGTCCTCTCCTGGGGTCCAGAGTGGCCCATGAGAGTCAGCCGAGAAGTCTCAGCTCTTCTCTGCCCACACCTGGGCCAGCCGGAGGATGTGGAAGGTGGACAGCGGGCCAATTACATGTGTTGGGGTTAACACACTGGGGGGTGAGGGCTTCCCTGGCCACCCCAGCACTGCAGGGCTGGGAGCCTCATGCAGGGGGCTCAGAGCCACATGAGGGGGACAGGCCCTCTCCTCGAGCTCCAGCCTAGGTCAGGGCACCAAGGCCGGGTTTGCTGCCCTTGAAGCCCGCCGCATGTCCGCTGTGTTGTGTCAGAAGCACCGACTGCAAACCCCGGTTCTCTCGCTCGTTGCCCTTGGGAGCTAGGGGTCGGCACCTCACCTCTCTGAGCCCCAGTTCTTATCTGTTAAAAGGTGTCACAGTACCCACCTTTCAGGCTAGGAGCTCAGGAGACAGTCTGGAGGCAGTGTGATGGCGACAGCAAGTGGGATGTAAAGTCTTGTGGTTTAGTAAACCATGGGCCTCATTTCAACCCGGGACTTAATGCCCTTCTTAGAAAAGCTTTTGGCTGGGCACAGTGGCTCACACCTGTAATTCCAGTGCTTTGGGGGCCAAGATGGGAGGAGGCGGCGAGCAGGTGTGTCGGGAGGCTCGGGAGGCCGGGGAGAGGGGAGCTGACCGCTGGGCTGCAGCACAGCTCTGGATGAGTGGGGCGCTGCCCTGAAGGGTGCGGGGAGTGGGCGGTAGAGAAGGGAGGCAGGCAGGGATCATAGCATGCCTGTACATGGATGGAAGGAGCCAGCAGAGGGGAAGCTAATGACAGCAGAGGCAAAGGGGATGGCTCACACCTGTAATTCCAGTGCTTTGGGGGCCAAGGTGGGAGGATCACTTGAGACCAGGAATTCAAGGCCAGCCTCGGCAACATAGTAGGACCCAATCACTACAAAACATGTCTTAAAAAATGAGCTGGGCATGGTGGCATGTGCCTGTGATCCTAGCTGCTCAGGAGGCCGAGGTGGGAAGACTGAGAGTTCGAGTGCAGTGAGCTATGATTGTGGCACTGCACTCCAGCCTGGGCAACCGAGTGAGATCCCCTCACCCCTAAAGAAAAGAGCTTAAAACTGCTTCTCTGCTCTGAGAAGCACAACTAACTGCCTTCACTGAAATATACCTCAGGCAGAGATTTGGGGTGAGATAGTAGGTCAGTTGATGTTCTGCAGGAAGGGGCAGCTTGTCCATATCAGCTCGCTCACGCCGCCAGTCCATTCTTAAGGAACTGCCAACCAGGACTGATGATGCATTTTAGCTTTGAGCTTTTGGGGGTTATCCTACCAACAAACAGTCCTTCGGGAAGAAAACAATCCCAGGAATTAACAGATCAGAATGTTCACACTGGTTAATCTTTTTCTAGCAATGAACATGAAGCTAGCAGAAGCTGGTGTGTTTCCAGATGGTTCCTCTAACCAAACTAATTTTTCACTGTTGACAAGTGAGGCAAGGGTTGCACTGGACCAAAGGCTGAGGCTTGGCCATCTAGCATTCCATGCAAAATGGTTTCCTATAAGCATTCCTTTTATTCTCTATTCTATCCTGGGTCTGCCTCAACCATGAGATAGGAGAGTCTCCGGTACTAGCTGCTGTAGCACTGCCCTTCATCCAGGACAGTTAAAGGAGTCTTGGACCTTTCTTTCTCTGGGATCGCTGCCCAGCACCTTCCTACAGAGATGACTTTGAAAGGAAAAAAAAAAAAAAAAAAAGGAAAAACAGCACACCATTCCAAGGAGCCTGGCATTCCTGAATCCTCCTTCCCTACAAGGTGCCTGTCACCTGTCTTTACTGCCTCCTTTTCCCTGTCATGCTCATCAGCTATGGCTTCTGTCCAAGTGCCTGAACAGAAGACTAGAACCTCCACTGCAGGCTGGTTTGAGGTCGTGATTTATGTCAGAATCTTGCACAGCACTGCTAATGTAAATTTCAGCTTTTTCCCTCTAGGATAAACACTTACCAAAGTATGCAACTTTTTTTGGTGGGAAGAGGGATTGTCCTGTGATTTCTACCCATTTTCTGAGGCCTGTGGAAATAAATCTTTAGGTACTTAAAGTTAGACCAAAAATAGAACAAAGTTAATACCAAACTTGAAAAAAAAAAAAAAAGAAAAGAAAAGAGCTGCCATTATGGAGAGCCAAGCCTCCCCTGACTACTCAGGCAAATGTTTTAAGAAGCAGTTCGTTCGTTCACTCATTCGTTTGCTCATTCGTTCATTCATTCATTCATTCATTGGGTCTTTGTGGCTTGCCTACTATGTGCTGGGCAGGGATAAGACAATTTCCAGTGGTGTTGGTTAGAGGATGAAAATAATATGAGCCATTAGCAAGTCTTCCTTGCATTTTCTCTGTGGTTTTGGATCAGCTCCAGCTGCTCTCCTGGGGGGACTGGTTGTCCCCAGAGGCCTGGCTAGCAGGACTGGGCAGCAGGCTTATCTTTCTGAAGGGTGAGGCCAGTGCCCTTGGTGCCCCTGCATGGGTGCCCGGTGATCGGTGTTAAGGGGTGCTGCTTGGAAAAGCCCTTGGGAGCCCTCTTCCTTGGCTGGAGTCCAGCCTTTCCCTCTTTACCCCAGCGTCCTTCATATTTGGTCCAGTTGGTTAGACTTCTGGTTCTCTGTGTAGCAGCCGGGTTCACAGTTTTACCTCGTGTGGGGCCAGGGAATTCTAGGCATGACCGTGTGTCTCATTATTGCCTGTCGCAGGGCAAGTCATGTGACCTGCCAGGCTTTGGCCTTCTCACCTGTGACTCTGGCTATTCTAAGATCTGGGAATGGGGACAGTGTCTCCATCACAGACACACCCCTGTAGGATGCCCTGTATTCTAGATACACTGGCTCTGACTGGAGATGGGGTGGAGGGTGATCTGCAGGGCTGGGCTGGGCCGGGGGAGCCTTGTGGGCCAAGGAGGTGCTGCATGCGGCTCCCTCGGCAAGGGTCCCGCTGGCTGTGCTCCAGGGGAAAAGGTAATGAGGAGCCACTTCCACTTCCCTTCAGTATAAATCCCACAATCAGGAAAATTGCTTCAATTGCTAAAAAACGCTGGTGGGGAAGTCCACTTATTTTTCATTTTTCTTGTGCACTTGCCACCCTCATGCATGAATCACTGTCGGTATGTAGATTAAATTTATACCCCCGTTATCTTTCATGTCTCTGGTGTGCTGGTGTCAGCTGGGCCTCCGGTGACTGAAAGCCCCCTGCCTGCTTTTTAGTGGGAGAGAGTGTGGCCCCTGTGGAGGAGGCTGCTGAAGGGTCTTCCCTCTGTTCCGGGGTCTCCTCTCAGCCCTCCTCTCCTTGGATCTCTGGTTAGGACACATTCTCCAGATTTGCGTGGTTTGTTGGGAGGGTTCGCAACAAGCATGATGAAAGCCTTGTTTCATTTTAATTAATTAATTTAGAGACAGGGTCTCGCTCTGTTGCCCAGGCTGGAGTGCAGTGGCGTGATCTTGGCTCACTGTAGCCTCAACCTCCCTGGGCTCAGGTGATCCTCCCATCTCAGCCTCCCAGGTAGCTGGGACTACAGGTGCACACCACTACACCCGGCTAATTTTTTGCATTTTTTGTAGAGGCAGGGATTCACCATATTGCCCAGGCTGGGCTCAAGTGATCCTCCTGCCTCAGCCTCCCAAAGTGCTGGGATTACAGGCGTGAGCCACCACACCTGGTGCCTTGTTTCATTTCAGTACCTGCTTTGCAAATTGGCTGGGATTGGATATTAAATATACAGGCCTTTTGAAAACACTCTCTAGTAACACATGTGTAGGCTTCCTTTCTCTGTTATACACACACACATAACACACACACACACACACACACACACACACACACAGTAGAGGTGGGTGCCTGCCAGCCTTCCTCTTTGATCCAGGTGATGTGGTTACACAGCAGTTGTGGAGGACCTGGTTCTCACCTGTGTTCTGGGAGGTCTAGAACCATCCAGAGCCGACTGTGTGCTTTGTTCTACATCCTCAGGTTCGGCCATCTCCGTGCACATCCTCTACAAGTATGGTGCTTTATCTGCTGATTTATTTATTCAACAAATATTAACTCTACTTTCCTGGGTCCTGAATCCCTTTAAGAATCTGATGAAAACCCAGGTCCCCTCCTGAGGCACAATTTTGAACAACTTAGCAGGTGGTTTACAGGCCTATGCTGACCCTCACGCAGAGAACTCCTGCTCTAAATGGGCCCCATCTCTCTGAAAACCAAGAGGCATTCCAGGAATTCAGAAGCCTGGGGTCCTCCCAAGCCACCACCTCTCAGCCCCTCACACCCCAACACCCTTCTTATACCCATCTCAGAAGAGTGTTCCCTGAAGTACACTCTGGGTCTTTCAGGATTACCCATGCAGACTTAGAGAACCCCCACTTTTCTCTGGGATGCTGTGTCCCTGGTGGGGGGCGTCTGAGGCTGCTGCTGGCCATGCCTATTCCGGGCCCCCATAACCCCCTCAGCAGGTATCATTACTGCATAACAGACCTATCATTCTGCATTAATCTGGTATTCATCATGATAGCCATGACCATAATTAATTTATTTGGTATTAATGTGGATGAAATATGTACTGTCCTTTCAGGGGAAATCAGGCTGCCTATAAGCATTAGTTAAAAGGACCATTAAAATCAAACCTTCCCCAGATCCATTAGGCGAAGTCTTTCATCCTGAAGAAGATAAAGTTCTGCTGTGTGAAATGTCATGAATAATTAGGTTGATTGCTGTTTTAAACTCTGCCCTTGCTTTCCCAATGCCTCCCGCCTCCCTCCTGAAGCGGGGAAGGCTCACCTGCAGCCACGCACCCTCCTTCACTGTCCCTGTCGGCCCCCAAATTTCCCTCGTCTCCTATGACCATCGGTGTGCCTCTGTTGATCTCTATGACCAGAATGGGGAAAGGGAGTGGAAACAACCCCACTGGACGATACTTTTAAGTGTCAATTTCTCCTTCCTTCCCGGCCTTGGCAGGGGGTGGCTTGCTTGGTAGAAGCTGCCTTGGTGGCAGCAGGTAGCTTCCTTTTGCCTCGGTGTTGTTCTGGAAAGGTGCTGACCAAGGAGAGGTCTGAAGCAGCATTTTCCAAACTGTAATCTGCAGACTCCTTGTCCCGAATGCTGTAGGGGCTGAAAAGTGCAGCTTCCTGGGCCCTTCCCAAACCACCATGCCCCAGGCTGTGTGCGTGCATAGGAAGGGGATGGAGGTAGGCTTGGAGGGCTTTGTGTGTGCAGAATGGAGGTGAGGGGAGAAATGGAGGCAAAGGAGAGAGAACAGCTGTCAGGACAGCCTTGCTCTGCTGACAAAGTGCATTTTCTCTGCAGCGTGCTGTCCCCTGGCCAGGCAGGGCCTCCTCCCTGGGAGTGTGTGAAAAGGTGTTGCTGGGTGCTTTCTACACACAGCCTGTGGCACACACAGTTCCCTGTGAGGATGTCCTCTGGGATCAACCATAAGGGTGAGGAAGCTGGGAGGTGGAGGGGGAGACAGCCTGCTTTGAGGGACTTAGAAAGTCCACCTGCTCCCCCTGTGAATTGATGGGTGTTAATCGGGCAGCTGGAATCCGGGGGCATCAGCTTTGGAAAAGGTACCTGAGGGAGACTCTAGTTCTCATCAGTCCCTTCTTTGGTGGTTGAAGAGTCCCAGGCACAAAGCAATGAAGCTAGATGGAGGCAGAGAGGACCAGACGGTAAGCTCTGGGTGACTGGGGGGTGAGGCTCATGGAGTCCCGGAGTGGTGGGGTAGGAGGGAGGCTGCTCCAGGAAGTTGGGGGAAGCCAGATCCCTTGCTCCCTGTGTGCCCTAATCCTTTCCTGCTGCCCTGACAGGCGCTTCGGCACAAAATGCACGGCCTGCCAGCAGGGTATCCCCCCAACCCAGGTGGTCCGCAAGGCCCAGGACTTTGTCTACCACCTGCACTGCTTTGCTTGCATCATCTGCAACCGGCAGCTGGCCACGGGGGACGAATTCTACCTCATGGAGGACGGGCGGCTGGTGTGCAAGGAAGACTACGAGACAGCCAAGCAGAACGGTAAGCAGCATGGCCCCGCATGGTCCCCTCTCCAGGCCTTTGTTTGGGCCACGCCCTCTGCCTGAGGTGCCCTTCTCATGGCGTCCCACCTGCCCATCCCTCAGAGCCCTACTCATGCACCGCCACCTCTGAGAAGCGTCCCAGATCTCCACACTGAGAGTAAATGCTGAACACCTCCCCGGCCGTTAGCACTCGCCGGCTTCATGGAAGTGTTCATCCAGCCATGGTTCCTGAGAGCCTGCCTGTCTCCATGGTAGGCTCAGAAGCAGCCAAGAACCTGGTTGTTACCATGGTGGTGGCCTCCTTCCCTGGGTGGAGGCTGGGGTGCTGAGGGGTGGCTGGGAGCTTGGTCTGTATTGGACACGTGGGGCTGCCGCTTAGTTTTGCACATCAGGGTGCACATGGACCTCTCAGCAGCCCCTGCCTCAAAGGCCGTCGGTGAGAGCCCAGCACTGGCCTCTGCACACTTCATACATCTGTCTGTTAATTGTGTTCTGTTCGCCTCGCAGACTGTGGGCTCCTCTAGGGCAGGGCCTCCTGGAGTTTCTGCAAGTGCCCAGTGAGTGCTAAAAGAAGAGGCAGGACACATGCCAGATTCAGGGAGGCTCCGTCTCAGCAATATAGCTCCCTCCACCCACTTCAATATAGCTGCCCCCACCCCCTTCACCACAACCACTGCAGGGCCACTGCCCACGGTGGCAGCAGGAGCTCTGCATGGTGGAGGCCGAAGTCAGGTCCCGCATTTAGCAGCCACGCCTGGAAAGGCCTAGCTTGGCCTGGCGGCAGCGGCTCTCGCCCTACATGCCATGCGCTTGGGCAGCCCGGGGACTTTCCAGCGTAGAGCCCAGAACAACACATTCCCCATGCTCCCCTCGCAAAGCCAAGGTGGACACTTTTATTCCTGCAGCCCTACCTCTGGCTTCTCACTCCCAGATGCACCCACATGGTCGTGGGGTCAGGCCCTGGCTCTGAATTTGGGATTTGGCCAAACCCAACATGATAACCTCAGAGGTGTGAACGCACAAAACATCAAGTTCCTTGGCCTTTGACTAGAATTTTGATCAACTCAGGGTGTTACTGTGCAAAAACGGCTCTTGTTGACAGCTCTGGGCTTGATGAGAAAAAAAATTAACAACAATTTTATGTATCTCCTTCTAGATCTTTTCTGGGCCCACACACATATTATACAGATCTCATCAATAATGGAGAAACTGGTTTTTTGTTCATTGAACACAGTATAAAATAAGGGGATTGTGGTGGTGAGGAAGCAGAGGGGATTCATAAGGGCCCTTTAGGTGAGCCAGCTGGAGCTGGGTTTGGCTTTGGTCCATGGCAGGAGTGGGCAGGGCTTCCTGTCTCTTTGAGGACCTTCCCTCCCACCACCCCCACAGCTCTGGCCTTTCAGGGTGGACAGAGGCCTTTGACCTCCTTCCTCCAGAGACCTGGGGCCTCTGCAAACCCATCCCAAGGCTCTTTGCCTGCAATGTACTAATCTGCTCTGGTTTCTTAAAACTCACTCCATGCTATTGCCTTGAAGTCAATTGTGATGTCATGGGAGATTAGGGCAACTTGTCAGGGATGAACCATCACAGCAGATGGACTCAGAGATACCAAGACACCTTTGGAAGTCTAGTGCCGTTCATCAGAGATACTAAGATGGCACGACCTCCCCGGCCTGCAGCTGGTTCTCATCAGAGGCCTCATTTGGACTCTGAGCACTCTCAGCTCAGCATCTCCTGATGTTGTGGGTGGTTCAAGAGACAAGAGAAACAGATGTAGATTGGTCAGAATCTGGCTGGGGAGGTGGGAATGACATTGTGGTGCTCACAGTTTTATCGAGGAATATTTGCACCACAGCAGACCTCTGCAGGATGATGGAAGATGCCGGACTTGCTGTCAGAAGCTGGCTGGGCATCCCCCCACACAGGGAGATCTCCTGGCAAGTTGTAGAACTGGCTGACCCTCGGCTTCTCAGCTGTCTATGGAGGATCATAGCATCTGCCACGTAGGGCTGTTTTCCTGAGGTTTAAATAGGATGAGGCTTGTGAAATGGGATGTGAAATAAGAGACTGACGTGGAGGAGAAGTGCAAACAGGGAGGTGAGGTGTGCTTGAGGTTTTAAAGCAGCGGAATGTTACACAGTATTTCTGGCCTGTTCCCCGGGTCCTTTCCTGACCCCACCCTGGCTGTGAGCAAGGCAGGGCTCCTCTGTCCTGGGCAATCGGTGATCCTTGGAGCAGCGGGGAGTTCTGTCCACTGCAGAATGCCTGGCTGTCTTTTCAGGTTGTTTTAATTCCTCCTTGCTACTCTCAGCCCTCCTGCAGGCTTACAGTTCCCTCCCATTAGCTAAACAAAGGATCTCAGAGCAGTTACTTGCACCTTAGTGTGAATGATTTTGTTCACTTGTTCCGTCTCCCTGGATATTTGCATTTTCAATATAATGAGGTTGCGTTTTATGCCAGGGACAAGTTCTAGGAGACCCTGCATCATTCAAAACTAACATATTTTAAGACTAATTTTCCTGTAGGAATTAATGTAGAGTGTGTGGGGGGGGGGGTGGTATATTCTGAGAGCACATAAATCCATAACCAGTGAAGTGTATCTTTGCCTTAATGCTACTTTTTATTTTCTCAGCATTATCTTGAATACCTTGCAGAACGCTCTCTCCTAAATTAACAGCCCAGGGTATCATGGGCTCCCTTGGCCTTCCTCATAGCGTTTTGTCACATTTAACTTCCGTACCAAAGTTATTGATTTTTGGGTACATTTTTCAGCACGAGCACTGCCACTGCTACTTAATGAATACTTGGATGACATTGTTATGGGATATAAAAAAGATTTTAAATTATAATAACAGTGAATGTTAAAATAACAGCATATTAGTCCCCATCATTGCAAGAAGAAAATCCTGTGTGTGTAGCAGTGCCGAACCAGCGGGCCACCAACCAGGATGACGGGTCTATCCCAGTGGCGCTACCATCTGGCTGTGGTGAAAAGAATTTATAATTCCGTAGGCCAAGCTATTTTGAAATTAAGTGATTCTCGAGAAATTAAAACATTTTTGGTGATTGCATTATTTCACATTTTTTAATATAAAGATTGTACACAAGTGCACTATTTCCCATTTGCATAATTCAAAGTTGCATCAGACACTCCCGTGTAGACTATAAATATGCACAGAAGGGACAGACTCCTCAGAATGAAAAGGAAGGCATTTTGGAGGTTCCCCTTTGTCTTTTGGAATGACTCTCTAAGTAGTGTAGTCTCTGTGGCAGGGGCTCCGGAATCCCTACCCTTCGGGTTCAGGGCTTCAGGGAGGGAGTTGGGCCACAGTAGTTCCGGGATGACAGTGGCCACGTGAGAGAAGAAAACAGCCCGAGGAGAAGGGAAGGCACGGGTGTGTCCCCCCTCACTGTGTACACACATGTCCTGGCTGCACAGCTGCTTCATTCCTCTAGTGCCTCCCAAGATCAGGGCAGGCCGTGTTGCCCTCTGGACTTCCAAGGGGGAAGTGAGTTACTGGCCCAAGTCACTCACTCATCAAGAACACTGAAGCCAGGTCTGCTGACTCCAGGGAGAGCCTTGTAGATTGTGAGGACCGAATGCATATAAAGTCCTTAGTCAACACCAGCACATGGTAGGTGCTAACACATGTTGGCTACTATTGTTTCTAAGAGAGGGTTTTCTTGAATGGAAAGAAAGGAGAAAAGACAGAGAGGAAGTCAGGAATGTCACAGAGACACCTTCTGGGGCACACAGGTGAGCAAGCACAGAGAGCAGAGCTGCCCAGGCCAGCTGCTGACTTTATTCCGTGTGTCCTCCAGGGGCACTGTGGAGAAAAGGGCAGTATGCCTAAGTGCTGGGAGAGGAAACAAACCTTTACATTCACCTGTGCTTCCGAACACACGCACGCGCCTCTCTCTGTACCTGACTTTGAATGGAACAAACCAGACTTTAACTAACAGGAACTTGAGCTTGTTCACTCAAAATCTGTCTAGGACTTTGTGTTGATCAGTCAGTGTGTTGCCCAGAACATTCCTTAGACTAGTTTTCTCAAAAAATTTTGACTACAATCCACAGTAAAACTCATTTTACATTTCATCTCAGTACACATATTTATACAATAAAAACTAAAGTTTAATGAAATGATCTTGCCATTCCATCCCATTCTCTTCATCTGATTTCCTGTTTTAGTTTTGATCCACTAAGGTGACTTTACAGCCCACGAGTGGGTTCTGACCTATAGTTTAGAAACCTGCTTAGACACTGTTGGGTGTGCAAGCTCACCCCTGGCTGTGAGCCCAGCGACGCCAGGGCAAAGGTGACATGGCTGTGGGGAAATGGGAGACTCCTGATGAGACAGAGGGGAGGGCATCTGGGGCGACTTTGAACATGACTTCAACCTGGCTGTTCACCTTCACAGCTCTGGCAAGAACTCATGAGGATGTGTGAGCAGAGTGTTTGTCATGACAGGGACGTGTGGAATTGGGTACATTCAATCTGATGAGACTTCTGTGCAGCTGGGCTGGCAGGGGAGGGTTGAGGCAGGGAGCTGAGCAGAGAAAGGACTGCTGTCCTCACTTTTCAGTGGCTTGGGAAGGCCCGTGGTGCAGGAGTCAGTGCCATGAGAGTGGGGACCTCTCCACTCTGATGTCCCCTGTGCCTCGCGCTGTCCTGCCTACAGCAGGCAGGCTTAGGTGCAGAAAGGATGGAAGGGAGGGTGTGGGAGGAGGCGCAGCTGCTGCAGATAGGCCGAAGCCAGTAAGCAGTGGTTTTTCCTTGCAGATGACTCAGAGGCTGGAGCTAAGCGGCCCCGGACCACCATCACAGCCAAGCAGCTGGAGACATTAAAGAATGCATACAAGAACTCCCCCAAGCCTGCCCGGCACGTGAGGGAGCAGCTGTCCTCAGAGACAGGCCTGGACATGAGGGTCGTACAGGTGAGATGCCAGCACTCCTGTGCCCTCCGGGGATCCCAGGCCCGGGACAGGGGTGGAAGGTATCCTGAGTGACATCAGCTCACGGGTGGTTGGGCTCAGGGCTTGACCCCAGGGCTTTTGCCAGAACTGAAGACAGAGTTCTGAGGCCCACCTGGGGAGAGGGGGTGGGGCGCATCGCACTCCCAGACCTGTGCTCCATTCAGGCTTCAGTCTGCTTCCAGCCGCCCGCCTAGGGGGTCCTGGGGGCTTTGGGTTTGTGGTGGACGCCCCCTGAGTATGTCCCTTGTGCTTGTGTGGCAGGTTTGGTTTCAGAACAGAAGGGCCAAAGAGAAACGCCTGAAGAAGGATGCAGGGCGGCACCGCTGGGGGCAGTTCTATAAGAGCGTCAAGAGGAGCCGGGGCAGCAGCAAGCAGGAGAAGGAGAGCTCTGCAGAGGACTGTGGGGTTAGTGACAGTGAGCTGAGCTTCCGAGGTGAGCAGGGCTGGAGGGGCCAGGCCGAGGCCTTAGGAAAGTCCCCTGGGAATCTGTAATCCCTGGCACTCAGGAGGGATCTTTCTTGAGGCCTTGGCAACTCCCTCCTGAACACAGGCTTTTCCTTAAGACTTGCAGTGAAGGGTGGGGGAAATGGTAGTGGCCCTTTACCATGGGACAGGAGTAGGAAACAAGATTGCTGAGGTCTGGAAGCTGGGATGGGCCAGGCCCCGTCCTGTGGCCCCAAGGTCTCCCCTCCCCTCCTGCTGACTGGGGCCTCCCTCATCAGCCCACACAGCTATGAACAGATGACTGGGTTCCAGCCTTGTGCCCCTAGCCCCTCTCCCATCTTTGTCCCCTTTGCTGGGACACTGGCCTACTCCCATAGTCCCCTAGAGCCACCCCTTCCTCCAGTCCTGGTGGTGGGGAGGTCATGCTCCACAGGTTTTTTCCTGGGAAATCAGTACTGTGAGTGCATGTGAGATGGGGAACTGGCTTCACTTCCGAAATCCCTTTCCCCACCACTCACTTCATTCTGTCCCCTGCACACAAGCTTTGCAGCATGCACTATATTCAAATTCATGCATCAGCAAAATTGTAAATTACTGCATGTTATGAATCCTCAGGTTGTTTGCAAAGAATCATAACTGTTCTCAGGTACTGAGTTCTCAAATGTGGAAGGTCTTCTGCGGAGGGGGAAAGGGAAGAGTACTCAACTGGCGATCAGAGACCTGGTTTCCAGTGCAGCTCTGTCAAATCGATTCACTTCTCTTGAGCCCCAGTATTCCCAAGAGGAATACCATATCTTTGCCCATCTCACTGCGTTGTGGGGATCAATGAACACAACCAACTGTGGATGTGCTTGGGGAAAGCCTGGCACATTTGTATACCTGGAAGGCATGATCGTTCCCACAGGGAGCGTGTGGCTCCCGCAGAGGGCCCTGGTCATTTGGGATGACAGGTATAGGGAAAAGGCTAACTCATGGCCATTTGACAATGGAGTGGAGCCTTCATCTTCCTGCTCCCTTTAAAGAGCATGAGCTCCCCCCACCATGTTTTTTCATAAGGGGAATGGGGGGCAGGCCTCAGAAGGGATGGGGTGTTGAAGTCTAGTCTGGGGAGGCCTTATTTAGGGATTGGTGCAGAGGCCCAGGTGGAAATAGAAAAGGAAGTTTGTGGGACAGAGGATGGAACAAGTTGCCTGCCAGGACAACGATGCCCTGGGAGGACTCTAGTTCAGCCCAGAGGTCAGCTGAGCCCTAGAGGGCAGCCTCCTCTGAGAACACAGGGCCCGTGAGGCCTTGGGGACAGCTCATGGGACTAATACTCACCTTTTAGGCTTCTTGGCAGGATTGGGAAAGTCAATCTCATCTGGGCTGTTGAAGTCAACACCTAGAACATACTGGATTGTTAAGCTCATTTCTGTTGGGTGCAGGTGGGTCCCTGGGCTGACCTATCATTGGTTTCTCTGGGAATAATTTCTCAAAGACTAAAACTGCTCACCTCTGTTGGAGAGAGAAATTCTTTCAAGTGGCAAAGATTCCATTAGATCCCCTTAATGAAATTCTTTAAGAAAAAAGAAGGTTCATTTGCCTTAATCAAGTCAATTCTTTGTCCCCAGTGAAGAGCTTATTGAATACAGACAGAAACCAAGTCCTTTGATATTGAACCTCTCTTCCAGATAGACCAGAAGGATTTTGTACAGATGTCTAAGAGTGGTCCTCAGCTTCCCTGACCATATGGGCCTGCTTGCTTCCCAATCAACTAAACCAAGCCCTTTCTCAGCTTGAAAGCTTTCAGGGTAAATGTTGTCAGCATGTAGTTTCCATTTGTGATGTGGAGACATCTGACCCACCCAGCCTTAGGCATTCATCCTCCTCAGTGTAGCCAGAGTATTAGTACACGAGCCACAAGGGACCAACGAGCTCACCAAACATTTGTCCATCCTTCTGGGACCTGGGAATTTAGTCTTTGCAGGTGTTTCTTGTTTTTCTCCTTGGCCTGGGTTGGCCTCTGGATATCAGGCTGCCATATTGGTGTGTCTGACCCATGCTTGGCTGCAAGGCAGCTGCCATCCTTGGGCATCTTTCCTGGTCATGTGTGTTCCTAGGTTGTGAAGAGCAGGGGACCATCAGAGTCCTGGCAGCTGACAATAAATCTCCGTTCTTTTGTCCACAGAGGATCAAATTCTCTCAGAACTTGGCCACACCAATAGGATTTATGGCAACGTGGGGGACGTTACAGGCGGACAGTTAATGAATGGGAGCTTCTCCATGGACGGGACAGGACAATCCTATCAGGACTTGAGGGATGGGAGCCCCTATGGAATCCCCCAGTCTCCATCCTCCATATCGTCCCTGCCATCCCACGCTCCTTTGCTCAATGGGCTGGATTACACGGTGGACAGTAATTTGGGCATCATTGCGCATGCAGGGCAGGGAGTAAGCCAGACGCTGAGAGCCATGGCTGGGGGACCCACCTCTGACATCTCCACAGGAAGCAGTGTAGGCTATCCCGACTTTCCAACTAGCCCAGGCTCTTGGCTCGATGAAATGGATCATCCTCCTTTTTAAACTTCTCTCCTCCCCACCCTACCTGCCCCCCTGGCTTGAGAGAATATCTTCAAGGATCAAAAGAGACTTGCCTTTTAAGGATCGAAAGTACGCCAATGTGAATTTCCATTATTTTCAATGGAAGTCCTCCGCTGATTCCTAGAAGGCTGTGAGACCACACTAGGGCATTGTTTCCCTGGGGAAGCAGTGGGAGAGCAGACTCATCTCAGAACACAGCACAGGGGGTAATGGCCTAGAGCTCTAGGGACACTGGCTTGTTGGGTCTCTCCCCTGCTGTTCTGCTTAGGGGCTTGGCTGCTCAGTGCTTTGGTAGCACAAGGTGACTGTGATAGGCCCCCTTGGCCTTTGGGAACTTTGCTCCAACTGGTGTGTCTCACACAATGCCTCCCAAAACACTGCTCTCACCAGAACTGAGACTCCTAAGGTAGAGGCCTCACAGCCCTTGAGTAAAATAAAAGTGATTTCTGGACCATCCTTATTGAACCCTATATTTCAAAATGAAAAGATCAGTTATTAAAGGTCAGTGAACACTTTGATGGCCAGTTTGATATTAAAAACATGCCCCCTCCTTTTTTATTTTTGCTGTGAAGATATGAATTCTTTCCTACAAACCAGAGAATATGAACCTGTTTTGGTTTTTAAGTGTCCCATCTATATCATTGACTCTGATGGCAAGAGGTGGTTTTCATTGCAGGTGACTGAGGCTGAGCTGAGTAGCCCTGGACCACCGCTGCAGATTGCCTGAGTCGTCCCCTTGGTGCACAGTGTGCCTTCTTCAATTGCTTGTATCATTTATTCCACAAGACAGGCTGTGGGCTGTAAAATGAGCAAAACTAAAATGTGGGGAGAACAAAATGACAATCAATCAGTGAACATTTGTAGACACATTTGGATTCCAAACCTGCAGTCTGTTCAGCCATATCGGCTGATGCCAGTCTTCCAGAGTTCCCCATCCCTTGTAGGGTGAAATATTTGGAGTCTGTTTTGAAGGAGTTGGTTTAGATGAGCTTGCAAGTCTACCCCTCTGAAAGCTTTCTCTGCTGTCCTAGCTGACTCAATTGGAGGACAGTTTTGGTCATTTCCAGGAACCAGCAATTTTTTTTTGGCCTACCTTGGTTGGGAAGAGTAATTTAGGGAGCAGCCCTAAAATTGTCCAAAGGGTTCTAAGTGGTTCTTGGGCTGCATCTCTCTGGATTGCTGGCTGGACACCTGCCATGCCTTGGGCTGCAGTCCCATGGTCAGAAAGCCAGAACTCTCTGGCCAGTGGTGGTGCAGGGACTCCCCGTTGTGCAGGTTTGCAGTAGCAAATCACTAAGCCTGAGGCCAGAGCAAGGCCAACCCCCGCTTTACGAGTTGCCACTCCTGCGACAGACTGCACTGCTGTGGGAAACGCTGTCCTGAATGGTGCTGCAGCTCCCACCCACCTTGTGCACCCATCTACCATCAGGAAGCTCTCCATGTGCAAACTGGAATTTAGCCAGCTGGAATTTATTCCTGTCCCTCTGGGAAGCTGTGTTTGCTTCTTCTGGCCTCCCATTCTCTTAAATGAGATCAGCAGAGTAGGAAAGGGTGAGAAGGCATTGCCTATCACATGAAGTGATGGGGCCAGAGACCCTAAGGACCCTTCCTTCTACGAATGGTTGGTCACCTTTTGAGGACTGCAAAGACTTAGGCATGTCATAGGCAGACTAAAGGAAGAATACACAGTTCCTCTTGGACTGCTACATCTTTTGTAAGCCCTTTTCCAGGACTAAACTAAGTTCAATTAAGTAAGTTCTTTAAAACAGTAAATTCCGGGATCAGCCTTCGGGCCCTCTTCTCTGACCAATTTTATAGCGTACCCTCGTTTTTTGGTGTGCTGCAGTGGTCATGATTTTTGCTTGAGAAGTCTGCAAACATAGACACTTCTCTTGAGGTTCCATGTTTATGGATGATGTTGTGTTAATCCTAGCCAATTCTGTGCTATTGGGAATTCTCCAATCATGAACACTGGGGTGGGGAGGAAGACACAAATGCCATGTGAGGAAAGGAAAATGCAGTCGTCTTTTTGGAGGATGGCTTTTTAAATACACCCTTCTTAGCAGGCTGCTTAAAATACACAGGAGAAAAGGCTCTGCTGGGCAATGAACCAGATGAAAAGCTGCCCACCCAGATCACTGTTGCAGGTTGACTATTTGGCTTAGCAACTCATGGGATTTCAGAGGCCCTTGAAGTTTTTGGTGAGTATAGTGTGGGGGAGAGCAGGCTTTTTAAAAGGGGGGGGGGCATCCTCCTCTGTGTAGCACTGTTTAAGATCACTGTAAGTAAGTTGACCAGTTTTTGTAAGTTAATCATACTAATTCCCAGTTCAATAGTGGAAGGAGAGGCCTTCCTCATTTATACTAATAATATAATAAATCTCTTGAGGAACTCAGTGAGCAGTTGACGAGGTCAATAGTTCTTTGGCATCAGTAGGGCTGGTTAGCTGGAAAAACCCTTGAGAGCACTGGCCTGAAAACCAGGAGAGCTTTGTTTTCCAGAGCCACCTCCCCAGAAAGCAGCAAACACTGCTGCCTGTTTAGAAGCACAGCCACAGTAGGTCTAAGATTTTAAATGGATCTCCCTACAGGTTGGGTTAGCATTATGGGTGGGCTGGTGCCACTAATGAGCCATTGCATGACAGGACTCTTCTGGGGTTTGGAAATGGAGAAAAGCCGGGCATTCATTACTTTTAGCTTCTCTTAGAGGCACTCCTCTGTTGCTTGGAAGTCTATTATGGGGTATAAGGTGCTACATGGTAGCTGTTTCCCCCCTTGCTAAAATGACATGGATGAATTTTAAAAATGAAATGAGACCTTCTAGAGGCAACCATTATCTGCAGTGCCTGGCTGGTCGACTTTAGAGTAGGAAGCTCTTGAATCCAGGAGCAAATTAGTTAAAACCCCAAGTTCCAGTGGTAACTGGTATAAGCAAAATGGAAACTGAGGGGCTATGGAGGAATCTCTGTTTGTTGGAACGTAATGAAACCATGGAGGAAATACCAGATTTAAGGGCTAAGAAGCTGGCCCGATGGGTAAATCAGTGTTGGGAGTCAGGTTCTTGGCCCTTCAAGGACTTGCTATGCAACCTCAGGCAAATTCCTCTCAGTCTTTGTGCTTTCTCTTTCTTGTCTCATCTGACAGTTATGAATATAACGTAAAATAAAGATCAACTATCATTGATAACACTGTTCCTGCAAATGAATACTGTGAAACATCAGGGAAAGAGGAAAAAATTAAGCCACAAGAAAACCATTTGGCAGTGTCCTTAAACTTTTTTTGGGGGGGGGCAGTGTAAAACATGAAACCTAGTAAGATAATTGGGCCATTAGATCTTCATCATTAAACTCACTTTGCAAGGAAGTGTAAGAAATCTGTAAAACAAAAGACATTCCTATCTCAGAAGCTCAAACTGGTGATTTCCAACTGCCTCTTTACAGGAGGGGGCTCAAGGCTTCTGATGAGCAAAGGCTGTGTGTTGTATGACAGTCCACTCTCTGCACCTACACTTCCACGTGCCACGACTGACAACTTGGTTATAACCATGAAAATAATGACCATACCTCCCCAGCCAGCAGGGTCTGGAAGGCCTGAGGAGGCTCATTTTTAAACACTGCACTTTAAAAATTGGAAACCGTGAGATGAAGAAAAATTCAATTAAGCGGAAATGAGTTTTGTTTTATTGCCTGCTGCTGAAGGGCTCTGGGCATGCTGAAAGCTAAATGAAAAGCACATCACTGGCTCTCTTCTTTCTTGGATTGGTCAATTGGCCCTTTTTGCAGTAGTTGCTCCAACTGTTCTAAACAGTGAGTGACTGGAGCCAAAAAGAGAGAGCTCAGCAAAGCCATCCCATCCACACTCTGCTTGGTAGGACCACACTAAAAGCACAGTTTCATGCTGCTAGCTCTGGTAAGGAGACAGCTGCAGGTTTGGGAGGTGCACCAAGCATTCCTTTGCTTAGGGAGGCAGAGCACAGGTGAACAGAGGAAGGACACCCCCACTCTCATCTATTGCCCACCGAGAGGCAAGAATCACACCAACTTTCCCACTTGAGGACTGTGTTCGGCCAAACAAGCAGGTTCAGGGCTGCGGGATTCCAGAAGTTGCTCTGAGCTTGCAATCAGACCTCAAAGCCCCAGATCCCCTCAGCTCTGGATCGTTGCCCTCATCCTTCACAATGTAAATTTTGTACAGTTAAAGAGAAATGAAGTCTCGTTTCCTGGGGAAAAAAAAGAAAAAAAGAAAAAAAAAAGACCCACCCATCCTTATTTATTGCCATATGACTTTGGAAAACAGAAGCTGGTGCGTTTGTTTGTATATGCCTCCTGTGTGTTGGCATGAGATGTGTACGGTAAAATTATGTAAAATAAATATGGAAATTCTTTAGATGCTGATGTGTCTTGCTTTTCATTTGGTTTGCTGGAAGTTTTTTCTCTTGACATAAATAGAATAAAAACTGAGTGATGTGAGGTCCTTTCCTTTTATCATCAGAAGGAAACCAAATATACAACTCTGAATGCCAGAACTATTATACTTAGAGCCATGAAATACCAGAACCACTCAATAAAGGACTGATTAGAGGAAGTTCCCTGGTTTTTCTAATAGTCATTTCCTGGGCACGATCCTCTGCCCCCAGACTTAGGAAATGAGCAGTAGAAATGTTGACCATATAACTTTTAGTTCCTGTTTGTTCAGTGGCATTTTTAAAATTTTTTTTTGAGACAGAGTCTTGCGCTGTTGCCCAGGCTGGAGTGCAGTGGTGTGATCTCAGCTCACTGCAACCTCTGCTTCCTGGGTTCGAGTGATTTTCGTGCCTCAGCCTCCAGAGTACGTGGGATTACAGGCATGCGCAAACACGCCTGGCTAATTTTTTGTATTTTTAGTAGAGACGGGGTTTTGCCACGTTGGCCAGGCTGGTCTCGAACTCCTGACCTCAAGTGATCCGCCCACCTGGGCCTCCCAAAGTGCTGGAATTACAGGTGTGAGCCACCATGCCCGGCCTGTCCAGTAGCATTTTAAAAGTCCTTCACACTCATACATTTTTCTTTCTAGAGAAAGTATATGCAAATGTCTATATTTACAGAGGGACAGAAACACCTCATCAGAGTCATCAGGGCTCCTGGACAAACATTTTCCAGGAGAATCTCCATTTAGGTTTGTTTTCTCTGCAGGAGTCTTTATTAGTGTGCAGACCCTAAGTTTAGCTGGAATGGAAACAGCAACAGGGACTTTTTCATTACATTAAAAAAAAAAAAAGTCATAGCATTTCTTTACAGCTGGGATTCCACTGTGGAAAAACTACAGCGTGTTTCTTTTCCCCACTAGTCATTAGTTTTGTTTGGCTGAAGAGAAGATCCAAAGCAGTGGCACTGTCCAATATGGTAGCTACTAGCCACACATGGCTATTTAAATTTAAATTAGTATTAAATAAAACTAAAAGTTTAGTTCCTTACACTAGACACATTTTAGGTGCTCAACAGCTTCATGTGACCAGTGGCTACTGTATTTGGACGACACTGATATAAAACAGTTCTATCATTGCAGATGGCTCTACTGGACGGTGCTCATAGAGTCTTGTTAGGGAGAGTGGGCAAGGAAATCTCATTCATCACATGTTTAGCTATTAGTTATCCTGGAATACTTGGTGAAATATTCTGAGACTCCTTAGACAGTAGCAGTGCCAACTTCTCTGCCACCTTATTGTGTGTGTGGCATTTCCCTCTCCCCCTTTGTTTTTTCTCCTTTCCTGGATAGAGAAAACTTAAAAAAAAAAATGCACTACATAGAACAATTTACTTAGGTACAAAGCAGGAGGTTGGGCTCTGGACCTCTGAGTTCTCTAATGCTGCCACTGGGTTGTTGTGACTTAACCTAAGTCCTACAACTGCTTTGTCCCCTAAAGTCTACCCACTTAAACCGGAAAGTTAGTACCTCCCAGGCAGAATGCCCAGTGGGATTCTTGGAGGGATTAAAGGTCTTTTAGTGGAGACCCCCTCTGCTATCAAGGAGAGTCATGACCCTTTGCCAAAATCATCTCCCGCGTTAAGTGCTTTATTAGGCTGAGAAAGGCAAGAGATCTTACTGGGTTATATACCAAGGAAGGGTGGAGAAGATGAGAAGTTCAAATGGGAGTGAAGATATTGGTAGGGGAATACAGAAGGTGCTGTACATAAGGTCTTTTTTTCTTCACTAGCCCAGTCTCTTGGGTGGTGGTTAGGGAAATTCACAATGTGGCTAGGAAGGGCTCTGTTGCTCCTAAACTTGGTTACTCATTGCTGAGGCACTGGTAATGGGCATGAGAATTTTGGCTAGTTTATGCACTATATACCATGTTTTTGGGTAGCCTAACTTGTCTTCCATTCTCAGCCCCTCATCACCAGCCTATGTTGCATCTTTCTTTTCAACATACTATCAACTGTTTTTGAGTATAGCAGGTTCATTGGACCGCTTCCACTTTATCCTCTAGTGTACACAGCTTCCACCACAATGCTAACCTAGTAATAACTTTTTGGGATTATAAAATGGCTGCAGCTCACAAAGGAGAGAAGATCTGGTCCCCGCAACAACAACCCCCTTATTTTAGTTTGGTCACTGGAGACTGGCACCTGAGCAGTCTGATTTTCTTTCTGACAGTGGTTTTCCAAAAAGACAGCTGCTTAAAGAATAAAGGAAAGATATCACTAGCCAGAAAGAAGTAAGCAAGACTCACTCAGGAGAACAAATGGAAGCTCCGCAGTCGGTGTTCCATTGCTTTCCTGTCCTTTCCCCTTGGGCCCAGGATTCTACTCAGCTAAAATCACAAAAGGAAAAAAGAAATGAAAGGCAAGTCAGTGTGTTGCACATTTTAACTGATGGCTAAACTGCAAATAACATCTTGAGAGGTGATCCTCAATGTATCTGCATGTATTTCCTAAGATTTGTTATGTGAGGCACAGTTTAAAAATTGTCCTTTACAGTCTGAAAGTGTGTCCTTTGCCACACTTGCTTAGAAGAATGCTATTTCATTTTTATTCAGAATTCCTAGTGCCTTTCTTCATAAAGCCCCTTTGCCTGGCTGTGCAGGGAGCACTGATCAAGCTCTGTATGGATGATTATTTGTCTCATGACTGCCACAGGGAAGTACATAGTTCAGCCACTACTGTGGAGAAGTATTGAGTTAGGAGGGAGAAAAAAAAAATCAATGTTTATAAAATGGGGCCAAATCATTAGGAAAAGGGAAATTTTATTATCATCCTTCTAAAAGGAGTAATACAAATAAACCATCCGAAACTATTAAATAAAGGTCTTTTAAATGATCAGCTCCTGCCCGGGGAAGAGTATATCACATCCTCTCAGAGAAAGCAGACGTGGGCTTCTGCATGTAACATCTGTCTCTTTTGATTTTTTAATTCATTTTCTTCTGTCATTTTTGCCATTGTGATTTCAGGATTTTCCTTTAGAACCCTTTCTTTTTGGTGATTTTTCCTTTAGCCATCTCCAAAAACACAAAAATTGAATAAAAGTATTACACACAAACTGGTATGTTATTCTGTAATTAAATTGGGCAAGTTACAGGGTGTCCCTGAACTGGTCAGAACTTACAAGGCTCATAGAGGCTGAGCTGCCTCTAGAGTTGTAGGAGAGGCTTTTTTAAAAAAATTAATGATTTATCTTTCTCTTGCTTGCCAACCCTGGACCAGGATCTCCTGTTGGCTGGGAGGGGTTGGGGATTTGGGAAAGGCTGGGAATTGCTTTCTGAAAGATAAAATATAGACCCAAAAAAGTGGTCTTGGCACACATTTGGAGTTGGAAATAAGCAGTTAAAAAAAAAGAGCAAGAGAGACCATTAAAATGGTAAATAGATTTCAACAGATGGCTTCTGCACAGCAATGGAGAGCCCAGGCAAGAACTTTGGGGTTAAATCTCATATTTTAGTCACCTGGGACTAGTTTATTATCTCAGAAAAACAAACATCCATAAAGTTGACAGCTCCCTCCCCTCCTCTGAAGTGGAATCCTTGAAGGTTGCCTCCTCACTGGCCAGCTGCCTGCAGATAGTGGCTTAGGGAATTGAAAGTCACTTTTTCGACACCTGTCAACTGCAGGGCTTAAAGCTGGAGGAATACAATAACTAAGAAACTACATTACTGGTGGGCCAGAACTTCTATACTCAGTATGTGTGTGCTGGCTTTAAAAAAAAAAATCATTGTAACATTTAATGCTCCTCAATTAAAGTGATTCCCTGGAGTGGATGCCAAGCTTCGTTCAGAATGCGCATTAACCACTTTCTGTATCGGTAGTTAAAGGCACTGAGGGATTTAAACAGCAATGCACAAGTCTGTTCAGTCAAGGTTTGGTGGAATAAAGCAGATTATAAACAATAATATATGTCTTTCTGTTTTTTTTTTTTTTTTTTTTTGGAAGGGTTCCAAACTCACAAACGGAGCTAAAGTGCTATAAACATATCCAGGACTAAGCTTTGGGCTCCACAAATGTACTCCATGAAAGCCATGGGCACAGGAAGTGCCACTTTTTATCCTGTGTGTGTGCATAAGCTTGTACTTTAAAAGAGCCTTTTATTACACAAAGTGTCCATCAACTGAACTTACCTTCTAAATATTAAAATGGAAACCGAGATTGCTACGCAAGTGAGAGGAAAAATAAATCCTGCTTTTAGTGCGTATAAATGTGGCTGCTGCCTAGTACAGTCCATTGGAAGTCACCTGTTGACTCCTTAATGCCCTCATAGTCCCACATGTTCAGCCACTGCATCTAGTAGCATTAGGTTCAAATGGTGACTTTCCCACCTCTGAGAAAAACCCACCCTGAGTGCCTAGAGCTCCACCATGAGACAAGTGCATGCTGTTGGGCAGCTCCTCCCCTGGTTTTCTCACCTGGTTTTTAACTTCCGTATTCTATCATTTAGGAATAAAATCAGCAAAAGATTCTGTCATGCATAGAAACCAGTCTGTAACTTGTGAACACCCTGACCTGGTTTTTAGGACCAGGAATACAAAGGAAGGAATAGTGTCCCCAGAAGTAATTCCAGTACATGCATCCCATAAGAGAGTGAAAAATGTGAAATAATTACATTTGTTTTGTAATTGTGCTAAGAAAAAGTGATACAACAAAACACACGAAAGAAAATTTTGAAGAATTCAAGTATAAAAGAAAAATACAGGTTGAGTATCCCTAATCTGAAAACCAAAATCCTAAATGCTCCAAAACCCAAAACTGTTTCAGCGCTTACATGTCAAAGGAAATTCTCATTGAAGCATTTTGGATTTTGGCCTTTTGGATTAGGGATGTTCAGCTGGTACGTATATAATGCAAACATTCCAAAATTAAAAAAAACACCCAAAAAACCAGAAATCAAGCATTTCGGATAAGGACTCGTCTCCCTGGACTAAGAAATAAGCCGTGAATTCCCAATAACTATACATGATTCATGCGAAGTGATCCATACAAAAATCATGACAGGAATATTTCAAGGACAAGTGAATAAAGATTAGGTTAAATAGCTTTACCTGTTCAATCCTCTAGTGTAATGCCAATTAATGCATATTTGAAAATTGACCATACTTGGTGCATAATAAACACTGGCTGACAAGCATAAGAAGGAAGCATATTTTTTCTTGAGTCTGATAATCACTATACTTTAATCCAACATCTCTCTGGTGAAGAAATTGTGAATGATTACTAAAGTAATTAAAGATACTCAAGGTAAAAGTTCCAATAATAATCGTAACAACTTTTCAAATCACATGATTACGAAAGATGGTATTAAGGTCTTTTTTTTTTTTTTGAGAGACGGAGTCTTGCTCTGTCATCCAGGCTGGAGTGCAGTGGCGCGATCTTGGCTCACTGTGACCTCTGCCTCCCGAGTTCAAGTGATTCTCCTGCCTTAGCTTCCCAAGTAGCTGGGACTTACAGGCATGCGCCACCATGCTCAGATAATTTTTGTATTTTCTGGTAGAGATGGGGTTTTTCACTTTATGTTGGCCAGGCTGGTCTCAAGCTCCTGACCTCAGGTGATCCGCCCGCCTCAGCCTCCCAAAGTGCTGGAATTACAGGCATGAGCCACCGAGCCTGGCCGATATTAAGGTCTTTATGGTATAAAACGAAAGCTCAATGTGTATATATAAAATCCACCAAGAGGCCTGATAATGCACCTTTGAGTATGGCTGCTTTTGTTTTTGCTTTTGCTTATCCTGATAACATAGTTCAGAGAAGCTTTTGGACTTGATATGAAAGGCTTGCATAATTACCCTGATTTTGAATAAATAAGATCATGTGGCCAAGCCTGGTGGCTCTTGCCTGTAATCCCAGCACTTTGGGAGGCCAATGCGGGCAGATCACTTAAGACCAGGAGTTCTAGATCAGCCTGGGCAATACAGGGAGAAAAAAAGAAATTAGTTGAGCCTCGTGGTGTGCACCTGTGGTCCCAGCTACTTGGGAGGCTGAGGTGGGAGGATTGCTTGAGCCAGGGAAGTCAAGTCTGCAGTGAGCTATAATGGTGCCACTGCACTCCAGCCTAGATGACAAGAGCGAGACCCTGACTCAAAAAGACGAAAAAACCCAAAAAACGGCGTAACTGCTGTTATTTCATTGAAGCTAAGATATAACTGATTATAAGAAACATAAGTTTATGTATCACTAAGAAAAAATGCTGGCAACTGAACTACGATATGCCATTGTTTATAAAAGCCATCCAATTTTGGATATGTTAAAATGAGAACTGCACTCTAGCCTGGGAGACAGAGTGAGACCTTGTCTCAAAAAAAAGTGAAAATAGGTGCATCTCAGAACTGATCAAATATAATATTGTAACTATGATGAAAACATTTGACTCAAATCACCTTAGGAACTGGGATTTGAAATTCACTCATAAATATTTAAACTCAATATTTTCATTACTAAATTGTAGCTGATGGGTTACATACCTATTCTATGATAAATATTTATTTATGGAGGGGAATTTTTAAGGGCTTGAAGTTTGATAAAAGCTTTCATGTTCAACTGAAGCATATATTTGTCTGGACGCTCAACTCTTCTGCAACCCAAGCTCAGCTGTGCTACAATCACACACATTATTCATTAATCTCAGAGATGCTGTAGTGTACATGGAATAATAACCCATAGCCAAGTAGTTAAATCTGGCAGGAAGCTAAGAAATACCTATTTAATAGAAAGGTTCACTGGATTATAGCAACCTTTTAGCTGGAAAATGCTGAAACATTAAAAAAAGATATACTAGATACAATTCCAGATATTTTACGTTGGTTGTTACCCTTCTACCTGACAAGCATAAGAGATTATATGTGGCCAGTTGGCTGACTTCTTACATCTTTATTAGAAACATAATTGTAATAGGTTTAAAAGATTTAGTTAGTTTCTGATTGGTAATTCACTACTTTCTATGAGACTTTTCAAGATATCTCATGTAGTATATTAATATCCCATGTAGTATATTAATTCTAAATATACAAAATACTGAAAAAAGGGAATGCCATGGGCCTAGAACAGTGTTTTAAGGCACAGGGAGATGATCTATAGATTATATGATAGCAAGGTTTCTCAAAATTCAGACACTCATGAATAAAGAACAGAGATTTTGGAAATTGGCTTTAGAATGTATTTGAAAATGTTAAGTTGATGGCTGTTTTTAGTGATAGCTTTGAATATAAATTTGAAACCTTTAAAATAAAATAAAAGATAAGTTATATTCTTTGCTTAAAATCTATACAGTTTTAGATGCGGCAAAACAGGTAATAAAAAACTTGTCTAAGAAATATCAAGTTCGAACTGCTAAAGAGATGAAAAAAGGAGTTCCTTAATAGCTTCTTGCTCAAATACCCTGTAAATTAAAAATGAATAAATGGTTTTTGATTTGCTAATGTCTTAAAAAATGCACAAAGTAATACCAATTAAAAACTGAAGGCATCATCCTGGTGACTTCACTATAACTAATGTATGTTTCTTAAAACACATTCAATTAGTGTGGAATGTGAAAGACTTAAGCTAAACAGCAGGTTGCAATGTAGCAAGGATTGTGAAAGAACAGACAGTGAAGAGAATGCTCTACTAGAATTACAGCATTTCAGTATGTACTAATATGCATATCACTTCCACAGATTAATTAAATTATTTCAAAAATGAATCATCTTGGTGAATGATTTTGGTTTATATCTCAGAAAATAAGAAGTTAAGATAGAAAAATCACAAAATAAACAGCACTAATATGCCTCATTTCTGTTATAGAGGGGCTTATTCCAAAGAACAGGTTAGTTCATGCTAATGAAAATCTTCTTCACCGTTGAGGACTATACTAAGCAAGTTTATTACTCATTATTTTAATAGTAACACCTGTTAGAAAAATTATCTTTTAAGTGGTTATCTTTGCATCTCAACTCATTTTTTATTTCATTTCTCTTCCTATGTCAACTATCTACTTTCCTTATATAATAGTAAAAGTCAGTGAATTCCCCAGATGGAGCTTTTGGGGCTTACAGGGAAAATGTTGGGAGCCAGTTTCAAGAGTGGCATACCTGGCTGGGCACAGTGGCTCACACCTGTAATCTCAGCACTTTAAGAGGCCTGAAAACTGCTTGAGGCCAGGAGTTTGAGACCACCCTGAGGAACACAGAGAGACCCTATCTGTACAAAAGATACAAAAATTAGTGGGGTGTGGTGGCACGCACCTGTAGTCCCAGCTATCTCAGCTACACAGGAGGCTGAGGTGGGAGGATTCCTTGAGCCCAGGAGGTTGAGGCTGTAGTGAACCATGATCATACCACTGCACTTCAGCCTGGGTGACATAGCGAGACCCTGTCTCAAAAAAAAAAAAAAAAAAAAAGTGGCATACTGATCTATCCTTTAAATTAAAATGAGAGCATACTTGTCTACATTTTTAATAAAAAACAAAAGCTCTTCTGGTATCCAGAAGTAACTTCACATTAACATATTAGATAGACCCAAAGAGACCTAACAGTTCAGATCTAAGCTTTTTTTTTTTTTTTTTTTTTTTTAACAGAGACTGCTGCTACATATGACATGGTCATTATAGACAATTAAAAGAGCCCTAAAGAAATTCCTTTCTTGTTTAGTGAAGGTGAGTTTAAGGAATCTGACCTAACCCTGATGAATCCTCCAGAATCTGTTTCAATCCTAGAGTGAAAACAGAGTACTATTCTAAAATGCCCCAGGGTTTTGAGATTTTCAGTAAATCTAGTTGTTCTGACTTCTACACCCCTTACGTGACAAAATTCTGCTTTCTCCTTTGCTTTGTTTTTCTTAACATCCCTCTTCTTTCCTATCTTCCTAGTTATGTCTGCCAAAAGAATAGACATCTTAGCTGCCTATTCAGACCATGTGTACAAAATGCTACAAAAGATAATTTGATCTCTACCATGTTGGGATTGCATGAAACTTTCCCTAATGGTTACATTTGCTTCTGTATGTTTTTTAAAAAAGCAGCCATGTTTAATATTGTGAAATATGATCTGTCTCCTCTTCTGCCCACCCTCTAAAGCAGTGATAAATTTCAGAGCATGCTCAGCAGAATTGGATTATATTATGCACAGTACACATGTTCATCACCAAAACTGTACTGCCTAGAATGTATGCAAGAAGAATGAATTGCTGAGACTTCAAAATCCCAGTTCCACAGAACTGATTTTATTAGCCAATACATACCAAAGACGGGTGGAAAAGAAGTATTATTTTTGTAGTTTTCTTTCATAATGGAAGCCTTATGCTATTACAGACTGCAGTTTTCCAGTCTTTTGATTAAGCCTTGCCAGTTGTGTGCCGCTGCAGCACCAAAGAAACTGTTTTGCAGCCTGTCACCTCCTCTGGCAGGCAGCCATCCTGGTCTCGGAGAGTGGGGTCAGCACCAGACTGGAGCAGCAGCTCTACAATATCCAGAAACTCACAGGCAGAGGCTGAAAGGAAAATTGACAAATATGAAAACAAGTTTACCAAGAGACAGAGAAACTCCTCTACTTCAGCAGGAAAGGAAAGTGCTGAGCAATAAGGAATACTGAACAATGAGCAATGTTACAGTGACTGAAGGATGGTCAGGCCTGGTAATGAGAACTGTGGTATTATGCTAGATTTTCAAGCCTTAGGAAAATCAAATTTACCTTTTTGGTTGTCTAGGAACACACACGCAAACAAATATATATTCTAAATTGTGAGGCTTTTGGGCTCTAGTCTTTAAGAATGGGATTAAGGAAAGGAATAAAAAATAGTATTTAAGTATCTATTTTACTTTGATCTTTATTTCAGAATAATGATACATGTGCAGGATATGTCAAAAGGCTAAAAATACTGTAAATGTCAAATAAAAGGTTTTGTTTTGTTTTTGAAGAGGGGATAAGTGGGTAACTAACTGAACTTTACAATTTGTAAATTTTTTAAAAAAAAGCTGGCCCAGTAATCAGACCATTCTTCTACAGGAACTAAAAAAAAAAAAAAAAAAAGGCACCAATGGGTGTAACTGATAAGTTCAAGGTACAGGAAGGGGAAAAAAGGGCGTAGAGATATCAAGACTTATAAATATGGTATGGTATTGCCCCAAAATGGAAAAACAGACCAGAAGCTTAGAACAGAGGGTGATCTATTCTTCTGCACACATATGAAAACTTAATTCATGACAAAGCTGGCAGATCAGTGGGGAAATAAAGACCCAATGATTAGATGGTGTAGAGACAACTGGGACTCACTAAAGGCAAAAAGAGGCACCAGATGAAACATAAATGGCAATAAACATATAAAAAGATGAGCATTCCACATTATCAGGGAAATGAAAATTAAAACCAGGAGATACCATTTCATACCCACTAGATTGGTGAAAATTAACTTTGACAATGCCAAGCACTGATAAGGACTGGAGCAGAGAAACCCCTTTAGATGTCAGAGTGTACACTGGTGTTGCTATTTTAGACAACACTAGAGCATTACAGGTTAAACCTAAACACACATATACCCTCCAACCTAGTAATTCTACTTCTAGTTATATACTTTTGCATATGTTCTCCAGGAGATATTTGCAAGCATGTACACAGCAGACCCCAAATGTAAACAGCCCAAACGCTCATTAATGGTAACATATAAATAAAGTATTGATCACTTGTACAATGAAATCCTGTAGAACACTGGAAACTAATGAACTATAGCTTCACACAACATGGGTTTATCTCCAAAACATAATGTTGAAGGGAAAAAAACAAGTGAGAAGAATACATATGATATCATTTCATTTAAACAAAATTTTGCAAACCGGTAAAACTAAAGAATATGATTCAGACATACAAATATGTACTGAAACTACAAAGGAAATCATTAATTAATATAAAATTTGGGATAGTGGTAATCTCTCAAAGATTACCACTAGGGAAGGCCATATGATTGAGAGGCATGCACAGGAGGTTCAAAGATATTGGTGATGTTCTATTTCTTAAGCTAAGTAGTGGGTAAATTTTTAAAAGCTTTGTTTAAATTCTTCATATACATTTTATATACTCTTTTGCAGCATGATTATCACACAACACAGTGTGTGGGTTTTTGTTGTTGTTGTTGCTCATTTGTTTCAAGAGAAAGGGTATGGAGCTGAATTTCACGGACTTTTTGAGACAGGGTCTGGCTCTGTCTCCCAACCTGGAGTGCAGTGGCGAGATCATGGCTCACTGCAGCCTTGACCTTCTGGGCTCAAGCAAATCCTCCCACCTCAGCTTCCTGAGTAGTTATAACTATATAGGTGTGTGCTACCATGCTTGGCTCTCACTTTGGGAGTCTCACTTTGTTGCCCAGGCTGGTCTCAAACTACTAGGCTCAGGCAATCCTCCCGCCTTGGCCTCCCAAAGTGCTGGGATTACAGGCATACACCACTGCACCCGGCCCTATAGCCATTTTATTGAGCACATACTGTACCAGTCCAGTCAGGAATACAGGTAAGATTCCTGCTATTCAGAATGGATTGTAAATATGTAAACAACCAATTCTAACACAAAAGAATGAATAAGAAATGTGGCAGAAATACATACACTGCAAAGGCAGGGAGGAAGGAGGAGACTGAGGGATCAGGAAACACTACAAATTGGTAGTAAGATGTAAGATGAGCTTTGAAGGATCGAGCAAAATTTCTGAGAAGGAAAGGCATTGCAGAATGCGAAAATACCACTAGGAGAGGCATGACAAGGAATGCTGGAGAACTGTCTCTGCTGGCTCAGGGAAGCAGTACAAAGAGTTGAAAGTACAGAGGTTGGATTGAAGTCAAGTTATCTAGGGCCTTGAATCGGTCACACTAAGAAGTCTGAGTTTTGTCAAGTGATCCACAGGCATTTATGAGGAGTGGAGTGGCATAATTTGGCAAGCACCGATCTGATTTCTGTCCCTATAGTTTTGTCTTTTTCCAGAAATAGAAATCATATAGCATAGTCTTTTGTATCTGGTCTCTTTCACTTAGCATGTTGCTTTTGTGATCCATCCACATTGCTTCAAGTATCAGTTCTTTCCTTTTGATTGCTGAGTAGTATTCTACTGTATGCATGTATGCAGTCATCTGGGCTGCTTCCAATTTTTGGCATTATGAACAGGGATCTTACGAACAGTTGGGTAAAGGTCTTTGTGTTGTCCTGTTTTATGTTTTCACAGCTTGTGGGTAAATATCTAGAAGTAGAATTGCTGAGTCATATGGCAAGTGAATGTTTAACTTTCCAGGAAACTACCAAACTTTTCTAAAGTTTTCACTCACACCAATAAGTATAAATTCCAGTTCCTTTGCACCCTTACCAGCACTTTACTATTATTAAAAATATTTTTTAGCCATTCTAGTTAGGTCTATGGTGGCTTTTCATTGTGATTTCTAATCTGTACTTCCCTAATGTCTAACAATGAACATTTCTCATGTGCTTATCTGCCAACTATCTATCTTTGGTGATTTATCTGTTCAAATCTTTTGTTCATTTGTTAATAAGGTTGTCATTTTCTTATAAGAGGTCTTTATATGTTGTGGACACAAAATTTTTTTTTCCAAATATATGTTTTATAAATATTTTCTCCCAGTATATGACTTCTCATTTTTTTTAAGAGTATCTTGAAGAGTGGAATTTTTAAATTTTGATAAAGTGCAATTTATTTTTTCTTTTATAGTTTGTGCTTGTGTTCCATCTAAAAAAAACTTTGCCTACACCAAGATCACAAAGATATTCTTCTAGTTCTTTATCATTATTCCTCTTACATATACATCTAAGATCTTACCTTCCCAGTTAATTTTTGAGTAGGCTTCAGGCTCACCTTTTTGTTTTGTTTTGCATTTTGATGTCCAATTGTTACAGCTCTATACGTTGAAAAGGCTAGTCTTCCCTCCACTGAATTTTATGTTGGCATTTTTGTCAAAAATCAGCTGACCATTTGTGATTGGATCTATTTCTAGGTTATCTATCATGTTCCTTTGATCTATATACCTATTCTTATACCAATACAACATTGGCTTGATTTCTGTACTTTATAGTAAGTCCTGAAACCAGTGTGGGGCCTCCAACTTTATTCTTTTTCAAAGTTGTTTTGATTATTCTAGGTCCTTTGCTTTTCCATATAAATTTTAGAATCAACTTATAAGTTTTTACAAAGATCCTGCTGGGATTCTGATTGGGACCCCGCTGAATCTATGAATCAATTTGGAAAGAATGGACAGCTGAACAATACTGAGTCTTTTGATCCATGAACAATGGTATCTCTTTCCATTTAAATTTTCCTTAATTTCGATAATATTTAGGAATTATACACATACAAATCTTACTCTTATTTTGTTTGATGTATCCCTAAGAATTTCATGTTTTTGAGGCTACTGCAAATAATATCTTTTAAAAATTCAATTTACTGTAAGCATAAAGAAAAACAATTAAGATTTGTATACTATCCCTGGTGTTTTCGAATTTTAATTTTCAATTGTTCATTACTAGTATATAGGAATACTTTTCATGTTTGTATATTGATTTTACATCCTGTGAACTTGGTGAACTCACTTATTCTAGGTTTTTTTTTTTTAATAGATTCTTGGGGTCTTATACATAGATGGACACATCACCTACGAGAAAAGGAAGTTTTATTTCTTCTTTTTAAATCTATGTGGCTTTCATTTCTTTTTCTTGCCTTAATGCATTGGCTAGAACTTTTAATACAATGTTGGATCAAAGTGGAGAGAGTGGATATCTTTGTCCACAGTCTTAGAGGGAAAGTGTTCAGCCTTTCATCATCAAGGACGATATTAACTGTCGATTTTCTCAGGCTAAAGAAATTCCCTACTATTTCCTATTTCTATTTTGTTGTGAGTTTTTGTTGTTGTTGTTGTTTTAATCATGAAGGGAAGTTGAATTTTGTCAGCCTTTTCTACATAAATTGATAAAATCACATTTTGCTTTTTTGATCTGTTCATATGGTGAAATACTATGGTTCTCAATTGCCAAACAAACCTTGCATTCCTAGGATAAACACACTTGCACAAAATTTATTAACCTTTTTGTATTTACTAGGTTCAATTTGCTAACATCTTATTAAACATTTTTGCATCTATGTTCATAAGGAATACTGGCCTGTTGTTTTCTTTTCCTCTAAGGTCTTTGTCTGGATTTGGTTATCAGGGTAATTCTGGTTTCACAGAATGAGCTGGGCAGTGCTCCCTCCCCTTCTATTTTCTGGAAGTGTTTGTGTGTAGAATTTTTTTTTTTTTTTTTTTTTTGAGACAAAGTCTCACTCTGTTGCCCAGGCTGGAGTGCAATGGTGCAAATGGCATGATCTTGGCTCACTGCAACCTCTACCTCCTGGGTTCAAGCAATTCTCCTACCTCAGCCTCCTGAGTAGCTGAGATTACAGGCACCCACCACCACACCCAGCTAATTTTTGTATTTTTAGTAGAGACGGGGTTTTGCCACATTGGCCAGGCTAGTCTCAAACTCCTGACCTCAGGTGATCTGGCTGCCTCACCTCTCAAAGTGCTAGGATTATAGGCATGAGCCACTGTGCCTGGCCAATTTCATCCTTAAATACTCAGTAGAATTCACCAGTGAAGTAATCAAGGCCTGGAAATCTTGTGGGAAAGTTTCTAGCTACAAATTCAATCTCTTTTATAAATATAGAGCTATCCAGATTTTCTATTTTTTATTTTTGTTTTTTTTTAAGATGGAGTCAGGCTATGTTGCCCTAGCTAGATGTAGTGGCTATTCACAAGCATGATCATAGTGCAGTGCAGTGTTGAACTCCTGGCTCCAAGTGATCCTCTTCCCCAAGCCTCCCAGCTGGGACTAAAGGCATGCACTTCTATTTCCTTTTTTTTTTGAGATGAAGTCTGGCTCTGTTGCCCAGGCTGGAGTGCAGTGGCACGATCTTGGCTCAGTGAAATCTCCGCCTCCCGGGTTCAAGTGATTCTCCTGCTTCAGGCTCCCGAGCAGCTGGGATTACAGGTGCGCACCACCACATCTGGCTAATTTTTGTGTATGTAGTAGAGACAGGGTTTCACCATGTTGGCCAGGCTGATCTCGAACTCCTGACCTCAGGTGATCCGCCCGCCCCAGCCTCCCAAAGTGCTGGGATCACAGGTGTGAGCCACCACACCTGGCTTTCTATTTCTTTTTCAGAAAACTTTGGTAGTTTGTGTCTTTAAAAAAATTTGTCCTGGCCAGGTGCGGTGGCTCTTGCCTGTAATCCTAGCAGTAGCATTTTGGGAGGCCAAGGCAGGCAGATTGCCTGAGGTCAGGAGTTTGAGACCAGCCTGGGCAACATGGTGAAACCCTGTCTGTACTAAACTACAAAAATTAGCCGGGCATGGTGGCGCATTCCTATAATACCAGCTACTCCGGAGGCTGAGGCAGGAGAATCGCTTGAACCTGGGAGGTGGAGCCTGAAGTGTGAGCAGGCTGAGATCGCACCACTGCACTCCAGCCTGGGTGACTGAGACCCTGACTTAAAAAAATATATAATAATAATAATAATAAATTTGTCCATTTCATTTAAGTTATCTATTTCATTGGTATAAAATTGTGTATAATGTTTCCTTATTTGCTTTATAATATCTTTAGGATATGTACTGATATCCTTTCATTCCTGAAACTGGTAATTTGCCTTTTGTTTTTTTTTTTGGTGTCACATCTCACTTTGTTACTCAGGCTGGAGTGCGGTGGCACAATCATAACTCACTGCATCCTGGAACTCCTGGGCATGAGTGATCCTCCTGCCTCAGCCTCCTGAGTAGCTGGGACTTACAGGCTCAAACAACTATGCCTGGCATGTTTTAAAACATTTGTTGTAGAGATGGGGTCTTGCTATGTTGCCCAGGCTGGGTCTCGAACTCTTAGTCTCAAGTGATCCTTCTGCACTGGTCTCCCAAAGTGCTGGGATTACAGGTGTGAGCCACAGCATCCAGCCTGTTTCTTCTCTTTTTTTTCTTCCTTGGTCTGGCTAGAGGACTATGTTTTATTGATCTTTACAAACAACCAGTTTTTGATTTCACTGATTTTCTGTTTTCTGATTTTCTATTTCAATGATTTCTGCTCCGATCTTTATTGTTTCACACTTACTTTGGGCTTAATTTGCCCTTCTTTTTTTGAGATAGAAGCTTGGATCACTGATATGAAATCTTTCTTCTTTTCTAATAGTATTTAATTTCCTTTAAAGCACTGGTTTAGCTGCATCCTGCAATTTTTTTTTTTTTTTTTGAGGCGGAGTCTTGCTCTGTCGCCCAGGCTGAAGTGCAGTGGTGCAATCTTGGCTTGCTGCAACCTCTGCCTCCCTGGCCTGGCTTAAGCGATTCTCCTGCCTCAGCCTCCCAAGCATCCCACAAGTTTTGACAAGAGTGTTTTCATTTTCATTCAGTTCAAAATATTTTATATAGGCATAACTTATTTTATTGTGCTTAACTTTACTGTGCATCACAGATAATGCATTTTTTTTTTCAAATTAAAGATTTGTGGCAACTCTATATTTAAGCAAGTCTATCGGTGCCATTTTCCCAACAGCATTTGTTCATTTTGTGTCTCTGTGTCACACTGTGGGGATTCTCACAATATTTCAAACTTTTCATTATTGTTATTTCTGTTGTGAGGATCTATGATAAATGATCTTTGATGTTACTATTGTAATTTTTTGGGGGTGCCATGAACTGCACCCATATAATATGAATTTCATCAATCAATGTTTTATGTGTTCTGACTGTACCATGGAACAGCCAATCCCTCGTCTATCCCTCTCCTTGGGTCTCCCTATTCCCTGAGACACAATAATATTGAAATTAGGCCAATAATCCTACAATGAACTCCAATCCTTTTACTCAAGTAAAAGGAAGAGTCACACATCTCTTATTTTCAATCAAAAGCTAGAAATGATTAAGCTTAGTAATGAAGGCATGTCAAAAACCAACATAGGACAAAAGCTAGGCTTTTGTGCCAGTCAGCCAACTTGTGAATGCCAAATAAAAGTTCTTGAAGAAAATTAAAGCACTATTCCAGTGAACATACAAATGACAGGAAAGCAAAACAGCCTTATTGCTGATTTAGAAAAAGTCTGAGTGGTCTGGGTAGAAGATCAAACCAGCCACAACATCCCCTGAAGCCAAAGTCTAATCCACAGCAAGGCTCTGGCTCTTTCATTCTACGAAGACTGAAAGAGATGAAGAAACTGCAGAAGAAAAGTTAGGAGTTGGCAGAGGCTGACTCATGAGGTTGAAGGAAAGTTGTCTCCATAAAATAAAAGTGCAAGGTAAAGCAGTAAGTGCTGATGCAGAAGTGAGAGCAAGTTATCCAGAAGATCTAACTAAGATAAAGATAACTGATGAGGATGGCTATACTACACAACAGATTTTCTTTTTTTCTTTTCTATTAGACAGAGTTTCACTCTGTCGCCCAGGTTGGAGTGCAGTGTTGCGATCTTGGCTCCCTGCAACCTTTGCCTCCTGGGCTCAAGCGATTCTCGTACCTCAGCCTCCTGAGTAGGTGAGATTACTGGCCATGTGCCACCATGACTGGCTAATTTTTGTATTTTTGGTAGAGAAGGGGTTTCACCATGTTGGCCAGGCTGGTCTCGAAATCTTGACCTCAAGTGACCCGCCCACCCGGGGCTCCCAAAGTGCTGGGATTACAGGCATGAGCCACCATGTCCAGCCAACAGATTTTCAGTGTAGACAAATCAGCCTCATACTGGAAAAAGATGCCATCTAGGATTTTCATAACTAGAAAGGAGAAAACAATGCCTGTCTTCAAAGAATAGGTGAACTCTCAGCCAGGCGCAGTGGCTCACGCCTGTAATCCCAGCACTTCGGGAGGCCAAGGTGGGCAGATCACAAGGTCAGGAGATCGAAACCATCCTGGCTAACACGGTGAAACCCCATCTTTACTAAAAATGCAAAAAATTAGCTGGGTGTGGTGGCTTGTGCTTCTTTTGTTAGGGTGAGAATGAAGTTCTCTTGCAGTTTTCTACATCTTAATAGTGGAAGCAGAACTCCCCAGGGGTTTGTTTTAAATGATTTAGCAGTGATATTTCTTCTTTTGCTCTCTAACGGTACTTAGGTAAAGATAAAGTAGTTTCTCTGGTTCCCTTGACCATCTTTTCTCCTTGTGTGGGTACTTCCAGCTCAGGGCTTCACGGCTATGTGCTGTGAAGTGTGCACAGAGCCGACAGCCAAAACCAGGTTGTGATAGGTACTTGGGATATATTTTGTGATCCTTTACATTACTTATCCTGACAAGCTTAGGCACCAAACTCTAATCCATAACCATATAAACTCAGAGGTGCTTCTAAGTGAATCAAAGTGGAGGGTAGATTTTTTTGTGAGCTAAAATCAGAGCATTTGTGAATGCTATCTCTGCCTTCAGCGATGTGGGGTTTCTTAGAAGGCTACCAAGATACAGATATTAATATCTGATGAATGGAGAATAGGAGAAAACATAGAGGCAGGCAAGAATTGCCTGTTCCAACCCCAGGGTCACTGCTGATTGGCTGAGATCATAGTTTTGGGTAGCTCCTGAGACTCAAGAGCTATTCTTCATCTTGAGGGATGCCACAGACAGGGAGGAAGAGACGGTATCATCTTTACCAAGGCCGAGGATTCAAGAGAGTGTTTAGGATTATAGTATCTTTTTGAGACTTTAAAATTGCCTCCCAAAATAATTTTATCATTATTATCATTTTTTGAGATGGAGTCTTACTCTTGTCGCCCAGGCTGGAGTGCAATGGCACGATCTTGGTTCACTGCAACCTCTGCCTCCCGGGTTCGAGCGATTCTCCTGCCTCAGCCTTCTGAGTAGCTGGGATTACAGGTGCCCACCACCAAGCACAGCTAATTGTTTTTGTATTTTTTAGTAGAGGTGGGGTTTCACCATGTTGGCCAGGCTGGTCTCAAACTCCTGACCTCAGGTGACCCACCTGCCTTGGCCTCCCAAAGTGCTGGGATAACAGGCATGAGCCACTGTGCCTGGCCCAAAAATAATTTTAGTCAACATTTTAATTTTAAACTTCTGAAGGGTTTTATCATGAATCACTGTATACCAAATTGGATTAAAATGAAAGACAATCTCTTATAAAATACAACAAAGTTGAAGACACATTGCCTTATATCAAGTAGCTGTGAAAAAAAGGCTATTTATCCTGCATAGAACTAGCTACTTTAACCTTTACACTGCAGTTATTAGTCTCAACTTATTGTAAGAAACACTTAGGCTTTAAAATAGGACCTTTAGCAGTATCATGGGAATAAACTTCCCATTGTATAAATCTATAATACACAATAATAACCATCATGATCTGTCAGATCACGCTTGGCTCAATTCCAACCCAACAGTTACGCGAGAAGATCAGGGCTAAGTAGATGTGTGCTATGGCTGAAGACACAAAAGATGGCCATCTCAGACAAAGGGACATTAATTACATTTATGCTGTATGATGATGTGACCATTCCAGTGGTGAGATATGATATAATCTATGGGCACCAACCCAGGTATGGAGCTTAAGAATTTAAGTTCCACATCTAGGGAACTCTAGTCAACCAGCTATGAAAATGCTACCTGAGGCTAATAATAATTCCCTAACTTGACAGATGTGAATGAAATTTTAGCTCAGGTCTAACTATAATGTGAGATATGAATTTGGAATTTAAGGTGGCAAAACAGTAATTCAGAGCAAGAAATATGGCATTCATATGAAAGGGGTTTTATTAACAAATGCCTGGGAGTTATGCAAAGACAGACTTACATGACAGCATAAACAATGAGGAAGTTATATAGATAAAAAAGAATGAGACTGAATAACTTAAAGGACAAGGGTCCTTTTAAACCACACAGGTGCATCTTATCCTGATATGAGGAGGCCACTTGCAGTATCTGTTGGAGACTCACTGTTGAGAGGCATCCATTATGTTTATGTTAGCACAGAGCCTACTTGCACATATAGTTGCCCAACAAATAGTTGTTGAAAAAATATGCTTTGTACCCCACAATGAGATGCTGAACTACTTGAGTATATGCTTCTTTTTGTATTCTCTTCTCCATCTAGCATAATGCTGGGCACTTACTGTTTGCTCAAAATTCATTAGTTAATTGATTTCTCTGCCTTTGGCATGTTCAGTGAAACACAAGTCATAATGTAGAGTCATCTTTCAGAAATGTGTACTCTGCCCACCCTTTCAAAACAGACAAAGGCAAAGAATATGAGAGAAAAATGAGGAGGAAAGGGTGCTAACATTTTACCAAATTAATGAGGGGATATACTGGTGCCCACAATGTGCTGGGAAATACAAAAACAGTCATAAGCCCATCTCAGAAAAGCTTGAGCAAGTCTATAGGGATTAGAACAGTTGCTGAATTTATGGTACCCTGGGAACCTCTATTTGTCAAGTGCCATAGAGGCAGCCCTGACACTGGCACAGGTGAAGATGAATTTCCATTCAGAGCAGTGAGCCTTCTGACTCCATTAATCCTCAGGGTTTTGATAATGAATTTCTTTTTTTTTTTATTTTATTTATTTTCACTCTAATGCCTCCTCCCACTGCCCTGTAACAGTGTGGAGGTAACAGAACAGATGGTGCTTTGCGTGGAAGACTGAGGGCTCATGAGGATACAAAGCCTGCCCACTCTGAAATCACATGACTGCACGTGCAAGGAAAAGCCTTGATTTCCCCTGGGAGACACAGATGCAATGATATTAGTATTCCCAGTGGAGGAAGAGGAGGGGAAGGCTAACAGGCCATTTATAAGTAAGACCATACTTATACCAATATACTCTTCAGCAAGGACCATGTTTAATCATGAAGTAACAGGAGGACCAATATCTGAAGATTAAAAAAAAACCCAGGTAAAATATAGGCACATAAGGGTTTTAGTATGCTGCCACACAAAGCCTATTTAGAATGAACTAGTAAGGACGTACAGTAGTAGAATACCGGCCTCTAGTTAACCTGCGATTGGCTCTGACCTAGTTTTAATCGGAAGGAGCCAGGATTTACAACCTGCTTAAGGATGGAGTTTGACAACTGCTATAATCAGAAGAGCTGTCAACACAAGGACAGCTGTCAAGCCCAACCATAATTCATAAAAAATAATAACTAAATCCCCAAAGACATCCCCAACACTGTCTGCACTCACTGGATTTAACGATACTTATAGTTTTAGGAAAGTTCCAAGAGTAGGTTAAGAGTCCTGAAATAAAATAAAATCAACAAATAATAACTGACTGCCCACTAAATAAAAAGGGTTAAATAATATTAAGTGATTAAATGAATAACAAATATGCCCAGCAGATCCTCTGGCATATAATAGGTGCTTAATAAATCATTATTATTATTATTACATGCAAGACTGTTTTGACTACCTTAAAAACTGGCAAGAATCCAGTGACCTAGTGAAAAATTATAAATTAAAAATAACCCACTCCTATAAGTGATTACGAATTAAACTTAAAATAGTAATTTTTATTAAATATTCCTGAATTGTCAGAATATTTTAGTTTTATATATTTGTAACGCCAGAACTTATAGGGATATTTAGTATTTGATTATCTTGATTTTAACATATATGTCATTTGTTTTGTTCTTTCCATGATGATTAATATAACCTGAGAGAAACAGAAGTTCTAGATCAATTTTAGGCAAGATTTTTGAATCAGGGATAATTTTTATTAATGTATAAACTCTTGGTGAACAGAAATAAAAATATAAAAGCACACAGACAGAAATATTGATATACATTTACTCCCAAGTACAGTCTTGAAAACTAGCCTTGAATCACTGACCAAGGTAACCAATAAGAAAAGATTTTCTTTAATTTGATTTCTATGAAAGATTATCTTCCACAAAATAATGTCTTCCTTAAAAAGACAGCAGGACTGCAATTATTTATGAAATTGTGAAAAGAGGTCTGGATGTAGAATCAGAAGACCTATACAAGTGTCTTGGCTCTGCAACCTACAGCTTGGATTACCCTGTCAAGGTAACATCTCTGAACTGTAGTTTTTCAATTAAAAATGGGGGAAGGCAGTACCTAGCTCAAACATTTGTAGAAAAGGCTAAATGAGATTTTACACAGAAACAATAACACCACTACTGTATATCTGCCTAGGTTTAGACTTTTTTGGTGTCTGTATACTTTTTAAAGAGTACAAAATGCACACAGAAGAGTACCAAAATCATATACAGTTGAGTCTTGAACAACATGGGGGTTAGGTGTGCCAACTCCACATGAATTAGAAAAGCCACATATAACTGCTGACTCTCCAAAAACTTAACTACTAATATTCTATGGCTGACTAGTAGCCTTACCAGTAAATAAACTGTCAGTTAACACATATTTTGTATGTTATATGTCTTCTTAACAATAAGCCATAGAAAATGCTATTAAGAAAATCATAAGATAAAATACATGTATAGTACTGTACTGTATTTATTGATGCTGTATGTTTATGTTGCCTGTTTCCAAGATGAATCATCTGTTTGAAATGGTGGCTACTGTGGTGGCAGACCTCAAGTTATGGTACATATCAAGCAACTTAACTTTTTCTTGTAATGTCATACTTTCCTTCTCGGGAACACTTCCAGCATCACTAGTGGCATTTTGTATGGGCCCCCCTTGTGTTATTCAAGGTTTATGGTAGTGTACTAAACACATAAAATACACAAGAACTGCGAGATCACTTTTTAACTGTAATACACAATTTACTGGAGGGACAAACTGCTCATGTAGAGATGACCAGCATCACCTGGCACTTTAAGCACAGACTGGCAACACTTGAGCTCACTGTAATAGCAACAGGAGTTATATACAAAATTACTACAGAACAGTATGTACTACAGTTAATTTTACGCAGTTATGATTTAATATTGCATTTTTACAATCGTTTACACTTTTCTCAGCTTTGGTGCCATGAACGGTCTGTGTTTGAGTGTATAAGTTTTGATAAATTTTAACTTTTTATAATAGATTTATTGGGGGGGGAGGGTGGAGGGATAGCATTAGGAGATAAACCTAATGTAAATGATGAGTTAATGGCTGCAGCACACAAACATGGCACATGTATACATATGTAACAAACCTGCATGTTGTGCACATGTAACCTAGAACTTAGAGTATAATTAAAAAAATAGATTTGTCTGTATTTTATGATGGTAAATGATGAAATAGACTAGTATCTACATATATTTTATGCATTCATGACATGTAACTTTTCCTTAATTTTTTGATATTTCTAGGCTGCAAAACTGAGTTTTTTTCAAGTTGTCAGGAATCTCCAAAATATTTTCCAATATATTCATTTAAAAAAAAACCCTGCATATGAATCTGGGTGCTCCTGTATTGGGTGCATATATATTTAGGATAGTTCGCTCTTCCTGTTGAATTGATCCCTTTACCATTATGTAATGGCCTTCTTTGTCTCTTTTGATCTTTGTTGGTTTAAAGTCTGTTTTATCAGAGACTAGGATTGCAACCCCTGTCTTTTTTTGTTTTCCATTTGCTTGGTAGATCTTCCTTCATCCCTTTATTTTGAGCCTATGCAAATCCTTAGAGACCTAGAAAGAGACTTAGACTCCCACACAATAATAATGGGAGACTTTAACACCCCACTGTCAACATTAGACAGATCAATGAGACAGAAAGTTAACAAGGATATCCAGGAATTGAACTCAGCTCTGCACCAAGAGGACCTAATAGACATCTACAGAACTCTCCACCCCAAATCAACAGAATATACATTCCTCTCAGCATCCCACTGCACTTATTCCAAAACTGATCACATAGTTGGAAGTAAAGCACTCCTCAGCAAATGTAAAAGAACAGAAATTATAACAAACTGTCTCTCAGACCACAGTGCAATCAAACTAGAACTCAGGATTAAGAAACTCACTTAAAACCACTCAACTACATGGAAACTGAACAACCTGCTCCTGAATGACTATTGGGTACAAAACGAAATGAAGGCAGAAATAAAGATGTTCTTTGAAACCAATGAGAACAAAGACACAACATACCAGAATCTCTGGGACACATTCAAAGCAGTGTGTAGAGGGAAATTTATAGCACTAAATGCCCACAAGAGAAAGCAGGAAAGATCTAAAATTGACACCCTAACATCACAATTAAAAGAACTAGAGAAGCAAGAGCAAACACATTCAAAAGCTAGCAGAAGGCAAGAAATAACTAAGATCAGAGCAGAACTGAAGGAGATAGAGACACAAAAAACCCTTCAAAAACTCAATGAATCCAGGAGCTGGTTTTTTGAAAAGATCAACAAAATTGATAGACTGCTAGCAAGACTAATAAAGAAGAAAAGAGAGAAGAATCAAATAGATGCAATAAAAAATGATAAAGGGGACATCACCACCAATCCCGCAGAAATACAAACTACCATCAGAGAATATTATAAACACCTCTACGCAAATAAACTAGAAAATCTAGAAGAAATGGATAAATTCCTCGACACATACACCCTCCCAAGACTAAACCAGGAAGAAGTTGAATCTCTGAAGAGATCAATAATAGGATCTGAAATTGAGGCAAAAATTAATAGCTCACCAACCAAAAAAAGTCCAGGACCAGATGGATTCACAGCCGAATTCCACCAGAGGTACAAGGAGGAGCTGGTACCATTCCTTCTGAAACTATTCCAATCAATAGAAAAAGATGGAATCCTCCCTAACTCATTTTATGAGGCCAGCATCATCCTGTTACCAAAGCCTGGCAGAGACACAACAAAAAAAGAGAATTTTAGACCAATATCCCTGATGAATACTGATGCAAAAATCATCAATAAAATACTGGCAAACCGAATCCAGCAGCACATCAAGAAGCTTATCCACCATGATTAAGTGGGCTTCATCCCTGGGATGCAAGGCTGGTTCAACATACGCAAATCAATAAACGTAATCCAGCATATAAACAGAACCAATGACAAAAATCATATGATTATCTCAGTAGATGCAGAAAAGGCCTTTGACAAAATTCAACAACGCTTCATGCTAAAAACTCTCAATAAATTAGGTATTGATGGGACGTATCTCATAATAATAAGAGCTATCTATGACAAACTCACAGCCAATATCATACTGAATGGGCAAAACCTGGAACCATTCCCTTTGAAAATGGGCACAAGACAGGGATGCCCTCTCTCACCACTCCTATTCAACATAGTGTTGGAAGTTCTGGCCAGGGTAATCAGGCAGGAGAAGGAAATAAAGGGTATTCAATTAGGAAAAGAGGAAGTCAAATTGTCCCTGTTTGCAGATGACATGACTGTGTATCTAGAAAACCCCATTGTCTCAGCCCAAAATCTCCTTAAGCTGATAGGCAACTTGAGCAAAGTCTCAGGATACAAAATCAATGTGCAAAAATCACAAGCATTCTTATACAACAATAACAGACAGAGAGCCAAATCATGAGTGAACTCCCATTCACAACTGCTTCAAAGAGAATAAAATACCTAGGAATCCAACTTACAAGGGATGTGAAGGACCTCTTCAAGGAGAACTACAAACCACTGCTCAAGGAAATAAAAGAGGATACAAACAAATGGAAGAACATTCCATGCTCATGGTAGGAAGAATCAATATCATGAAAATGGCCATACTGCCCAAGGTAATTTATAGATTCAATGCCATCCCCATCAAGCTACAAATGACTTTCCTCACAGAATTGGAAAAAACTACTTTAAAGTTCACATGGAACCAAAAAAGAGCCCACATTGCCAAGTCAATCCTAAGCCAAAAGAACAAAGCTGGAGGCATCACACTACCTGACTTCAAACTATACTACAAGGCTACAGTAACCAAAACAGCATGGTACTGGTACCAAAACAGAGATATAGACCAATGGTACAGAACAGAGCCCTCGGAAATAATGCCACATATCTATAACCATCTGATCTTTGACAAACCTGACAAAAACAAGAAATGGGGAAAGGATTCCCTATTTAATAAATGGTGCTGGGAAAACTGGCTAGTCATAGAAAGCTGAAACTGGATCCCTTCCTTACACTTTATACAAAAATTAATTCAAGATGGATTAAAGACTTAAATGATAGACCTAAAACCATAAAAACCCTAGATTAAAACCTAGGCAATACCATTCAGGACATAGGCATGGGCAAGGACTTCATGTCTACAACACCCAAAAGCAATGGCAACAAAAGCCAAAATTGACAAATGGGATCTAATTAAACTAAAGAGCTTCTGCACAGCAAAAGAAACTACCATCAGAGTGAACAGGTAACCTACGGAATGGGAGAAAATTTTTGCAATCTACTCATCTGACAAAGGGCTAATATCCAGAATCTATAATGAACTCAAACAAATCTACAAGAAAAAAAACAAACAACCCCATCAAAAAGTGGGCAAAGGATATCAATAGACACTTCTCAAAAGAAGACATTTATGCAGCCAAAAGACACATGAAAAAATGCTCATCATCACTGGCCATCAGAGAAATGCAAATCAAAACCACAATGAGATACCATCTCACACCAGTTAGAATGGCAATCATTAAAAAGTCAGGAAACAACAGGTGCTGGAGAGGATGTGGAGAAATAGAAACACTTTTACACTGTTGGTGGGACTGTAAACTGGTTCAACCATTGTGGAAGTCAGTGTGGCAATTCCTCAGGGATCTAGAACTAGAAATACCATTTGACCCAGCCATTCCATTACTGGGTGTATACCCAAAAAAGTATAAATCATGCTGCTATAAAGACACATGCACATGTATGTTTATTGCAGCACTATTCACAATAGCAAAGACTTGGAACCAACCCAAATGTGCAACGATAGACAGGATTAAGAAAATGTGGCACATATACACCATGGAATACTATGCAGCCATAAAAATGATGAGTTCATGTCCTTTGTAGTGACATGGATGAAGCTGGAAACCACCATTCGCAGCAAACTATCGCAAGGACAAAAAACCAAACACCGCATATTCTCACTCATAGGTGGGAATTGAACAATGAGAACACGTGGACACAGGAAGGGGAACATCACACCCCGGGGACTGTTGTGGGGTGGGGGGAGGGGGGAGGGATAGCATTAGGAGATATACCTAATGTTAAATGATGAGTTGATGGGTGCAGCACACCAACATGGCACATGTATACATATGTAACTAAACTGCACGTTGTGCACATGTACCCTAAAACTTAAAGTATAATAATAAAAAAAAAACAAACAAAACCAACCAAACCAAACAAAACAAAAAAACCCTGCATATAAGTGGACACACACAGTTCACACCTATGTTGTTCAAGGGTCAACTGTATATAAATTTTCTTAAGGAAATTTATCCATGTAACTAGCACATATCAACAATCAGGTCATTATTAGACTCTCAGAAGCACGCGTGCCCTGTTAACCCCTTCTAGTTGCCTGCTACCTCCTTACTTCACCCAAGGTAATCATTATCCCCTTTACTAATGCTAGAGAGAAGTTTTTCCCATTTTTGGCCTTTATATAAATGGAAACCATACTGTATGTACTCTTTTGTGTCTGGCATCTCAGCTCAGTAGCATGTGTAAGATTCATTTACATTATTGCATGTAGATGTAGCTCATTCTCACTGCTGTATAGTATTCTAGCAGATGAACATCACAGATTATTACTAACCAGAGCTCATAATTTCTGAATCTGAAGGTCCCAATGTTTAAATCAATTCTAGGAATTATTAGTAAGTATATCTTCAAATATTAATTTTTTGCAATCTCTCCTTCTGGAACTATTAAAAATACTGAACTTGGCTTTTATCCAAAAGACAACCAATAACAAATGCTGGCGAGGATGTGGAGAAAAGGGAGCCCTTGTACACCATTGGTGGGAATGTAAATTAGTACAATCACTATGGAGAACAGTTTGGAGGTTCCTCAAAGAACTGAAAATAGGCTACTATACGATCCAGCAGTCCCAATCATGGGTATATACCCAAAAGAAAGGAAATCAGCATATCAAAGAGATATCTGCACTGCCATGTTTGTTGCAGCACTGTTCACAATAGCCAAGATTTGGAAGCAACCTAAGTGTCCATCAACAGATGAATGGATAAAGAAAATGTGGTATATATGCACAATGGAACACTATTCAGCCATAAAAAAGAGTGAGATTCTGTCATCTGCAACAACATAGATGGACTGGAGGTCATTATGTTAAGTGAAATATGCCAGGCACAGAAAGGCAAACTTCACATATTCTCACTTATTTGTGGGGGCTAAAAATAAAAACAATGGAAGCTACATAGATAGAGAGTAGAGGGATGGTTACAAGAGGCTGGGAAGGGTTGTAGGGACATGAGGGCGGAAATGGGGATGGTTAATGGGTACAAAAAAATTGTTACAAAGAATAAGACCCAGTATTTGACAGCACAACAGGATGATTATAGTCAATAATAATTTAATTGTATACTTCAAAATAGGTAAAAGAGTTTAATTAGATTGTTTGTAACACAAAGGATAAATGCTTGAGGGAATGGACACCCCATTTATCATGATGTGATTATTACACATTGGATCCCTGTATCAAAGTATCTCATGTACCCCATAAATATGCATCTACTATGCACCCACAAAAATTAAAAATAAAAAAATTAGGCTGGGTACAGTGGCTCATGCCTGTAATCCCAGCACTTTGGGAGGCCAAGGCAAGCGGATCATTTGAGGCCAGGAGTTTGAGACCAGCCTGGTCAACACGGTAAAATCCCGTCTCTACTAAAAATACAAAAACTAGCTGGGTATGGTGGCGCATGCCTGTAGTCCCAGCTATTCTGGAGGGTGAGGCAGGAGACTCGCTTGAACCTGGGAGGCGGAGGGTGCAGTGAGTTGAGATCACACCACTGCACTCCAGCCTGGGTGACAGAGCGAGACTCTGTCTCAAAAAACAAATTAAGATAAATAAATGCTGAACTCTCTTGTTCCACTCTTAATGTCTCTTTACATTTATCATTTCTTTACCTTTCTGTGCTGCCTTTTTGGCAATTTCTTTAGACAAATATTTTCACCAAATTTTTTTTAACTTGTGTCAATTCTTCACTTTAACTTATCCGCTGTAAAATTTCTGTATTTTTTTAATTTACATAAGTTCTATTTGGTTCTCTTCCAAATCTGCCTGTTCTTTTTTGGAATGTCTTTTCTTGTGTTTTTGATTCTTTGATTTTATACAGACTTATTCTGATAATTTTTATCCAAGTTTTACTGAAGTTCCTCAAAGTCTAATACTGTAGTTTACTATGTCTGCTGTCATTCACTCAAGTGTATTTTGTAATTTTGGATTGTGAACAATATTATTCTCAGTGGGGCTTCATTCTGGACGAACTTTGTACTGTATAGGTTGAGGATGTGTTTCTCAAGGGAAGTTTAGCATTCATCAGCCCAGTACACTTATGTTAATTTCTTGACTTGAGGATTCCTGAAATAATCAGAATATAAATGTGAACCCGAAACTTATAGGGCTTTTGTTTCCACTCAAATGCTAGTCTGAAGCAGAGAAGCTTCTTTGTCTTCTTTTTACCAATAGGCCAACTTGTTCTAATCTCTACCCCTTTGCCTCCTCTTTTAAACGAAGGATATAGCCTTTTGAAGGTCCTGGCTCATGTGCAGGATCTCAGTTTTGAGTCCTGATTACTTCTAGTTCAAGAGGTCTTATTTCCAGGTTGCGTTGGCATTGAAATCCAAGCTCAGAGTTCTCCCAGTTAGAGTGTTTGCTCACCCATTTACCGCTATAGATACTGGGTTCTTTATTGGGTGGGAAGTAAATGAATCTGGGGACATCTCTTATCTTAAAAAGAATGTTTGATGTATTTTATCCAGCAAATAGTAGGCATTCAAATATTTGTTGAATGAATGAAATATAATTAAGGTGTATCATATTCATAGTACTAATAGAACCTTTAAAATAATTTAACTTTTGAACAGATAATATATGCATATAGGTCCAATACAGAAGTTATAAAAGGGTTTACAGAAAAAGGTTTTCATCTTATTCGTGTATTTCTAGCCCCACAGCTCCTCTTCCCTAAGGCAATTAACATTATTAGCTTTTTATGTATCCTCCCAGAGATATATATTTACTAGCAAGTATGTATAGATATATTCATGGCAGCACACTATATACACCGTGCTACACCTTAACCTTTTTGTTCAACAATATATGTTAAGAGATTTTTCTGTACCAGTACATAAAGAAAACAGAGCTTATTTGAATCCAGTCAGAAATGCTTTTTGAAAAATCCCTACCCTGTTGCTATCTATAAATGCATTTTAAATATATCAAACTTAAATGGACACATTCCTACATCCATAAAGGCATTCACTCCTAATGGTTAACTAGGGATGACAGAGTGACTCATCTAAATTCTCAAGAGCACATTCAATCTGGTTTAGCTGTTGCTACAGTTTCTGGAAGGGAGAAATAAAAGGAAAACACAGCACATGCCACAGAGAAGGCACTGAAAAACACCTGAATGAGGGAATGAAAGAAGGAATAAGGGGATGGAAATAAGAGCTGATTCAGCAGGGCATGTGGGTGCACTGGCAGTGGTTGTCTTTATAAGCAGAGCAGTGAACTCTAGACCGTAGGGCAAATATTGTGGAGTAAAAGAAGGCTGGCATCTTGAAGCAAGGCATCAGGAAAAATGAGTAGCCTTGAATTTTGTGCTGAAGGCCTCACAACCACTGTGAAGAGTTTATTTTTCCTCTTTTTTGACTCTCCGGTTATTTGACTTAAGCCTGGTTATCCCAGATTGCCATCATAGCTGTGGGGGTGGCTGAGACAAATTTTTTTCTGGGTGGAAAATTAGGGTTTAGAACAGCCAGCTCTTGATAATACAAGAGGAATCATATGACAGAAATACTATATAAACATGTTTGAGGAGTAAGTGATGTGAATGCTGTGGAAGGAGGTATGGGAAAGCATTAATTTTTCTGTCTTTTCCTAGTAAATATAGACACATGGGTTTGAATTTCCAATTCCCTTAGGCAAGCTTGTTAATCTCTTTGAGTTTTGGTTTCCTCATTTATAAAAAAAAATAACTACTACATATGCTTTGGGAGACTGATGTGGGAAAATTGCTGGAGGCCAAGAATTTGAGACCAGCCTGGGCTAGATCCTGTCTCAACAAAAACAAAATAACTTAGCCAGGTGTAGTGGTGCGTGCCTGTAGTCCCAGCTGCTTGGGAGGCTGAGGCAGAAGGATTGCTCAAGCACAGGAGTTCAAGGCTGCAGTGAGCCATGATTGCGCCACTACACTCTAGCCTGGGCGACAAGAGTGAAACACTGACTCACAAACAAACAAACAAAAAAACCCTACTAGAGGCCTATTTATAGACAGGGGCTTACAGATTAAATAGTTTATTATTTTACTATTTTATATGCTCATTTTAATGGTTCTTTCAAAGGCATTTGATACCATAAAATATGTATTTGTATGTGCATATATGTATATATGTGCAATTTTAATTAACAAATATTACAAGCATGGCATGCAGAGGAATAGAGAGGCTAATAAAACAAGTTGTTGACTACTACAAATATGCTTCAATAAATGTTCTAAATCATGTTTCATTATACAGATGTTCAGGAGTTTTTCTCTGGTATGTACCTAGAACCAGAATTACTGGGTTGTAGAGTATGTGTACCTTGAACTTTACTAAATCTTACTAAACTGATCTCAAAATGGCTGTAACAGTTGACACTCTCATCAGCAATGTATGAGAATTCTTGTTGTTCTACAGCCTAATATTAATATTTGTAGACATTTACATGTTGCCAATCTGATCGGTATGAAGTTGTATCTAAATGTTTTAATCTGCATTCCCCAATTAATTATTGTTGGGAGACAATTCTTGAAGGGTCTCTCGTGTTTCTGCACGTCTTATGTACAAAGGTACATAAGATGTGCAGAAGACATAAGACAGCTTTTGTTCTAGACTAACTTTCAAGGATGTTTGTGTAATGAACAGATTTGACAACAGAGATAGTGTTTCTTTCCAGAACAGAGGGCAGGTTTGTTTACCATCCAGAATAATAAACATAATACCTCCTCCTGAGCAAAGGTTTGCTTGCAACCCATTATAAAAGATGAGAGTTCCCTAAGATTAGGATTCCTAAGCCATGACACACGGTGTGTGTAGTATCTACGTGGGCCTCTCTGCATCGCTCTGATGGGACTTTGGAGGCAAGAGGAAATGACAAAAACATGAAGCTCATGCTGCTAGCTGTGCCATGGATAAGAAAGTCTTTCGTCTCTGATCCAAAAGTTTTGTGTCTTTTGCCAGCAACCATCAAACTGTCAGGCTAACTTGCTAGCTTGTAAGCAAAATACAATCTCAGACTATTCATAGTTCTTTCTTTTTTGCTTTTACTTTTTAATTTTTTTGAGACAGGGTCTTACTCTGTCAACCAAGCTGGAGTGCAGTGGCATAATCATGACTCACTGCAGCCTCCAACTCCTGGACTCAAGTGATTTTCCCACCTCAGCCTCTCAAGTAGTTGGGACCATATTTGCCCAGGACAGCCTTAGCAAAAGGTAGCTGGAGGCAAGGCAGAAAATGTTTGTCCTGCTTCTCCCAGGAAGAAAGCCCTCTGACTAGCAGCTGGGAGGAGAGGGAGCTCTGTGTTCTTGGCTACAGCATTGTGGAGTGGAGTCTCCACATCACTGACCTGGGAAGACAGAAAGGAGGGAGTAATCTTGGTTCAAATATCACAAAGTTTTCCTTCTTACCAAATTTTTGTAGATTTTCTTGAATAGATGTCTCTTCATTTGCTTTTTGTCCTTAGTACCATTTCTAGAAGCTATTAAATGTCTGTAGTTCCAAAAATAATTTTCACCAGTTTGACAAGGGAGCATATCAGTGGAGCTTCTCACATTGTCATGTTGGAAGTCAGTCTCTGCCTTCATTATTATAGCTGTAAGATAACATCTTGATATTTGGAAGAACAAGTCCTTCTTTCTTGTTTTTCTTCAAATTGCCTTAGATATTCCTGGCTCCTTTATCTTCCATATGAATTTTAGGGCAAAGCTTGTTAAATTCCACAAAGTATCTGCTGGAATTCTTATGAAAATTCTCTGAATTTGTAGTTTGACTTGGCAGAAATGATCTTTATGAAATCGAGTCTTCCTATTCATTAACGTAGATTATTTCTCCTTCTACTTAGGTCCTTTAAAAATGTCTTTTAAAAATTCTATTTTTTTCTATGAAGGTTTTACGTGCCTTTTGTTAGGTTGAGTCCTAGGATTTTGTTGCTATTGTAAATAATATTGGAAAAATGTTTTAAATTTTTTTTAGCTTTTTACAATAATGCTTAAGAATAAACTTAAAAAAACTAATGCATTCAGCATCCCTGCTAAATTGTATAGTTTTTATAATTTGTAGAGTTTCTTGGATTTCTGTGTAGCTAACTGTATTGTTTGAGAATGATGATGATTTTGTTTCATCCATCTCATGTACCTTTTATTTATTTTGTTTTTCATTTTGTGTTATCTACAATTCTAATACAGTATTGAAGAGACACAGTTATGGTATGCATGTTTTTCTTGTTTCGGATTTTAAAGAAAATGCTTCACACATTCCATCTTTAATAATAATGTTTGCTCTGGGTTTTTGATGAGTAAATCAGGCCATGGAAGTCTCCTTCTATTCCTAGTTTAAGAGCTTTTATCATAAAAATAATTAACTAACATTTATTGAGTATATGCCAGGTGTCAGACATTGTTCCAAGCACTTTACACAGATTAACTCATTATAACAAATCTCTGAAGTTACTATCCCTATTTCATCATGAGTAAACTGAGGTACAGTGTAAGTTAAGTATTTTATCCCAGGTCAGGGGTAGAACTAGAATTTGAACGCAGAAGTCTGGCTTACGAGCAGGCTTAATTAACTACTTTACCACTCTTAAAATGAGTGTTGAACATCCTCAAATGCTTTTTTCTGCATTTGATTTGATCATACAGTTTTTTTACCTAATTTGCTGATGTGGAAGGTTACATTAATAGATTTTTTAAATGTTAAGTCATCCTTGAATTCCTGGGATGAACCCAACTTGGTCAGCACATATCTTTCTTTCTTTTAAAAATATGTTGATGGATTTCATTTGCTAATATTTTATTTCAGATTTTTGCATCTATGCTCATAAGTAAGACTGACTCACAATTTTCCTTTCTCCTGCTGGTTTTGGTAAACAGGTTATGCTAGACAAATTCATAAGTGAGTTGAGGCTGGCAGTTGGTGACAGACATTTCAACCTCAATTATTAGGCTGACATATGTAGGTAGTATAATAGCTAGTCCAATAGGTTAAGACTCCTAGATAGCACAGCGAGGTTTCTCCAGCATTATCCCTCCAGAATGATTTGGCTTTTGTTTCCGCCAAGCATCCCAGAAACACTATCAGCTTGAAATACCTTAGTTGATTTTTTAGCTTGGGATTTTTGAACACTTGAGTGCAAATTTAAAGTCCAAAGCAGTAGACAAAAGTGTCCAGGGTCATTTGAGCCACTTGTTACTGAATCGCAGTCTAAGGTTGCCAAGACTGGCAAGTGTATTCCTTCCCAAAAGGTTGATCCATAATGTGGTGTAAATACCGATGGCTGTCTTTCATTCAGCCATATTCACACCCAAATAGAATCTTTTTTCTTTGGAGACAGGGTCTGTGTTGCTCAGGCTGGCCTCAAACTCCTGGATTTGAGTGATCCTCCTGCCTCAGCCTCCTGGTAGCTGGGACTACAGACGTGCACCACTGCGCCCAACTCTACACAGACTCTTTAAATCATATTTACTAGGACTTTACATTTTACAAAATACTGTAATATCTTTTATCTCACTGAATTTACCAAGCAGCTCTCTAAGAGCCATATTATTTCCATCTTACAGATTTTTTTCTATTTTACAGATTACTTAAGCTAATCAGTTAGTAGGAGAAATTAGTTAAAAAATCAAATTTCTTTTTCTTCAATTAGATCAAGAAAATATTTCTTGTAGGAGAGATGCTAGATTTTACAGTGACCATGATTTTAACATCTTTCTTGTCACTCATTAATAGAACTAAGAATGAAATAATGAATTTTCAAAGGGGGCTAGCACGGTCTCTATTTCTGTTGCTAGTATAGAAACAATTTATTATAAATGTGACCATAAGAATTTTAATACATCTTCAACTTACTAAGTTATTAATATTTTTTTTTGAGATGGAGTCTCACTATGTCACCCAGGCTGGAGTGCAGTGGTGCAATCTCGGTTCACTGCAACCTCCACCTCCCAGATTCAAGCGATTCTCCTGTCTCAGCCTCCTGAGTAGCTGGGATTACAGGTGCCCGCCATCAGCCCTGGCTAATTTTTGTATTTTTAGTAGAGACAGGGTTTCAGCATGTTGGCCAGGCTGGTCTTGAACTCCTGACCTCAAGTGATCTGCCCGCCTCAGCCTCCCATAGTGCTGGGATTACAGGTGTGAGCCCTCACGCCCGGCCTAATACATTTTTTTGAACAAAAAGTTATTGTATCTCTGCTAGCTGCCAGGTACCTATCTAAGCACTATATAGGAATGGACAAAGTTGAAATAAACAAATAGAGAATATGTTCAAATATGATTACTTAATAATTTAGAAACTTCTTACCATAATGTAGAGCTGTTTGGCCTTCATTGTCCTATAAAAGAAACAAATAATACATTTTAGAAGTCTAAGTAATTGCAAAAGTATGAAAGTACATAAACTGTAGCAAATTTATCTGATATACCAAAGTTCCATAGGTTTATCAGACTTAGGAAAAGAAGTCAGTTAACTGAGCTTCACCGTAACTTTTGACCAAGCTCACCATCCTGAAGAATAAAGAATGATAACTTGTGCACTGTAGCAGCTACAATGGAGTAACAGGATGACCAGTTACTCCAGATATCTGCAGGTAATAATCCAAAGAGAAATTCTTAAAGTGAGGCAGTTTGGTTACCTAGTTCATGGCAGAAAAATTGACACTATGTCTCATTTATCTTGGCCAGTATTAGGATTTTTTTTTTCCTAAGCTTGTCCCCAAATCTATCTAGCGATTCTGTGATTTATAGTGGATAGCTTTTTATCCCTTTTCAAAGACTCACAAATTCCAGGCTAATAACACCGGGTTTCATAACCAGATCAAATATCATAAAGTAATGTGATTTCAAAGCATACAAAGTCCCAGAAGTTGTTAAGAAAGCCAAAAGTTGCCATAGAATACTTAGGAAATTCCAACATTTCAGTTATTTTCCTTTAAAACCAAGAAAACTATATATACTATTAATTGTAGTGCAGTTGAGTACTTTTTAGCAATGCCACCTCTTAAAACTGAGAGCAGCTAATCACATTACATGAGCAACAAATAATCAAAGTACACAAGTGAAAAGCACAATTTAGTAATTAACTTCATAAGCACTTTGTAATATGCATGGCCGTCATGCCCCTGGTAATTGAGAATAAATGTGAAACTGTTAATCTGAATAACTTGGAAGGGTGATGTTATGCCAGCCAAACTATTCTTGGGTACCCATATCTGCTTTTCCCACTTCCTAACAGCTGAATGTAGGGGTGGAGGTTGGCTCTGGAACTTTTTGGCAATGGGTCTCCCTATTTATCTCCTAGAAAGAAAAGCAAGAAGCTGCCACAGAGAACTTATTTTATGGTTCAGATAGGTAGTAAGAAAAAAGTCATGGCAGGGGGACAACCTTGAGGCAATGTAGTTTGTTTTCCTACTGTGGAATGAAGGTCTGATTGGATTTGGAGGTAAGGTGCTTATTACATGGGAGAGAGGAGATATGAAAGAAGTAATTTTAGCAGGGAGTCAGGGTAGGGTACACTTGGCTAAGATGCAACTATGCTAAGTTTGGGATGTCCAGGAAGCATCATAAAGATAATAAACTCTAAGAAAAGTAAAAGATGGAAAGCAGCATGAAAAAGTCAGGAAACACAAGAGATCATTTTTGCCTACTTTTTTTTCTTGTCTTTTTAGATACAACCTTTATCTTGCTCCCCTTTGACCTGCCCTGCCCTTGAGATTAAGGACAGGTAGGGGAAGAGAGCTAAGGCAGCTATAGTGAATAGTATCTGAGTGATTCTTATGCAGGGCAGCCTGACAATGTGAAGTTCTGCTCAAGAGAATGTTGTCTTGATTGGGAAAGCTAAGGGCAATTTCAAAAGAACAGTACTGACCATTATGGCTTAAGACTCATATCTATATTTGTCAGCTTCCAATGTTAATCAATGAAAGTGTGTGTGTGTGTGCGTGAGTGCGCACACACACACACACACATACATGCAAACTCCTGATGGGTTTATGCATTCACATTTATAGTTTAAATGTGAATGTCCTGCATTAGGAAGCAATTTCAGAAAAAGCTTAATCTACTGCAATTTCAGGATTCTACTTAGGCATCCATCATGCAAGGTTGTATTTTCCACAATTATGTATCTTTAGAAAGCATAGTTCTTTCACTATTTGTGCATAACTTTCATGTTTAATCACTGTGTTCATATATACTTAAAGTTCATTTCCTTTCAATTTCTAATTCTTCATCTTGACTATGGAGGTGGAAGAAAGCATAATCTATTTCTTTTAATCACATTTACCAGTGAATACTAAATCTATATCTCTACCTCAATTTCTAATTAATTAGTTAAAAATAGTTACTGAGCTCCAATTATGTTCCAGTCACTGTTCTAGGCACTGGAAACAATGAAATGAATGAGACAGAGGTCTCTAATGTTATAAATCTTATGTTGTAGTGGCTAGGGAATCAATAAGCAAATAAATATATTTAATACTAGGAAGTGATGAGTACGCTGGAAAACAATCAAAACAGAGTGAGAGACGAGACTGATGTGGGTGCTATTTTAGATAGAAAGGACTCTATAAGAAGGTATGTTTACACGGAGAACTGGGGAAGATACTAAGGTGGTCATGCAACCCAAAATGGGCAAATCACAGCACTGGTCATCTTCCTTGTCTGAAAGTATGCAAGTTACTCAAGCCAAGACAATTAGTTTTCTTTCAAAATTTTTCAAAATGGAGCTATAAGATAGAAGTGTGCGCACACAGAAGGTTCTTTCCTCTCTGATCAAAAGTAAAGGGTGCAACCCTATAAATACGTACAATTATTATGTGTCAATTTTAAAAAAGAGAGTGTGGTCAAAGAAGCTAGACACAAAAGGACAAATATTGTGTGATTCCATTTATAAGAGATACCTAGAGTAGTCAAATTCATAGGAACATGAAATAGAATAGTGGTTACCAGGGGCAGGGAGGAGGGAAGCATGGGGAGTTCTTGTCTAATGGGTACAGAGTTTCAGTTTGGGATGGTGGAAAAGTTCTGGAGATGAACAGTGGTGATAACTGCACAATAATGTGAATGTACTTAATGCCACTGAACTGTACATGTAAAAATGGTTAAAATGGTAAATTCCAAATATATTTTACCACAATAAAAAAGAAAGAAAATTAGAAAAGGGTATGAGCCAAAAACTGCAAGTGGCAATGTTCTCTACTTTGGGGTGAAAATCAGTCTGCAGTAGAAGAGAATAAGTATTCACAAAGAAAAAAGTAGTGGTGAGACATGGAGAGAGAATGAGGGTCTCTGGTTCTTGTCATTTCAACAATATTTTTTCTTGGTTAGGTAAGCCAATAACAGCAAAATACTCCCTAGACAAGTGTGATCTTTTTGTCACTTGTAAACAAGAGTCTTCACTAACCCAGAATGCAAGGCATTTCATGAACCAAGCCTTGCTCATCTCTCTCCCAATACCTTCTCTTCCCAATTTTGTGACTGCCAATTCCTATAAGAATACTTATCTGGGGCCTGGAGCGGTGGCTCATGCCTGTAATCCTGGCACTTTGGGAGGCCAAGGTGGGCGGATTGCCTGAGCTCAGCAGTTCCAGACCAGCCTGGGCAACATGATGAAACCTTGTCTCTACTAAAATACAAAAAATTAGCCAGGCGTTGGTGGCTTGTGTCTGTAGTCCCAGCTACTCGGGATTGCTTGAACCCAGGAGATGGAGGTTGCAGTGAGCTGAGATAGCGCCACTGCACTCCAGCCTGGGTGACAGAGTAAGATTCCATCTCCGCCCCCCCCCCCCAAAAAAAAAAGAAAGAAAGAAAAAAAAGGAATATTTATCTGGACTCCCATAGCTGTGAATGCTCCTTGCTCTGTCTGGAAACTGTCCCTCAACATTTTAAAGATAAAACCTTGCTCTTTTCTCATGTTTAAAAAATTCTTTGATATATTTGAACATTTTAAATTGACTTATTTTATAGTCCCTATATTTCTTTTATTTGAACTGAGGGAGGGGAAGCAGAGTGATGTTTGTTGTGCTGGCTGACACCTACTTATTGATTCCTATATGCTTTTTGATTCTGGACTATAAGTTTATTTTAAGGGGGGTTTTATCTTTGAAAAAATCTGTACTGTGCTCCCTAGATTGAGGGTCTGTCCCTCCAGAATAATTTTGCTTTTGTTTCTGTCAAGCATCCCAGATATATTATCAGCTTAAGATCACTTAGTTGACTTCTTAGCGGGATTTTTGAAAACTTAAGAAGTGCAAATTTAAAAAGAGCAAACCCACCTTCACCGCCACCCCAACCCCGGACTTGGAGCACAGGCTAAGACAAACTCTCTATGCCAATTCTGTCAGTGGGTAGAATTTTTCAGTCTACTCTGAGGGTGGTTGGTATTATTTGAGATCTCTACCCCATAGGTATTGAGACTGCCAAATCCTTTCAGAGCAGCCCAGTGTTGGTTTAAACTTACCACTTTGTTTTTAAAGCTTTGTTTATTTAAAAAACTATTTTAAAGCTTCCTATTTTGTTTTTAGCTATGCTTATTTTGGCCCTTGGAGAGTTGAGTTGCTTTTTTGTAAGCTTGTCTATGCATTTAAAGAGGTGCTTATTATATTTTATTCTGCATTTCTGAGTGTTTTGTGGTGGGAGAATTTTGAGATTATTATTAGTCTGGAATCCTGCAGGAAAATGAAATCCCCCAACCTTTAAGACTCAGTTCACCTTCTTAAGGAAACCTCCCCTGACTCCTCAAGTACGGTTAGGTGCTCCTCTTTTCTACTACTGTGGCACAACACATACTTTATGTTCTTATCTATCTCTTCCACTGAGACTATAAACTTCTTGTAGGCAAGTACTACGTCTTTCATCCAGTGCCTAGCTCAGTGTCTTGCATATACTGTGTGCTCAATAAATGTTCATGAAATGAGAGAATGAATACACTACTTTAATTTTTCCTCACTGTTTTTCTTTAAACTCAAAATTTTTTAATTTTTGTGGGTACACAGTAGGTATATATATTTGTGGGGTACATGAGGTACTGATATAGGCATGCTATGTGTAATATTCACATCATGATAAATGGGGTATCCATCCCCTCAAGCATTTATCCTTTGTGTTACAAGCAATCCAATTGTGCTTTTAGTTTGTACTCATTTTAAAATGTACAATTAAATTATTATTGACCATAGTCACCCTGTTATGCTATCAAATATTAGGTCTTAGTCATTCTAACTACTTTTCATACCCATTAACCATCCCACTTCTCCCCTATACCCCTGCAACCCTTCCCAGCCTCTAGTGGTCACCATCCTCCTACTCTCTATCTCCATGAGTTCAACTATTTTAATTTTTAGCTCCTACAAATAAATGAGAATATGCAAAGTTTGTCTGTGCATGGCTTATTTCACTTAACATAATGATCTCCAGGGTCTATCCATGTTGTTGCAAATGACAAGATCTCATTCTTTTTAATGACTGAATAATACTCCATTGTATATAAGTACCATATTTTCTTTATCCATTCGTTTGCTGATGGACACTTAGGTTGCCTCCAAATCCTGGCTATTGCAAACAGTGCTGCAACAAACATCGGTGTATGTATATCCCTTCAACATACTGATTTCCTTTCTTTGGGGTATATACCCAGCAGTGGGATTGCTGGATCCTATGATAGCTCTATTTTTAGTTGTTTGAGAAACCTCCAAACGGTTCTCCATAGTGGCTGTACTAATTTACATTCCCACAACAGTGTATAAGGGTTCCCTTTTTTCCACATCTTTGCCAGTATTTGTTATTGCCTGTCTTTTGGATATAAGCCATTTTCACTGGAGTAAGATGATACGTCATTGTATTTTGATTTGCATTTCTCTGATGATCAATGATATTGACCACCTTTTCATATAACTGATTGCCATTTTTATGTCTTCTTTTGAGAAAGATCTATTCAAATCATTTGCCCATTTTAAAATCTGATTATTAGGCCAAGCGTGTGGGTCACGCCTGTAATTCTAGCACTTTGGGAGGCTGAGGCAGATGGATCACTTGAGGCCAGGAGTTCAAGAGCAGCCTGGCCAACATGGCGAAACCCCATCTCTATTAAAAAATATAAAAAAATTAGCCACGCACAGTGGCTCACACCTGTAATCCCAGCTACCTGGGAGGCTGAGGTTGGAGAAATGCTTGAATCTGGGAGGTAGGGGTTGCAGTGAGCTGAGATCATGCCACTGCACTCCAGCCTGGGTGACAGAGCGAGATCCTGTCTCAAAAAATAAAAATAAAAAAAATGAAAATAAAATAAAACCAGATTATTAGGTTTTTTTTGCTCCTTCTGGTTATTAATCTCTTGTATATTTTCTCCCATTCTGTGGGTTGTCTTTCACTTTGTTGATTGTTTCCTTTGCTGTGCAGAAGCTTTTCAACTTGATGTGATCTCAGTTGTTCATTTTTGCTTTGGTTGCCTGTGTTTGTGGGGTTTTAAGAAATTTTTACAGAGACCAAAGTCCTGGAGAGTTTCCCCAATGTTTTCTTGTAGTAGTTTCATAGTTTGAGATCTCAGATCTAAGTCTTTAATCCATTTGGTTTGACTTTTGTACATGGTGAGAGACAGGGGTCTAGTTTCATTCTTCTGCATACGGGTATCTAGTTTTCCCAGCACCGTTTATTAAAGAGGCTGTCTTTTCCCCAATGTATGTTTTTGGTACTTTTGTTGAAAAAGGGTTCACTATAGGTGTATAGATTTGTTTCTGGGTTCTCTATTCTGTTCCATTCATCTATCTCTCTATTTTTATGTCAATACCAAGCAGTTTTTGTTACTATAGTTTTGTAGTATAATTTGCAGTCAGATAATGTGACCCTTCCAGTTTTGTTCTTTTTGCTCAGCATAGCTTTGGCTATACTGGGTCTTTTGTAGTTCCATATAAATTTTAGGATTGTTTTTCTACTTCTGTGAAGAATGTCATTGGTATTTTCATAGAAATTGCACTGAATTTATAGATTACTTTGGGTAGTATGGACATTTTAACAATATTGATTCTTCCAATCCATGAATATGGAATATCTTTCCACCTTTGTGTGTTCCCTTCAATTTCTTGCATCAATGTTTTGTAGTTTTCATTGTAGAGATCTTTCACTTCTTTGGTTAATTCCTGGGTATTTATCTGTGGCTACTGTAAATGGAATTACTTTTAAAATTTCTTTTTCAGACTGTTTGCATATAGAAATGCTACTGATTTTTGTAAGCCAAGATTGCACCACTGCACTTCAGCCTGGGTGACAGAGCAAGACTCTGTCTCAAAAATAAAAAAAAAGAAATGCTACTGATTTTTGTATGTTGATTTGTATCCTGCAACTTTACTGAATTTGTTTATCAGTTCTAATTGTTTTACGGTGGAGTCTTTAGGTTTTCCAAAATATAAGATCCTATAATCTTATGATAAATTAAACAAAGATAATTTGACTTCTTCCTTTCCAATTTGGATGCCCTTTATTTCTTTTTCTTGTCTGATTGCTCTAGCTAGGTCTTCCATTATCATGTTGAATAACAGTGGTGAAAATGGGTTTCCTTGTCATGTTCCAGATCTTACAGTTTTTCCCCATTCACTATGATACTAGCTTTGGGTCTGTCATATAAGACTTTTATTATGTTGAGGTAAGATGTTCCTTCTATATCTAGCTTGTTAAGGATTTTTTCATGAAGGAATATTGAATTTTATCAAATACTTTTTCAGCATCAATTGAAATGATCATATGGTCTTTGTCCTTCATTCTGATGATATAATGTATCACACTGATTTATTCGCACATGTTGAGCCATCCTTGCATCCCTGTAATAAAACCAACTTGGTTATGATGAGTGATCTTTTTAATGTATCATTGAATTTAGTTTGCTACTATTTTGTTGAGGATTTCTGAATCAATATTCATCAGAGATACTGGCCTGTAGTTTTCTTTTTTTGATCTTTGTCTGGTTTTGGTATCATGATAATACTGGCCTTATAGAATGAGTTTGGAAGTCTTCCCTCCTCAATTTTTTTGGAATAGTTTGAGAAGGACTGGTATTAGTTCTTTTTTAAATGTTTGGTAGAATTCAGCAGTGAAGCCACGAGGTCCTAGCCTTTTCTTTACTGGAAAACTTTATTTCAGCTTCTATCTTGTTATGTGTTACTGGTCTGTTAAGGTTTTGGATTTCTTCATGGTTCAATCTTGGTAGGTTGTATGTGTCTACAAATTTCCCCATTTTCTCTAGATTTTCTAATTTATTGACATATAGTTAGTTGCTCACAGTAGTCACTTAATGATCCTTTGAATTTCAGTGGTATTGGCTGTAATGTCTACCTTTTCATCTCTGATTTTATTTGGGTCTTCTCTTTTTTTTTTTTAGTCTGGCTAAAAGTTGGTCAATTTTATTTGTCTTTTCAAAACACCAAGTTTTCATTTTGATGACTGTATTCTTTCCTTCATTTCAGTTTGATTTATTTATTTCTGCTCTGATTTTTATTTTATTTATTATTTTATTATTTCTTTTCTTCTACTAATTTTGGGTTTGTTTACTCTTGCTTTTCTGGTTCTTTAGGATGCACCATTAGGTTATTGGAAGTTTTTCTTCTTTTTTGATGCAGGCGCTATAAACTTCTCTCTTGGTACTGCTTTCACTGTATCTTACAGGTTTTGGTATATTTCGTTTTCACCATTGTTAAAGAAATTTTTCAATTTTCTTAATTTCTTCATTGACTCACTGGTCATTCAGGAGCATACTGTTTAATTTCCATGTCTCTGTATAGTTTCCAAAATTATTCTTGTTATTTACAGGCCAGTATCTCTGATGAATATTGATTCAGAAATCCTCAAAAAAATAGTAGCAAACTAAATTCTGTAGTTTCATTTGATTGTGGTCAGAGAAGATGCTTAATATTATTTCAGTTTTTGAATAAGACTTATTTTGTGGCCTAATATATGGTCTATCCTTGAGAATGATTTATGTGCCGAGAAGAATGTGTACTGTACAGTCATTCGATGAAATGTTCTGTAAATATCTGTTAGATTCACTGTTGTACAGTATAGACTAAGTCTGATGTTTCTTTGATTTTCTGTCTGAAAGATCTGTCCAATGCTGACAGTGGTATGTTGGAGTCTCCAGCTACTATTGTATTGGGGTCTCTCTCTCTCTTTACCTCTAATAATATTTCCTTTATGTATCTGGGTGCTTCAGTGTTGGATGCATATATATTTATAATTATTATATCCTTTTGCTGAATTGACCCCTTTATCATTATATAATGACCTTGTCTCTTCTTATAGTTTTTGTCTTGAAATCTATTTTGTCTGATATAACTATAGCTACTCCTGCTCTTTTTTTGTTTCCACTGGGATGGAATATCTTTTTGCATTCCTTTATTTTCAGTCTGTGTGTAACTTTATAGGTGAAGTGTGTCTCTTGTAGGCAACAGATCATTGGGTCTTGATTTTTTAATCCACTCAGTTACTCTATGTCTTTTTTTTTTTTTTTTTTTTTTTTTGAGACGGAGTCTCGCTCTGTCGCCCAGGCCGGACTGCGGACTGCAGTGGCGCAATCTCGGCTCACTGCAAGCTCCGCTTCCCGGGTTCACGCCATTCTCCTGCCTCAGCCTCCCGAGTAGCTGGGACTACAGGCGCCCGCCACCGCGCCCGGCTAATTTTTTGTATTTTTAGTAGAGACGGGGTTTCACCTTGTTAGCCAGGATGGTCTCGATCTCCTGACCTCATGATCCACCCGCCTCGGCCTCCCAAAGTGCTGGGATTACAGGCGTGAGCCACCGCGCCCGGCCTACTCTATGTCTTTTGATAGGAGAGTTTTTAGTCCATTTACATTCAATGTCATTATTGATTAGGTAAGGACTTGCTTCTGCCATTCTGTTATTTGTTTTCTGGTCTTCTCTTTCTTCTTTCCTTGCTTCCTGTCTTCCTTTAGTGAAGGTAGTTTTCTCTGTTGGTATATTTTAATGTATTGCTTTTTATTTTTGTATATATGTTTTTTGATTTGAGGTTATCATGAGGCTTGCAAGTATCTTATAACCCATTATTATTAAGCTGATGACAACTTAACACTGATTGCATAAACAAATAGGCAAAAAAAAACTAATAAAAACATTTTCACTTAATTCTCTGACTTTTTAACTTTTTGTTGCTTATGTCTTATTGTCCCATGTTTTGAAAAGTTATCCTAGTTATTATTTTTGATTGGTTCATCAACTAGTCTTTCTACTTAAGAGTAGTTTACAAACCATAATTACAGTGTTATAATATTCTGATTTGTGTGTTTACTATTACCAGTGAGTTTTGTACCTTCATATAATTTCTTATTGCTCATTAACATACTTTTCCTTCTGACTGAAGAATTCCCTTTAGCATTTCTTATAGGACAGGTGTAGTGCTGACAAAATCCCTCAGCTTTTGTTTGTCTGACAGTCTTTATTTCTTCTTCATGCTTGAAGGATATTTTCACAAGATACACTGTTCTAGGGTAAATTTTTTTTTGTTTGTTTTTCCTTTAGCACTTTAAATATGTCATGCCACTCTCTCCTAGCCTGTTTAGGTTTCCACTGAAAAGTCTGCTGCCAGATGTGTTGGAGCTCCATTATATGTTGTTTCTTTTTTTCTTGATGCTTTTAGGATGCTTTCTTTACCCTTGACCTCTGGGAGCTTGATTATTAAATGCCTTGAGGTAGTCTTCTTTAGGTTAAAACTGTTCTATAACCTTCTTGTGCTTGAATGTTGGTATCTTTTTCTAGATTTGGGAAGTTCTCTGACACTATCCCTCTGAATAAACTTTCTATCCCTGTCTCTTTCTCGATCTCCTCCTTAAGGCCAATAACTCTTAGATTTGCCCTTTTGAGGCTGTTTTCTAGATCTTTTAAGTGTGTTTTATTCTTTTGTTTCCTCTGTGTATTTTTAAGTAGTCTGTCTTCAAGCTCACAAATTCTTCTGCTTAATTCTGCTATTAAGAGACTGATGCATTCTTCACTATGTCAATTCCATTTTTCAACTCTAGAATTTCTGCTTGGTTCTTTTTAATTATTTCAATCTCTTTTTTATATTTATATGATAGAATTCTGAATTTGCTTTCTGTGTTATCTTAAATTTCTTTGAGTTTCCTCAAAACAGTTATTTTGAATTCTCTGAAAGGTTGCATATCTCTTTCTCCAGGACTGGTCCCTGGTGTCTTATTTAGTTTGGTGAGGTTGTGTTTCCCTGGATGATCTCGATGATTGTGGATAGTCATTGGCGTTTAAACATTGAAGAGTTAGAATTTATTGTAGTCTTCGCAATTTGGGCACGTTTGTGCCCATTTTTCTTGGTAAGGTTTTCCAGGTATTGGAAGAGAATTGGGTCCCAAGCCGAATAACACTGTGGTTCTTGAAAACTCATAGAGGTAGTGACATGGTAGTCTTGGATAAGATCCAGAAGAATTATCTGGATTATCAGACAGAGACTCTTGTTCTCTTCCCTTATTTTCTCCCAAACAAATGGAGTCTCTCCTGTGCTGAGCCACTTGGATCCTGGGGTGGAGTGATGCAAAAACCCTGTGGCCACCACCACTGGGACTGCACTGGGTTGTATCTGGAGCCAGTACAGCACTGGGTCTCGCCCAAGGCCCACTGCAATCACTACCTGGCTACCACCTATCTTTACTCAAGGCCCTAGGGCTCTACAATTAGCAGGTGGGGAAGCCAGCCAGGTTTTTGTCCTTTCCTTCAGGGAAGCAAGTTACCCCAGGCCCTGGGTGGGTCCAGAGATGCTGTCTGGGAGCTAGGGATTGGAGGAAAAAACCTTAGAAATCTACCTGGTGTTCTATTTTACTGAGGCTAAGCTGGCCCTAAAACCATAAGACAAGTCAGTCCTTCCCTCCCTTTTCCACAGGCAGAGGAGCCTCTCCCACTCCCAGTTGCCACCACCACCACCAGCCCATGGAGAGCTCTGCCAGGCCACTGCCGATATTCACTGAAAGCCCAAGTGCTCTTCAGTCAGCTGTGGTGAATGCTGCCAACCCCAGAACTCACCCTTCAGGGCAGTGGGCTCCCCTCTGGCCCACGACAAGTCCAGAAGGCTATCCAAGGCTTGTCTGGTCCAAAGCTGTCCAAGAGCCTAGGCATGGAATCAGGCACCCCAACAGCCCGCTTGGCGTTCTAGCCCATTGTGGCTGAGCTGGTACCTACGGTACAAGGTAAAGTCCCCTTTACTTTTCCCTCTACTTTTCTGAAGCAGAAGGAGTCTTTTACTGTAGCTACCACAGCTGGGAATGTGCTGGGTCTCACCTGAAGCCAGCACATCTCAGAGTATCACCCAAGGCCCACAGCATACTAACTGGGCATTGCTGTTGGCTATTGAGGACCCAAGGGCTCTTTAGTCTGCAGGTGATGAATCCTGCAGGACTGGCTCCTTCCCTTCAAGGCAGTGGGTTCCCTTCTGACCCAGGATGTGTCTAGAAATGTCATCTGGGAGGTAGGCCGTGGAATGGGGGCTTCAAGACTCTGCCCAGTGCCCTATCCTACTGTGGCTGAGCAGGTATCCAAGATGTAAGACAAAGTCCTCCTTACTCTTTGCTCTCCTCTTCTCAAACAGAAGGAAGGAGTCAGAGGGATGGCACGAGCACTCCCTTTGTTGCCCTAGCTGATGTCTCCCTAGGTCATGTGCTGCCCTGGTCCACTGTCTCTAAGCCCACCGCAGCACTAGGACTTGCCTAGGAATTACAGTCCTGTGGCCTAGACTGCCTTTCAAGTATATTTAGGACCCCAGATATCTTTGGCCCGCAGTGGTGAGGTTTATCAAAACTCAAGTTCCTATCACTCGGATGGACGATTACCCTCTGGCTAGGGCTAGTCCAAATGCTCCTTCTATGTGTGGGTGCTGGCTGAGCCCTGCATGGCTTTGCTCTCTGCTTTGACAGGGCAGTACTGAGTTCAATGCCAAATCTCCCAGTTGCTGTGTTCTCCCTCTCCAAGTGCACAGATTCTCTCTCCACGCCACAGGGCTGCTGCGGGATTGAGAAGGGGTGGTGTCAGCGATTTAAGACTGTGTTTCCTACCCTCTTCAGTGCCTCTTTTAATAATATGAAGTTAAAACCAGGTACTGTGATTGCTCATCTGATTTTTGGTTCTTATGACAGTGCTCTTTTATGTGTAGTTATTTGTTAAAATTTGGTGTTCCTGCTGGGGCGACAATTGGTGGAGGGGCCTATTTGGCAATCTTGCTCCACATTCAGTTTATTATTTAAACCAATTTAAAGACTAATTAATTTTAGTCTTTAATTTAACCTTTTTCCTTTTACTTAAACCCTTTAGAAGAATGTTCCCATTTATTTCCTACAGTGTGGAGTGCAATGACAGACATGATAATACAATGAAGGTCTAAACAATGATGAACAGGATATTTAGCTTATAGTTACTAGCTGCAAAATCACTACTATATTCTGTTTGATTTCTGGATTCTTTTTTCTTCCACATGTGCTCCTGAAGTTAAACAGATTATTTCTTTCCTCACATGTACTCTGCAGCAATTCTTTCTTATTTTTGATCATGTCTCCATTTTAGGAATATTTCCTTTAAGGACTGAGTTTTCTTGTATCTCCAAATTGTGTGCCTCATCAAATATAGTATGCTTTTATTCTACCAAATGAGGTGTTGACGAAAATATTAAATACATAGCTCAGGATTGGTACAAGGAAACTATCATTTATTTTATCTCTTTAACACTAAGCCACTGGTAACACTGCTGTTTCTTCTGCATAAAATTGTGTAGCCCCTGGTTTTTAACTGCTAAATACATTTTATCACACTGAATCAAGAGCCATATTCCTAGATTAAGATACATACATATATACACACATATATGTATATATACATATATATGTATATTCCTGTACAGGTGTGTGTATATATATGTACACACACACACACACATACATACACACATACATATTCCAAGCTGTTCTTACAGCTTGTATATATACAGGCAATGTATATATACACACATATATATTCCAAGTGGAAAATTCTCTTCAGTGTAACTGGATTTTTTTTTTTTGACCATGATTCTGATGCTCTAATTCAATTCACACTTGATCTACCATCTCTACTAATGTCAGCTCTAAAGATACAAGAGTAATAACAAAGCTGCATAGAGGGGCTAGATTTTCCCATGATATGGCTAACGAGAAAATTTTGTTATATCCAGTAATTTACTTAAAATATAAATTTTATTTAAAAAACAGTGTTTCAAGTGAATGTATGATAAGTGAGGCACTCAAGCAAACTGGCTGTGAGAAATTCGAAGTAGTAATAAAAAATTTTGAGTTAGTAATATAGTTTTAGGTAAATTTTAATAGTATTTCTAAGCCTGGAATGTACTGTCTCTCCTTATGAGATCTGTGACTCTATAATAGATGATTAATCTGACAATTTAGAAGCTTGCAAATGCCTTTTATGATTATTTTTCTATATATATATATAAGTTAAGCTTTCAGCTGCAGGTTCTAGGTATTTTCCTTTCTTTCTAGGAAACAATGTAGATACAGTAACATCTTATTTAACTGGCATCTTTATGGAATGAGGGAGTATATATCAGTAGATTTTTCAAATAATTGGATCATTAACATTTCAGCATCCAAAAATTAAAAACATCATCCCTGTAAACTTTTGCATATAATTATTTCTAACACATCTTACTTCTCATTACTCTATATGGAGAACATGGACAATGATTTAACCTTTTTCTGACGATTCTCAGTCAACATCACAAACTGATTATATCCCTCAATTTCTGGCACCAAGTAAATGTCTGGGAATATGATTGAACAAAAACATCATTTACTGTACACACTATAAAAGATGCCTTTACAGTGCACTAAGGTATATAAGGCTATTTGGTCTTTCACCAAATGGACCCAGACTACTTTTGCTTTTTGTTGAGTTTGATTTTTGTCTTTTCCTTTTTTAAGCAGCTTTTCCTCAGCCATAGGATATTCATTTATCCTTTATTATTATCAGTGTACCTGAACTCTTTAAAATTTTCTACCTCTCATCTGCTAAGGATTGGAAATCAGACAAGCAAGTTCCTCAAGCTGTGTCTAAAACTGGGAAACTGTCTCTGACTGATAGTCTGGGAATGGTCTCACAACATGATTTGTAGAAAGCTTTATTATAGATCTGTGTATTTTATGTTCATGTTGGTTTTATCTTGGTTTTAGGCTATATTCTTTTTTTAAACTTTTGGGGAGCATTTCTAAGCATAGACTATATTCTTAATCAGTGATTTTCAATTTTTTTTAACATTCTATGGAAGCTTGTATTCAAATAGAATCTGGAATGACAAGTAAATAAAGCCAACATTAAAGTGGCACTGCTCTGGGTGGTGATCTGTAGCCCGTGCACACTTCGCCTTCTTGCCTCTCTACCAGTTGCCATCAGTGTCACCACAAATGGGTAACATGTCTTTGGACAAGTTAGAAGTAACTCTTTTTACTGGCTGTCTTTCTGTTTCCGGACATTTGTCTAATCCTCCACAAAATAATGGAACTAACTTGTTAATCAATAGTTACAAGATAACTTTCTGACCAGCCCACTCCTCAGTTTTCTTAAGTTTTCTCTATGAATAAAAACCAGAAAGTAACAGTATATATTCCAAAAAGCTGACAAAATACAGCAAAATACAAGGACTTGATTCTCTGGACGTCTTTCTTATTAGGTGTAAGCAATAATTAAGGATCAAAACTTCATTTGAAGGCTGGGCATGGTGGCTCATGACTCTAATTCTAGTACTTTGAGAGGCTGAGGTGGGAGAACTGCTTGAGCCTAGGAGTTTGAGATCAGCCTGGGCAACATTAGGGAGACCTTGACTCTATAAGAATTTTTTTTTTTTTTTTAAAGCCAGGTGTGGCGGTGCACACCTCTGGTCCCAGCTATTTGAGAGGCTGAGGTGGGAGGATCTCCTGAGCCCAGGAGACTGAGGCTGTGGTGAGCCATGATTATACCACTGCACTCCAGCCTGGGCAACAGAGTGACACTCTGTTTCAAAAACAAACAAACAAACAAACAAACAAAAAAACCAAACCAAAATCACAAAAAAAACCTTATTTGAAAAACCATACATCTGTGATCAAATATAAATGGGCATTTCAAACTCTTTCTCCACATGGGCTACAACAGTAAAAGCTAACTTAAATAGATGATATCCAAATTGATAAATAGCTACTGTAAACATGACAAGCAAACAACTAAAAGGAAAACAATCAAAGGCAGTATTACTGATTATTCATCCCTTTTAAGGCAACTGATCAAATGTACATCTACACAGATGTTCTTAAGAGCAAGTTTGCTTTGGGAACTGCAGCTAAAACAACTACATTTACTTTAACATCATATTAAAATTGCTGGAGAGAGAGGAATTGGAGTAAAATAGGTACAGTGTAAACAAGCAGTTGAACCTAAAGAATGGATAATATATGTGCTCTATCCACACGGTGGTCTTCTAATCATTCAGACTCACAAAACTACTGTTGGGTACAATTAGCATCAATTATTCGGAAATATTTCAGACAGAAACCATTCCAAATTTGCCATCAGGGTAGTGTCAGACTGGAGTCCTTGAGGTAATTCATGTGACAGCTTATCCAGCCACCCAGGAGGTTTCTTCTCTCCAGGAGATATAACTCAGATATTAGGGGAAGAGATCCATATCAGCAGATGTGGGGTCTATCTTGGCTTAGAAGTCCTGGTACTTCACAAGTGCCACAATATAACAGTAGCTTCTAGGGTCACACAAGGGGTATGCCAATTACAAGTAACTCAGGACATTCCAAAGTACAGTGTCCCCATCAGGTATTTATCATTCCTTTGCAGTTCTTCCCAGTCCAAATTAATTTACCAATCAAGGGGTCATTTTTGTCATAATGTTACTTAGTAATATAACTAACATCCTTAACCCCATCAGGTTACCAAATAACTTAGATAGCCATTTTAATCTAAAGCCAGATTTTCATTCAGCAGGGGAAAATGTAGTCAATATCCTAATATGGTATCAAACTTATATAATCAGAATTTCCATATCGAAGTTTAATTTGAAATACTTTGGGGATATCATAGGACTTTGCCAACTCTGTCTGTTCCACTTTGACTATAAGAATTTCTCCCACAGCACATGTTCCTTGTTCCTTTGTTATTTTCTTTTTACGTAAGTATACCTAAGTGAATTGGGCTACAATATATTTTGCTACATCTGATTGTTTAAACCAGGGGGATCTGATAGAATAATACTAAAACAATATAACAATGCTACAGCATATCTGGACAAAGAGATGCATGAGGATATTTAAGGAAATAGGGGACTTTGCAATTCCACTTCTGTAAATTTTTCCCCCAAGGAAAATTGTCCCAACCCCAAGACTTCATGTTAATAAATGGTATGTCATTTGGCTCTATTACCCAGCTGCTCAAGTCAAGAATTTGGGCTCCATCCTTGAATTCTACTTTCCTCATCCTCTATATTGAATCCACAAACAACTCCTACTAGAGAGTATATTCTAAAATATATGATGTCTAATTATCCATTTCTCTTTACTTCATTGTTACTACCTGTTATGAGTTTAATTGTGTCTCCCAAAAATATGTTAAAGTTCTAACTCCTTGTACCTCACAATGGGTACCTTATTTGGAAACACACAAGGAATGCCAAGAATTGCCAGCAAACACCAGAAGCCCGAAGAGGCAAAGGATTCTCCCCTACAGGTTTCAGAGGGAGAATGGCCCTGCTAACAATACATTTCTGTTGTTTTAAGCCACCTAGTTTGTGGCACTTTGTTACAGCTGTCCTAGGAAATTAATACCCCACATCAGTACAAACCTCCACCATTTCCTACCTAGACAAAGGCAGTAACTTCATATTTGTTCCCCTTCCCCACTACAATCTGTTCTTCAGACAGCAGTTAAAACAGGGGTCCCCAATCCCTGTTACCTGTCCATGGCCTGTTAGGAACTGGGCTACACAACAGGAGGTGAGTGGCAGGCAAGTGAGCAAAGCTTCATCTGTATTTACAGTTGTTCCTCATCACTCACATTACCATCTGAGCTCTGCCTCTTGTCAGATCAGTGGCAGCATTAGATTCTCACAGGAATGCCAACCCTTATTGTGAACTGCACATATGAGGGATCTAAGTTGTATGCTCCTTATGAGAATCTAATGCCTGATGATCTGACAGTGCCTCCCATCACCCCTAGATGGGACCATCTAGTTGCAGGAAAACAAGCTCAGGGCTTCCACTGATTCTATATTATAGTGAGTTGTATAATTATCTCATAATATATTGCAATGTAATAATAATATAAAGTGCACAATAAATGTAATGCATTTGAATCATCCTGAAACCATCCCCCTGACCCCAGTCCATGGTAAAATTGTCTTCCACGAAACCTGTCCCTGGTGTCAAAAAGGTTGGGGACCACTGAGTTAGATAAATGACCTTTTCTTAGTTAAGCCAGATTATGTCATACCTTGCTTTTAAATCCTTCAACAGCTTCTTACTGTTTTTAGAATAAAGTTCAAAACTCTTACCATGGCCTAGAATAGCAGTTCTTAAAACATTTTGGTTTCAGGATCCCTTTATAGTAACTCTTTGGAGTTACTCTTCAGAATTACTGAGGACCTCAAAGAACTTTTGTTTATGTGGTTTAAATCTATCAATATTTACCATATTAGAAATTAATGCCAGTAAATTTAAAAACCATCATGTTACTATATATTTTACATATAACATAAAAACATGTTACATGTTTTACACTTAACATAAATTATACGTAACATAATTTTAAAAATGAAAATATTTTTCCAGATTAAAAAAAAACACAATGAGAAGAGTGGTATCATTTTAGATTTTTGCAAATTTCTTTAATACCTGGTTAAATAGAAAATAATTGGATATGCATATCTAGTTCTGCATTCAATCTGTTGTGACAACACAAGTGATATAGCTTTTGAAATATGCTATTGCATGCTCATGACAATGAGTATGAAAAAGGCAAATAATGTCTTGGAATTATAAAATAATCCTGACCTCATAGACCTGCTGCACTCAAAAAATTTCACTGAGTGAATAAATGATTCATAGATTTATGTAAATATTTATCTGCAAGGATGTTCATGGCTTAAATTCATTCATTCAAGAAATACTGACAGCTCCCAGTGTGAGCGACGCAGAAGACGGGTGATTTCTGCATTTCAACTGAGGTACCGGGGTCATCTCACTGGGGAGTGTCAGAAAGTGGGTGCAGGACAGTGAGTGCAGCGCACTGAGCGTGAGCCAAAGCAGGGCAAGGCATCGCCTCACCCGGGAAGCGCAAGGGGTCAGGGAATTCCCTTTCCTAGTCAAAAGAAAGGGGTGACAGCCGGCATCTGGAAAATCAGGTCACTCCCACTCTAATACTGCACTTTTCCAATGGTCTTAGCAAACAGCACACCAGGAGATTATATCCCGTGCCTGGCTCAGAGGGTCCTATGCCCACGGAGCCTCGCTCATTGCTAGCACAGCAGTCTGAGATCAAACTGCAAGGCGGCAGTGAGGCTGGGGGAGGGGCGCCTGCCATTGCCGAGGCTTGAGTAGGTAAACAAAGCGGCCAGGAAGCTCCAACTGGGTGGAGCCCACCGCAGCTCAAGGAGGCCTGCCTGCCTCTGTAGACTCCACCTCTGCGGGCAGGGCATAGTCAAACAAAAGGCAGCAGAAACCTCTGCAGACTTAAATGTCCCTGTCTGACAGCTTTGAAGAGAGTAGTGGTTCTCCCAGCACATAGCTGGAGATCTGAGAACAGACAGACTGCCTCCTCAAGTGGGTCCCTGACCCTCGAGTAGCCTAACTAGGAGGCACCCCCCAGCAGGGGCAGATTGACACCTCACACGGCCGGGTACTCCTCTGAGACAAAACTTCCAGAGGAACGATCAGGCAGCAACATTTGCTGTTCACCAATATCCATTGTTCTGCAGCCGCCGCTGCTGATACCCAGGCAAACAGGGTCTGGAGTGGACCTCCAGTAAACTCCTACAGACCTGCAGCTGAAGGTCCTGACTGTTAGAAGGAAAACTAACAAACAGGACACCCACACCAAAACCCCATCTGTACGTCACCATCATCAAAGATCAAAGGTAGATAAAACCACAAAGATGGGAAAAAAACAGAGCAGAAAAACTGGAAACTCTAAAAATCAGAGCGCTTCTCCTCCTCCAAAGGAACGCAGCTCCTCACCAGCAATGGAAGAAAGCTGGACGGAGAATGACTTTGATGAGTTGAGAGAAGAAGGCTTCAGACGATCAAACTACTTTGAGCTAAAGGAGGAAGTGCAAACCCATGGCAAAGAAGTTAAAAACCTTGAAAAAAAATTAGACGAATGGCTAACTAGAATAACCAATGCAGAGAAGTCCTTAAAGGACCTGATGGAGCTGAAAACCATGGCACGAGAACTACGTGACGAATGCACAAGCCTCAGTAGCCGATTCAATCAACTGGAAGAAAGGGTATCAGTGATAGGAGATCAAATGAATGAAATGAAGCGAGAAGAGAAGTTTAGAGAAAAAAGAATAAAAAGAAACGAACAAAGCCTCCAAGAAATATGGGACTACGTGAAAAGACCAAATCTACTTCTGATTGGTGTACCTGAAAGTGATGGGGAGAAGGGAACCAAGTTGGAAAACACTCTGCAGGATATTATCCAGGAGAACTTCCCCAAACTAGCAAGGCAGGCCAACATTCAAATTCAGGAAATACAGAGAATGCCACAAAGATACTCCTCGAGAAGAACAACCCCAAGACACATAATTGTCAGATTCACCAAAGTTGAAATGAAGGAAAAAATGTTAAGGGCGGCCAGAGAGAAAGGTCAGGTAACCCACAAAGGGAAGCCCGTCATACTAACAGCTGATCTCTCGGCAGAAACTCTACAAGCCAGGAGAGAGTGGGGGCCAATATTCAACATTCTTAAAGAAAAGAATTTTCAACCCAGAATTTCATATCCAGCCAAACTAAGCTTCATAAGTGAAGGAGAAATAAAATCCTTTACAGACAAGCAAATGCTGAGAGATTTTGTCACCACCAGGCCTGCTTTACAACAGCTCCTGAAGGAAGCACTAAACATGGAAAGGAACAACAGGTACCAGCCACTGCAAAAACATGCCAAATTGTAAAGACCATCGAGGCTATGAAGAAACTGCATCAACTAACGAGCAAAATAACCAGCTAACATCATAATGACAGGATCAAATTCACACATAACAATATTAACCTTAAATGTAAATGGGCTAAATGCTCCAATTAAAAGACACAGACTGGCAAACTGGGTAAAGAGTCAAGACCCATCAGTGTGCTGTATTCAGGAAACCCATCTCACATGCAGTGACACACATAAGCTCAAAATAAAGGGATGGAGGAAGATCTACCAAGCAAATGGAAAACAAAAAAAGGCAGGGGTTGCAATCCTAGTCTCTGATAAAACAGACTTTAAACCAACAAAGATCAAAAGAGACAAAGAAGGCCATTACATAATGGTAAAGGGATCAATTCAACAAGAAGAGCTAACTATCCTAAATATATATGCACCCAATACAGGAGCACCCAGATTCATAAAGCAAGTCCTTAGAGACCTAGAAAGAGACTTAGACTCCCACACAATAATAATGGGAGACTTTAACACCCCACTGTCAACATTAGACAGATCAATGAGACAGAAAGTTAACAAGGATATCCAGGAATTGAACTCAGCTCTGCACCAAGAGGACCTAATAGACATCTACAGAACTCTCCACCCCAAATCAACAGAATATACATTCCTCTCAGCATCCCACTGCACTTATTCCAAAACTGATCACATAGTTGGAAGTAAAGCACTCCTCAGCAAATGTAAAAGAACAGAAATTATAACAAACTGTCTCTCAGACCACAGTGCAATCAAACTAGAACTCAGGATTAAGAAACTCACTTAAAACCACTCAACTACATGGAAACTGAACAACCTGCTCCTGAATGACTATTGGGTACATAACGAAATGAAGGCAGAAATAAAGATGTTCTTTGAAACCAATGAGAACAAAGACACAACATACCAGAATCTCTGGGACACATTCAAAGCAGTGTGTAGAGGGAAATTTATAGCACTAAATGCCCACAAGAGAAAGCAGGAAAGATCTAAAATTGACACCCTAACATCACAATTAAAAGAACTAGAGAAGCAAGAGCAAACACATTCAAAAGCTAGCAGAAGGCAAGAAATAACTAAGATCAGAGCAGAACTGAAGGAGATAGAGACACAAAAAACCCTTCAAAAACTCAATGAATCCAGGAGCTGGTTTTTTGAAAAAAAATTGATAGACTGCTAGCAAGACTAATAAAGAAGAAAAGAGAGAAGAATCAAATAGATGCAATAAAAAATGATAAAGGGGACATCACCACCAATCCCACAGAAATACAAACTACCATCAGAGAATACTATAAACACCTCTATGCAAATAAACTAGAAAATCTAGAAGAAATGGATAAATTCCTCGACACATACACCCTCCCAAGACTAAACCAGGAAGAAGTTGAATCTCTGAAGAGACCAATAACAGGCTCTGAAATTGAGGCAAAAATTAATAGCTCACCAACCAAAAAAAGTCCAGGACCAGACATTCACAGCCGAATTCCACCAGAGGTACAAGGAGGAGCTGGTACCATTCCTTCTGAAACTATTCCAATTAATAGAAAAGAGGGAATCCTCCCTAACTCATTTTATGAGGCCAGCATCATCCTGATACCAAAGCCTGGCAGAGACACAACAAAAAAAGAGAATTTTAGACCAATATCCCTGATGAACATCGATGCAAAAATCCTCAATAAAATACTGAAAAACCGAATCCAGCAGCACATCAAAAAGCTTATCCACTGTGATCAAGTGGGCTTCATCCCTGGGATGCAAGGCTGGTTCAACATACAAAAATCAATAAACGTAATCCAGCATATAAACAGAACCAATGACAAAAACCACATGATTATCTCAATAGATGCAGAAAAGGCCTTTGACAAAATTCAACAACGCTTCATGCTAAAAACTCTCAATAAATTAGGTATTGATGGGATGTATCTCAAAATAATAAGAGCTATCTATGACAAACCCACAGCCAATATCATACTGAATGGGCAAAAACTGGAAGCATTCCCTTTGAAAATGGGCACAAGACAGGGATGCCCTCTCTCACCACTCCTATTCAACATAGTGTTGGAAGTTCTGGCCAGGGCAATCAGGCAGGAAAAGGAAATAAAGGGTATTCAATTAGGAAAAGAGGAAATCAAATTGTCCCTGTTTGCAGATGACATGATTGTATATCTAGAAAACCCCATCGTCTCAGCCCAAAATCTCCTTAAGCTGATAAGCAACTTCAGCAAAGTCTCAGGGTACAAAATCAATGTGCAAAAATCACAAGCATTCTTATACACCAATAACAGACAAACAGCCAAATCATGAGTGAACTCCCATTCACAAGTGCTTCGAAGAGAATAAAATACCTAGGAATACAACTTACAAGGGATGTGAAGGACCTCTTCAAGGAGAACTACAAACCACTGCTCAATCAAATAAAAGAGGATCCAAACAAATGGAAGAACAAGAGGATCCAAACAATGGAAGAACATCCAAACAAATGCTCATGGATAGGAAGAATCAATACCGTGAAAATGGCCATACTGCCCAAGGTAATTTATAGATTCAATGCCATCCCCATCAAGCTACCAATGACTTTCTTCACAGAATTGGAAAAAACTACTTTAAAGTTCATATGGAACCAAAAAAAGAGCCCACATTGCCAAGTCAATCCTAAGCCAAAAGAACAAAGCTGGAGGAATCACACTACCTGACTTCAAACTATACTACAAACAGTAACCAAAACAGCATGGTACTGGTATCAACACAGAGATATGGACCAATGGAACAGAACAGAGCCCTCAGAAATAATGCCACACATCTACAACTATCTGATCTTTGACAAACCTGACAAAAACAAGCAATGGGGAAAGGATTCCCTATTTAATAAATGGTGCTGGGAAAACTGGCTAGCCATATGTAGAAAGCTGAAACTGGATCCCTTCCTTACACCTTCTACAAAAATTAATTCAAGATGGATTAAAGACTTAAATGTTAGACCTAAAATCATAAAAACCCTAGAAGAAAACCTAGGCAATACCATTCAGGACATAGGCATGGGCAAGGACTTCATGTCTAAAACACCAATGGCAATGGCAACAAAAGCCAAAATTGACAAATGGGATCTAATTAAAAACTAAAGAGCTTCTGCACAGCAAAAGAAACTACCACCAGAGTGAATAGGCAACCTACAGAATGGGAGAAAATGTTTGCAATCTACTCATCTGACAAAGGGTTAATATCCAGAATCTACAAAGAACTCAAACAAATTTATAAGAAAAAAACAAACAACCCCATCAAAAAGTGGGCAAAGGGTATCAATAGACACTTCTCAAAAGAAGACATTTATGCAGCCAAAAGACACATGAAAAGATGCTTATCATCACTGGCCATCAGAGAAATGCAAATCAAAACCACAATGAGATACCATCTCACACCAGTTAGAATGGCAATCATTAAAAAGTCAGGAAACAACAGGTGCTAGAGAGGATGTGGAGAAACAGGAACACTTTTACACTGTTGGTGGGACTGTAAACTAGCTCAACCATTGTGGAAGTCAGTGTGGCAATTCCTCAGGGATCTAGAACTAGAAATATCATTTGACCCAGCCATCCCATTACTGGGTATATACCCAAAGGAGTATAAATCATGCTGCTATAAAGACACATGCACACGTATGTTTACTGAGGCACTATTCACAATAGCAAAGACTTGGAACCAACCCAAATGTCCATCAGTGACAGACTGGATTAAGAAAATATGGCACATATACACCATGGAATACTATGCAGCCATAAAAAATGATGAGTTAATGTCCTTTGTAGTGACATGGATGAAGCTGGAAACCGTCATTCTCAGCAAACTATTGCAAGGACAAAAAACCAAACACCGCATGTTCTCACTCATAGGTGGGAATTGAACAATGAGAATATTTGGACACAGGAAGGGGAACATCACACCCCGGGGCCTGTTGTAGGGTGGAAGGAGGGAGGGAGGGATAGCGTTAGGAGATATAGCTAATGTAAATGACGAGTTAATGGGTGCAGCACACCAACATGGCACATGTATATATATGTGACAAACCTGCACGTTGTGCACATGCACCCTAAAACTTAAAGTATAATTAAAAAAAGAAAAAAAGAAATACTTATTGAGTATCAACTACGTGTTAGGCACTGTTCTAAGGACAGCAAACAAGACAAAAATCTCGCCCTAATTGGGAGAGGGGGAACAGAAAACAAGCTAAGTAAAATATAGTATACTAGATGATGGTACGTGCTACAGAGAAAAATAAAGCAGGAAAGAAAGATACAGAATGCTGGGAGGTAGGGCAGATTGGGTATCAACTTAAAATAAGGAAGGCAGAGTAGACCTTACTGAGACAACTAGGGGAGAAAAACGTGAAGATGGTAAGGGAATAAGCTGTCTAAATATCTGGGGGAAAAGCAATAGGAGGGAACAAGATGAGCAAGTGCAAAGACCCTGAAATGGTTATGTACCCAGCATGTCTGAGGAACTGAGAGGAGGCCAGTGTGTTACTGAAGCAATGAAAGGAAGTTAGATTAGTAATAGGAGATGAGGGGAGAGAGAGGTAATAAAGGGCCAGATGGCATAGGGCCTAGTAAGCCATTCTAAGGATTTTGGCTTTTATGTTTAATTCAGTGAGAGACCACTGAAGGGTTGTGAGCAGAGGAATAGCTTGACTTCACTTATGGGTTAAGAGGATCACTCTGGCTGCTAGGTTGAAAATAGAAGGAGTGATCAACTGTGCCACATGCTGCTGATAGGTCAGGTATGGTAAAGACTAAGAAATAGTCACTGGATTTAGCAAAGTGGAAGTCACTGGTTTTCCTGATAAGAACAGGAAGAATGGTGGAAGTGAACATTTGAGATCAAGTGGGTTCAAGAGATTATGGGAAAGAAGGAATTAGAGTATAAAGAACTCTTTCATGGGATTTTGTTGTAAAAAGGAGGAAAGAAATGGGGCATTACATAAATGGGCAAGGGGCTAGAGGATAGCAGTATAACTGTATCCTGATGGAAATCTACACAGAAGAGAGAGAAAACTGATAATACAAAAACAAAAAAACAAAAACAGGGGTGGGGGGTTTAAATATGGAGTAAGATCCTTGAGCAGGATGAGATATAGTACACAAGCAGAGGGGAAGGCCTTAACCAGAAGCCCAGATAGTTCATCCACACTAATACAAAGGAAAGTGAACTATAAAAGCACAGATGCAGGTAAGTCAGTAGATATGGTAGTGAGAATTTGCGGAAGTTCTTTTTTAATGGCTCCTGTTTCATCAGTTAAACGGGAAGGAAGGTCACCAGCACAGAATGATGATGAGGATCGAGATATCTAAATTTTGAGGAGAGAAGAGAAAATATGAAAAAGTCATCTAACTGGTAGAGTTCATGGGATAAGGAAATGTAGTGTCACTGCTGAGATTAGTGGTTATAAACATGGAGTGAGCATGGTTGTGTATTTTTTTCCAGCCATATTTAGCTGCTTGGGTGGAGGTTTGGAAGAGTAGAATTCATTTAAATATCTGCTTTCTGAAAGTCTACTATATACCAGGGACAAAGCAATAAACAAGCCAAGTTACAGTCTTTGCCTTTATGGAGTTTACAACGTAGTTTACATATTGCAAAATAGAAACAACCTATATATCTTAACAGTGGAATGGCTACAAGTATAGTATACTGCAGGCATATTATACGATACTAGGTAGTCATAAGAAATTATGTTAAAAAGAATATGGATAAGAGAAAATATTAATAATAAAGTAGGTTATAAAACTATGTAGAGCATGGTCCCATTTTTGTTTTAAAATTGTATCTCTACCTACAGGAAAAAGATTTTAAAAACATGAGAATGAAAACAGGGATTATCTTGAGGATAATATTATAGATGACAAAGATTTTCTTTTGTTTGCATTATCAGTTTTCCCTATTTTCTGTATAGGTTCCATCAGGATATAAATATGCTGCTATCTCTCCAAACCTTAACCATCCCTCTAATGCCCCATTTCTCTCCTCTTTACAGCAAAATTCATGAAAGCGTTGTCTATACTCTAATTCCTCCTTCCCATTATCTCTTGAACCCACTTGAATCAGATGTTCACTTCCACTATTCTTCCTGTTATTTCAGGAAAACCAATCACTTGTTTTTGTAAAAATTTATAAAATACATTATTACTTTGTAATAAGAAAAAGTTACAGTTAAAATTTATTTTTATGCTCTCTGTGGTCATGGTATTGTTGGTACACTCTCTGAATTGGAATACCATCTACACGCTTACAAACTTCTTCAGTGATTTAATTATTACTTAGCTGTTCCAAGGAAAAACTCATCAAACCGACTAAAATCATGGTTACTTATAAGTAGCTCTTTACAATTACAAGCATGATAGGCTTACCTACCACTTCCCAATCCATTTCTTGTTTGCTGTGTTCCTCAGATCACCATGCCTAATTTGGAGCTTTTGTGTTCAGATGCTGTGGGCTGAAGTGTTCTACTGTTTAATGTGAAATGTTGAGATTTTTGATCTTTCAATTTAGGGAATGTCTACCTAGAAATCAATTAGAGCAAGGACATGAACATAAGAACCATGACTCCAATTACAGAATTGACTGGCAAGTGGGGAATAGAAAGACAGGAGGCCAACCAGACTGTCCTCTAATTAGATTATCTATTCTGCCTTCCAAGAGTAGTAGAGAAAAGGATCAGTCTTTAAAAAAGATATCAAGATTTTTCAACTCTGAATTGTTTGTATGCGTCTAAGCACTTTGATAAAGGATAGGTATTTGAGTGAAACAAAGAAAAGACAATTATCTTAAATTATTATCTAATCCAATTGTAGTGTTTAGGGACCCAAATGTAAGTTGTTCTTCTCTTACTCATTTTTTGTATGCCTAGCATACAATAGGCACTTAAGAAATATTCAATCATGAACATAATTATTTGGAATGATTATGACTCACTAATATAAAGTCTGTTCAGCTTTAAATTATTATTAATAATTATCTTAAGTCTACTATAATACACTTACTATTATAATTATGATGCCTTAATAAACCACATCACTATGTCTCTATAAAATCTTTATTCTATTAGTCTTCTTTGTGTGTTAAAATGGAATTGATATTAAAGCATGAGTATAAGCCCAAACATTTTTTCTCAATAATCTCAGAATAGAATATAGGAACCTAAACCTTAGTCTTTGCAGACATTCTGTTTTAAAATATATTACAAAGAATAAATGGAATTGAATGTCAAGAATGAATAAGTGAAAGCTTTTACTCATCTGGTTTACAACTTATATCAGCTAATTTTTCTAGATTTAAATTGATTGAATTTTTTTTGTTGTTTCATTTCAAATGACCACACCAGAAAAGGTTGTTTGTCATGATTATTTATGTTTTTCCCTTCTGTTTATCTTAAAGGAAATGTTCAAATTTAATCAATATGAAGTTGTTATAAACAGCAGCAGAAACTATTCTAATGAATTAAAATAGGTTATATGTTTGAAATCTTTTAAATAGATGAAACATTAGGGTAAAATAAAAATACCCAACTGAATTAAAAATAAACAAAATTACATAATAGAGTTAAAATGTAAAAAAATTCAAGCATGCTTAAAATTGAAGCTATGAAAGCATAAAAACACATAACCTAAATACTTCAAATATTTAAAAAATCTTATAAAAAAAGAGTTTATTCCACCTCCATATCCTGTTTCCAAATAAATATTAAAAACCTATAAGCAATATACATAAATGATAAAATAATATACAAAGTTTAAAGACTCAGATTCTCAAACAAGGAAAGGCAAGAAGTACCCATAATCCTCCTAAATGATTCTTTACCATACCTTTAAAATGGTAGAGAATCATGGAAGCTCCCTTCCATTTGGCCTGTTTTTCTCTGTTCTGACTTATAGGATTCTAAACTATCACCCAATACTTTGAGACTGGATTCAAAAACAGCTACTCCTCTTTATAAGTTTAAGCAGAACCTTCATCCTTCACAATCCTTACTTAAAACTGTCTCCCACGACCTCCTTCATCTTTTAACTGTATTATGTTTGTGTTCTTCTGCTCCTTTGAAGGTAAGGATCATGGTATAATTTAACTTTATAGACTACGATTTCTTTTATCCTTTGTATCTGCACAAAACTTTGCATATAGTAAAAGTAAGCATAAAAACAAAACAAAACAAAAACAAACAGGCCAGGTGTGGTGGTTCACGCCTGTAATCCAGCACTTTGGGTGGCCGAGGCAGGTGAATCGCTTGAGCCCAGGAGTTTGAGACCGGCCTGGGTGACAGAAAGACACCCTATCTCAAAAGAAAATAAACTACTTGCAAGAAAAGTAAATATAGTTGGCTTTCTTGATTTTTGGCATTTTCAAGTACCTGGAATAGGGCCCAGAGTAGGGAAAAAGTGCTGATGAGGACCATATTAGACACATTGTGACCAGTTGGCTCTGTATAGAAGAAGAATTCTAGCTGGTCTGAGAAAGCAATGAAAGGCCTGTCTTTGACTATGAAATATGAGATGCAACAGAGGAAAAAGAGACTGAACAGTTAAAAAACAGCAAAGAATAAAGAGCATAAATGGGTAAGAGGCCAGCAGAGCCTAATGGTAATTAGAAGGAATGGGGTAGCAACAGTAGCAGGCAGCAGAAATTAGAAGCTATGACACAGGTGGCAACTTGTAGACATTTTAGACCACAGAGAATAGCCAGCCATAAAGAGGACTGGGCTGCATGCCAACCAGTAGGTTTTAGCAATTGCAAGAGAGAAAGAGAAGCTTCAGCCTTATGTCTCACACCAGCTATAAACACCCATGGTATAGTAAAATGATTTAAGAAGGAAGTAATGAAGTATGGAATATATTTTTAAAAAAGTATTTTGTAGAAAAACAGTTAAAAAATAAAAGGCAGAATGTAACTGTTCAGCTAACTGAAAAGAACACTTATCTAGAATGTTTAACCTTCCAGTGCTACAGAGTTGAGACTTCACTGCAGTAAAGAAAAAGGAGCAAACATTGACCGAATACCCATTGTGTGCTGGAAATTTTACAAACATCATTTCTTTTCATTCTCACAACAACCCTATTATGTAAACACTATTATTCCCATTTTCAAAATGAGTAAAATGATGCTCAGAGACATTATATAACTTGCCTAAGGTCCCAGGCCCTTCTAACAACACAATCCGTATTTTCTCAACTCTGCTACTAGAAAAGAGAAAGGAGAATCAACACAGATAATACAAATAAAAAGAAATGCAGTTAAAATTTTTTATTTTTTTCAGGTTAAAGACAATAGGTGGCCTAAGTTATGGTATCACATACAGCATGCTTGTGTAATTCCTATTACCAAAATCTCAAAACTGACATATCATCAGAGAGTGAATAATCTTACTCTTCAACACTATACACTCTTCTTTACCTCTGCATCAGTTGATTGCTATACTTTTTCAAGTTATACATATTTTGAGAAGCTGGAGCTTAGTCTCTATATTTGTATTAATTTACCGAGCTGGTCTAGCATTCAAAGTTAGGTAAATAAGAACAAAGCCAAACTCTTTGAAGGGTGTCTTGCTTATTGCATACTGTTTCTATAACACTATTCAGTAAAAACTCAATATACCTTAATCCACTCTATTCTAAATCCCTTGATGGTGAATGACCAGAAGTAAAAAAGAGAAATCCAGGAAATAATTATTTTCATTCATATTCTCATTCATCTTTCACTTTTACAGTGAAAATTTACATAGTCTGTTAGGCCCACAAAACAGTTCCTCCTCTACAGAAGGTGCTATGAAATAGGCACTTTCATTAGTTGTTAGGAGCATACATTAGTATAAATCATTTAGAAAATGAAAAGATTTATAAATCTTTTAGAAAAAATAAAATCATTTCCTTTCACTTAGCATTTCTAGAAAGGTATCCTAAAAATACTTCAAATATTTAAAAAAACCTTATAAAAAAGTTTATTCCAGTATTATCCAGAATAGCAAGGAATTAGAAACAATCTAAGTGTCCAACAACACAGGGAAAGTTGAGTCGATTATTACGCAGCAATTTCAAATGATGGTCATAAAACATTTATAACTTAGAACATCATTACAATATTATTAATGTAAAATGGAATTATAAAAAATGTTTTTATACTAAGATCTAAACTATATAAAGCAAGCAATTAAACCAAAAAGCACTGTATATTTAAAAATGTTTTAAAAACCTACCACAATGTAAACAGTATGTCTATATGTTTTTTTTAACTTTTCCGTATATTCTGATATTTCTATTATGAACAAGTGCTATCTTTGTAATGAAAATTTTTAAAACCTTGAAATTTTAAAGTTACATTGTTTTACAATGTAGCAAAACCTAGCCTGTAGCAGCTCCCTAGCCTGTAGCAGCTCCCTGAAAACCAGCAGCAAGTGCTGGAGATCTGAAATTCTGAAGCTAAAATTTTAGAAATCCCATTCAGCTTGAGAGATATGGTAAGCATACTGGATGAGGGATATAGGTAGCAAGTGCTGACAGGCTAGATCGGTTAGATCTAACAAGATGGAATTTAACAGACATAGAGAAAAGATCCCGTACCAAGGACCAAGTAGTCACAAACTACATCGTGGAGTAATCTTAGGAGAAACATAAATAGAAGATTTAGGGGCTTTAGTAGAGTGTGAGCTCAGTGAATTTTGATGTAGCTACTCAAAAGCAAATTAAATTTTAGAAATATATTAATAGGTACATACTATTAGAATGAGGAAAGTGATAGTGCTTGTGGTAGGCAGAAATCCAAAGTAAGCCCCAATGACCCAGGCCCTTGTATAATTCCCTTGCCTTGAGTGACGGTGGCACCAGTGAATGTGATGGGAAACCACTTTCATGATGGAGGGCAGAGATGGAATGGAGAGAGCTGGCCTCAAAGAAACAAATAGCCATGTTGACCATTTTGTGAACTGCCTAAGGAGAGGGATGGTGTCTAGGAATGAGGGCCTCAAGTAACTAAGAGGACTGCAAACTCTAGATGAGAATGAAGACTTATGAAGCCTTGAGCAGAGGAACCAGATAAGCCATGCCATAATGCTTGACCCATGGAGACTGTGAGAAAACAAAAGTGTGTTAAGTTGCTAAATTTGTGGTAATTTATTATGCAGCAATAGAAAACTGATACAGGCTGGGCATGGTAGCTCATGCCTGTAATCCCAATACTTTGGGAGGCCAGGGCAGGAGAATCACTTGAGCTTGGGCAACATGGCAAGACCCCATCTACAAAAAATACAAAAATTAGCCAGGCATAGTGGTGTGCACCTGTAGTCCCAGCTACCTGGAAGGCTGAGGTGGGAGGATTGCTTGAGGCTAGGAGGTCGAGGCTGCAGTGAGCTGTGACCATGCCACTGCACTCCACCCCGGGTGACAGAGTGAGACCTTGTCTCAATTACAAAAAACAAAACAAAACAAAACAAAACAAAAATAATGAAAAACGAAAAAAATCCAAACCCAAACTAATACAGAGCTATTCTTTTCTAGGGTCAGATAATTCCTGCAGTGTTAGTAGTAAAGAGCTGTGGGTGAAAAGTACCTTGAAAGATATACATAAAGAGCCTGAAATAGGCTTTGGCTGGATGGTAAAGTAACTTGAAATCATGTCATGTTAGGAACGAAAGACGAAATATCTGAAAACAATAAAACTGTTTGCTTCTATACGGCTACACATTTTAGAAGTAGGAAGAGTATGAGAAAATTATAGGGAGTCAAACACTTAATTTTTCAACAGAAAGTTTTTTTTTTTTTTTTTTTTTTGAGACAGAGTCATGCTTTGTCGGCTAGGCTGGAGTAAAGTGGCGTGATCTTGGCTCACTGCAGCCTCCCCCTCCCGGGGGTTGAAGCAATTCTCCTACCTCAGCCTCCCGAGTAGCAAGGATTAAAGCTGCCTGCCATCATGGCCAGCTAATTTAGTAGAAACAGGGTTTCACCATGTTGGCCCAGCTGGTAGAAAGATCTTTTCAAACTTAAAACGGCTACCTTAATGTTCCTTCAATTCCCTATCCTTGAAAATTTTCAAGCTTAGATGCACGACTGATAAGCAGACACATATAAAGAGGTTCTAGGCCGGGTGCGGTGGCTCACGTCTGTAATCCCAGCAGTTTGGGAGGCTGAGGCGGGTGGATCACGAGGTCAAGAGATCAAGACCATCCTGGCTAACACGGTGAAACCCCATCTCTACTAAAAATACAAAAAATTAGCCGGGCGTGGTGGCGGGCGCCTGTAGCTACTCGGGAGGCTGAGGCAGGAGAATGGCGTGAACCTGGGAGGCGGAGCTTGCGGTGAGCCGAGATTGCGCCACTGGGTGACACAGCGAGACCCCGTCTCAAAAAAAAAAAAGAGATTCTAAGCATTTCTAGATGGCCTGATTAATAATCTTGTCTCTCTCTTAGGCATTTCCATCTTTAAATACTGTATGTGTATAAAGAGGTACTTCTATTTACAGCATAAATATTTGCAGTGCCTAGTGTACTGTAGGCAGCCAATAAGTATTTGTTGAATGAATAAATGCACAAAAGAAAAATATAATGAAAGAAAAAATGAGAATATTAATATCCTACGATCTAATTGCCTTTTAATGCTCCTTTTGGGCAAATTAAAAATAAAACCTTGATGGCAATGAAAGTAGCAGCGGCTATCTGTGGGAGAAAGAAGTATGTCTTTTTGTAGCAAATAAATCAACATAGAGAAGCGACAAGAGCTCTGGACTGTGAGTTTCAGTCTTGGCACTACCACTTTTGGTCCAAAAAATGAACGGAAATGATCAGTCCTGGGGTTCAGGCTGAGTTAGAAGGCATGTTGAGGCAGGAAGAAGTGTAGGATCAGGAGAACTGAGGAAATGGGAGCTATTAAGAGTATTAAGATCTAGAGAAGTTTCAGAATTTGAGGTTGTGACAGGAAGCAAGCTCAAAGATGTTAAGTGTTCAAGTAAGTTAAAATGGAGTATAAATGAATGTAGCCAGGGTTGAGGGGTTTTCACAGACCAAGGATTGGTAGGTGTTAGTATGAATGCTGAAGTGTCTGAATAAGGATAGCTTTAGATAGAATGGAGAAGTAAATTGTAAGCCTGCCCCTCCATTAATTAAAAATCCAGTCCAAACAGCTATCAATTTTTAAACAGTCTAATTCATTTTTTTGATATACAAATGTTCCTTATTTCTTGTCTGCTATATTCCATAGCCTTCTAAACCTTTATTTTCTACTTATTCAACTGCTTTTACTAAGAACTTATGACAAACTTATTAGGCAACATATCAACAAATAAAATCTGAATAAGCTTTCTTTTTGCTCTTATAATTTTTTTCTCTCAGGTTAATAGGACAAAATATCATTAGGAATCAAAAATATAACAGAATATTACCCTTTTCACTAAAAATGTTATTCACAGCATTTATAGGCGAAGGGGCAATTTTTTCCTGAGTTTTTTTTAACCCATTTTAGGATGTTGCGAGAGCAGTATCACTTGTTTAATATAACTTTGTATCCTTTATTTAACTTAATTTTTCTTATAAAGTCAGCTTTTATTTACTTATAAAAAAATAGAACGCTTCACGAACTTGCATGTCAGGGGCCATGCTAATCTTCTCTGTATCGTTCCATTTTTTTAGTATAATAAAAAATATAAATAAAAAATTTTAATTTCTTTTTTTTTTTTGGAAACGTCTCGCTCTGTCGCCCAGGCTGGCTCGCGGGCGATCTCGGCTCACTGCAAGCTCCGCCTCCCAGGTTCACGCCATTCTCCTGCCTCAGCCTCCGGAGTAGCTGGGACTACAGGCACCCGCCACCACGCCTGGCTAATTTTTTGTATTTTTAGTAGAGATGGGGTTTCACCGTGTTAGCCAGGATGGTCTCAATCTCCTGACCTCGTGATCCGCCTGCCTCGGCCTCCCAAAATGCTGGGATTACAGGCGTGAGCCACCGTGCCCAGCCTTTTAATTTCTTTAGTATAAAAAAATAAATAAAATTTTTTTTAGTATAATAAATTTTATGTGTTGCCAAAGCAACCACTAAAGTTAGCTTTTAAAAATGGATTTAATTTTTCCATTAAAGATGGGCTTTGTTAGAGTCGTATGACCTTGTTTATTAGTGGGCCTTTCTCTTTAATATTGTTTTATCCTGAAATAAATCACTTCCTATTCTTGTTAGCTTCTCTTTCTATCCTGCATAGAGTTTTTATTAATGTTTCAAATCCTCTTTGGTTTTTCCTCTAAATGTCACTGTAAAACTGATTTTTTTCTCAAGTCTTGAAACCTTTAAGCTACCATAAAATCACGTAAATATTTTTTTTTCTATTTGTATTCTAATTTCCTCCTCCTAACAACTGCATAATTTTGATGTAATCAACCAGGCTACACAATAATAGTACAACTAAAGGTGTTTCAGTCCTCTCCAGTGACCCTTTTTTTTTTTTTTTTTTTTTGAGCAGAGTCTTGCTCTGTCGCCCAGGCTGGAGTACAGTGGTGCGATCATAGCTCACTGCAGCCTCGATCTCCTGGGCTCAAGCGATCTCCCTGCCTCAGCCTCCAAAGTAGCTGGGACTATAAATGCAGGCCATTATGCCTGGCTAAATATTTTTTACTTGTATTAATAGAAAAGATAAGGTCTCACTATGTTGCTCAGGCTGGTCTCCAACTTCTAAGCTCAAGCGATTCTTCCACCTTGGCCACCCAAAGTGCTTGGATTACAGGTGTGAGCCACCATGCCTGGCCGACTCCTAATTCTGATTTCTTCCCAGCATTTCACTCAATGTGTTAAGAGACCCTAGTTCAGGTATTTGAGAAATCGATCTATATTTTCTATTGTTGTTACCGAAACACAAATCCTTGGTCAATTCAACATCAATAACCAAAATTAATACAAGGGTATCTTCACTGGTATTCCTTCCTATTCCCTTTCTCCCTAGTAACAGTACACTGTTACTAATCACTCTAAAAAATTCCTTATAGTCCTCATTTAAAACACACCCACACTCACCCAAATTCCTTACTCTGAGTATTTATGGCTTCCATAGTCTGCCCGAGCTGTTTCTGCTACCTATCCCTTTCCACACCTCAGCATCCTTCAAATATCACCTAGCCTTTACAGTACAAGATAGGCCACAATTCATAACTGAAGATGTCTCCAACTACGGTGCTCCCTAGTAATCTCTCCCTTTTTTTCCTATTACCTCTTCCAATGCACTTGCAGATGATCTCTCATTATGGGATTTGGTTATAGTCTGGCTCATAATTGTTCTTTAATAATTTAACGAGTTTTCTACTGTCTCAGATAGTAAGCGATGTCAGGGCAGGAACCACAGTTTGTACCTCTTGTGTCTCCTAATGTCTTGTTGCATCCAGGTCATGGAGTAAGTATTTAATAAAATATTTGAGTTAAATTTAATAATTTCAGGGCTGTTACTTTTCCTATGTTTATATTGCTGATTTTATTCTTATGGTAATCTGTATGCAGAATTTCTAGTAACTACTCTTAACCATAATAAATAATCCTATGAAATATAATATAGGTGAATTGCAGATATCTATTTCCATAGAAAACTGATAAAAATATATAGGTTTATTCTCAATCTAGACATCTTTATGTCATTCTATAGCTTATATTACTTTTCAGGTATCCCTTTAATCTGGGTGCTGTCAGTTACCTGCCAGATATTACGTTTTTTTTTTTTTTTGAGACAGTCTTGCTCTGTCACCCAGGCTGGAGTACAATGGCACAATCCCGGCTCACTGCAACCTCTGCCTCCTGGGTTCAAGCAATTCTCCTGCCTCGGCCTCCCGACTAGCTGGGACTACAGGTGCGTGCCACCATGCCTGGCTAATTTTTTGTATTTTTTAGTAGAGACAGGGTTTCACTGTGTTAGCCATGATGGTCTCGATCTGACCTTGTGATCCACCCACCTCAGCCTCCCAAAATGCTGGAATTACAGGTGTGAGTCACTGTGCCTGGCCCGATATTACGTTTTTTTTTTTTTTTTTTTTGATAGGGCATTGAGATACCACTTCACATCTCTATTAAGATGGCTAGTATCAAAAACACAGAAAATGACAAGTGTTGGCTAGGATTTGGGGAAAGTGGAACCTTCAAGTATTGCTAATGAGAATGTAAAATGGTGCACCTGCTGTGAAAATGGCTTGGCAATTCCTCAACAAATTAAACAGAGAATGATCCAGTAATTCCACTTTCCAGAATTGAAAGCAGGGACTTGAACAGGTATTTTTATATCCATGTTCACAGTGGCATCATATACAATAACCAAAAGGTGGGAACAATATGCATATCCATCAGCAGATGAAAGGATAAACAAAATATGGTATATACATACAAAGTGAGTATTATTTGGCCTCAAAAAGGAATGCAATTCTGACACATGCTACAACATAAACCTTGAAGACATTATGCTAAATAAAATAAGCCAGACACAAAAGGACAAATATGCTACAATTCCATTTACATGAGGTACATGTAGTCAAATTCAGAGAGACAGAAAGTAGAATTATGGTGGCCAGGAGGCGGGGTGGGGATAACGGGCATTTATTGTTTAATGAGCACAGACTTTCAGTTTGGGAAGATAAAAAAGTTCTGGAGATAGACGATGGTAATGATTGCACAACAATGTGAATGGATGAATAAATGAATGCTTTATTGTTAATATTATTATTATTATTTTAGAGATGAGGTCTTGCTATGTTGTCCAGGCTGGCCTCAAACTCCTAGGCTCAAGTGATCTTCCTGCCTTAGGCTCCTGAGGATCAGGAGGTTTTCACCACGTTGGCCAGATTGGTCTCTTACTCCTGACCTAAGGTGATCCACTCGCCTCAGCCTCCGAAAAGCTGGGATTACAGGTGTGAGCCTCCGCACCCAGCCATATTTTTTATAGGTTTTGTTAGATTTGGGTTCAACATTTTTTGGAAGAATACAAGTATTATTCTGCTTCCTACTGAGAGGGGGCCTTAAAAAGCAGATGGCATTTGAGACAGTGTGGATGGAAGCATGTGAGAGACAGTAAGGGTAAACAATACAGGTAAAGAACAAACATGAGCAAAGGCACAGATGGAACAAGTGTGTGATATGTTCAAGGAAAGAAACTACATTAACTAGAGATAAGACTTTCAATACTGTTCACTGCACTTTATACACAGAGTACATCCCATTCAGCCCTGCTGAATCAGCATATCTAGGGATGAAGGCTCAGATACCTTTATTTTTACAAAGTTCCCAAGAAAATTCAATACTTTACCAGGTCTGAAACTTACTGTCCCAGAGAATAGTGTACCTGTAAGTAGCTTGTTCGTGGTATGTCAAGCTCATTCCTACTTCAGGGACCTTTTTATTACGACTTATAGCAACTTCTCTTCATTGAATTCTCAGCTTGTCACTTTCTCAGTAAAGTCTTACCTGATCACTGTTTAAAGTAACCACCACTATTTTATTTCTTAGAACTTAACTGATATTATCTTGTTTGTTTTTAGCATATTTTCTTCATTAGAATGTATGCTCCAAAAGAACGTGAATCTTGTCTTGTTTACTATAATTCTAATGCCTAGAAGAGGTATGGGGTACATAAAAGGTAGACACTAAATATCCACAGAATGAATGGATAAATTTGGCTGACTTAGGAAATTCTTTTTGGAATATTCTTATGTAATGTAGATAGAAAATAATAAAATTATTCTTTAAGCTTTTCTTCACTGAGATTGGTTAGTAAATACTTCTTGAGAATTTCTTTTTGTCATTTTAGATGTTTTACTCTGTGATAGCCCATGTCACCTTACTGGTTAACAGAAAAAATTTGGGCAGCATTTCATAGAAGACAACTGCAACTCTGAACATCTATCCAATCAGTTCAATAATAATTTCCAAATGTACTTAATGGCCTATTAAATCAGTAATTAGAAATCAAATTTTGCTAGGCTGCAAAAGATGTCAGAATTATGTATGCTCAGACTAAGATATTTTAAAATTAAAATTGTATTTAATTAGCATTCCTCGGAGAAATATATTTTAAAATTAAAATTTTATTTAATTAGTGTTCCCATAATCTATATTAAAAATTTATTTGTATCCTGCTGACTTACAAAAATATATGCAGGGCAGGGTAAAGATACAAAAAGAGCTTGTGGTGGTTAAAAAAATTCAATGACATAAAACAGTTAACAACCACAAAAAAAAAAAAAAAAAAAAGCCCAGCAAAGAAAATGATTTAAGGTTTAAGGAAAAGAAAAAATATTAATAAAGCAAAAACATTTTAATATAGATAATTTTGTGAGTGTTTGAAAACATTTCCTCCCTTTCATCCACACTTTTGTGAGCTAAAGTTAATGGATTTCTATTGCATTCCTGTTGTCACTACTACCAAATGCTTTCGTATGGATGAGGCAGATACCTGGTTATTTAAGGAGCAGGATAAATGGGCCAAGACAGCTTTCCCTATCCCCAATTCACCAGGGAACATTTGAAAATTCCACCTGACATGAGGACAGCACTGTGCTCTTAAACAATCTGCAGTTTGATCCGATTGTTCCCCAGTGGGGGAGGTAGGCCACAGCTCACTCAAGAGTCATTGATTGGATTAACAGCCTAATTCCCAACAGATGAATAGAATACTGATGTCTTGTCAGCCCAGATCACAAAAGGAAAACACAATCTGCTTCTACAGCTCAGAGATTTAACCCTCTATTTACCCTGAAGCTACAATGTCAGTTTTGAGTACTGTAATTTATTCATAACTATTTGCCTATAAATATTATCAAATGTGGTTTCATCACCACCCACAAGCTTTCATCCCCCTTTATGGTATTTTTTTTTAAACACTTGCCATGGACTAGGGGATATGGTAATTTTAAAAAATGTTTAAAAACATGAAAAGATTTTTATTTCAATTTTTACTGTACACATTAGTCTTGCCGCCTAAATTCTTTCCTGGGTCTCCTAAAAAAAAGTTAAATAAGCTGTTTTATTTAGGGCCCCGATAAAGTAGGACTGCCGATGAAAGAAAAGTAACAAAACCCATGCATTCAAAGATAAAACTATTTTGAGCTATTTTTTCTAGTATAAGTGACTGGTTTTAAGGAGAATGAATGACTGTATTAAAGGGAATAGATTCTCAATAAATGTTAGCTTTAGTTTTATTCCCCTGCTGCACCTCTATCTACCAGCCCTTCTGTAATTTAACAACTTTTGTGTATGACTGTGCAACTAAGAACCAAATAAGAAGGTCTTATTTCTGATATAGTTTTTAAAAAATAAGAATAAAACACGTCCTCCAAGTCACTTATGAATTAGAATTCTATAATAAAGACATACGCAACATTGTCTCTGAATAGTAAAGCACACAAAGATGCAGTATTCCAGGTGGCTTTAATAATACCTTATTTTGTATACCTTTCTGCATGCTGTATACTGTCAATGTAACAACAACAAAAAAGATTTATGTCAATTGTGAGTAAAAACAATGATGGTAGTGGCTAATGCTGTTTACCGCACTAGGCAATTTTTACATGAGTTCTTTTATTAATCTCATCCAACCACCTTATGAAATAGGTACTAAGTTATCTCATTTCACAAATGAAGAAACTAACGCTTAGGTTAAGTAACTTGTCCAAGGTCACATGATTTGTAAGTGGCAGAGTCAGAACTTAGAAGGTCTCTGGCTCCCAACCTTATGCTCTTAACTATGACTGGGATTTCATGGGTTTCTCTGTGTATCTTCATACGTATATGGAGGTTTTACAGTATTCTAATCTTAAGATTCATTCTTCTCTTTGAGTATGTTACCATTCTTTTGGGAAAACATCTTTAAGTGCATGTCCTGTACTGACTTTTCTTTTTCTTTAGGACATTTCAGCAAGGATGTCATAATAGCTCACTAAAATTAGCCATGTCAAAACCAGAGCTCATTATTTTTTTGCCCATAGCTTTGAAGTCATGTTCAACTTCTCTTTTATTTTTTATATTATCTTTCATCAAGTGAGGTTGATTGAATTCTCCTTCTGTACTATATATATCTCTGGTTCTTTCTTTTTCCACAGTAATGAACTCTATCCAGGCCCTCACTTCCTAATCCACTAACTCCTACAAGAGCTTCCTTAATAATTTATGTAGTCTCCCATCCCTTTTGCAAGCATTGTCTTATGCATGCCACTACTCTGTTTAAAACTTTGAAGCTTATTCCAACTGTCTTCAAGTCATACAAGAATTTCTAACTACAGATTTCCCTAGCTTTGAACAGAATCTGTCATATTGCTATAATTTTTTTTTTTTTGAGACGGAGTCTTGCTCTGTTGCCCAGGCTGGTGTGCAGTGGCGTGATCTCGGCTCACTACAACCTCTGCCTCCCGGGTTCAAGCAATTCTCCTGTCTCAGCCTCCCGAGTAGCTGGGACTACAGGCACACGCCACCACGCCCGGCTAATTTTTTTTTTGTATTTTTAGTAGAAACGGGGTTTCACCATATTGGTCAGGCTGGTCTTGAACTCCTGACCTCAGGTGATCCATGTGCCTCGGCCTCCCAAAGTGCTGGGATTACAGGCGTGAGCCACCGTGCCTGGCCTATTGTTACAATTTTTAAGACAGGGTCTTACTCTGTCACCCAGGCTGGAGTGCAGTGGCATGATCACGACTCACTGCAGCCTTGACCTCCCTGGACTCAGGTGATCCTGCCACCTCAGCCTTCCAAGTAGCTGAAACTACAGGTGTGTGCCACCATGCCCAGCTATTTTTTGTACTTTTTGTAGAGATGGGGTTTTACCGTGTCGCCCAGACTGGTCTTGAACATCTGGGCTCTAGCTATCCACCTGCCTCAGCCTCCCAAAGTGCTGGGATTACAGGTGTGAACCACTGCACCCGGCCTATTGTTATTATTTTTTAAATTAACATCGTATATACAGGAAGTTTAGATCAGTTCAAATATGATAATATATCGTATAATGAAAATAGATTGTTGGCTGGGCGTGCTGGTTTCCGCCTGTAATCCCAGCACTTTGGGAGGCCGCGGCAGGTGGACTGCTTGAGTTCGTAAGTTCAAGACCAACCTGGGCAGTATGGCGAAACCCCATTTCTACAAAAAAAATACAAAAATTAGCCAGGTTGTGGTGGTGTGTGCCTGTAGTCTCAGCTACTTGGGAGGCTGAGGTGGGAGGATGGCTTGAGCATGGGCGGCGGAGGTTGCAATGAGCTAAGATTGAGCCACTTGCACTCCAGCCTGGGCAACAGAGCCAGACCTTGTCTCAAAAGAAAAAAAAAAACAAAGATTGTTTATATTTGGTATTATGATATTATATATTATAATCTAATTCCTTATGGTTACACTTCTATCATAACCATTACAGTAAAAGACACTTTTGAAAACTAACAATGACTGACAGGAAGAGAAGATTACATTATTTGGAAAGAGACAAGGAAAAAGCTCAACTAACACCAATTTAAAAAATAATTCACAAGATATCGACAGCATAAAAGATTTTTAATGACACTACTGAGCTTTCCACAGATCTTTCTTGATTCAGACATGCTGTTCTTTAAGAAAATTAAAACATATTTATATATCTTTTTACACAACACTTTATATGTGCCAACTTATTTGAAACTAACATCCTGAAATAAGTAAGGTAGGTAATAGTAGCTATATTTCGTGGATAAGGAAACTCAAGTTCAACAAGATTAAATGACCTGCCCCCAAATGATAGCATGCCAAACAGCAGAGTTAGGGCTTAAATTTATGTTCCTCGATACAAATGGAATAAGTAAAGAAACGGTAAGTCTTGAGATATTAATGTCTAATTCCCATTTTTAGAGCACAAGCAAAAGTTATTGTTCAATTTGGATAATAAAACACAAGCTACTAATATTCTGGCTAGCCAAGATCCCTCTGCATCCCTGCCCCAAATATGCTGCTGACATTCATTCAGATAAGCATGAAGAAATCCAACTAAGAGAAGAAAGGACAGCCTCAATAATCAAAAAAGGTAACTTTATACTAAGATTAAATGATCTAAAACAAGTGTTTTGAAGATACAAATATCACAAACACATTCTATCACCAGCACACATCAAGACAGGTCTCAGTAGAGGTTCCCTAGAAGCTGGAAGACCTTCAGGAAGATGATCCTCAAAGTCTTCCTCTTCTCAGTATATGAAAGAAGGAGCAACAGTGTGCATGAAGAAGCAGAACTGCTTCCCTACAGGTGAAAGACTTGGCAAGACTTTCATGGTGCTAGAGACTTGATGCTCTTGCCAGCAGAGCTTATTTCATAAGCTCTTGTAATTCTTTGGTCGTTCATATTGTGTTAACTCTTGAATTTGGGGTAAAATTTTATAGCCCTCAATAACATAAATTGGGCATACAGAAATCATTGTTCTGGATACTTTGGTCAGGGATAAAGTTGCCTAACAATGCTGGAAAGTATGGTAGCCATTAAAAAGAAAAATTCCTTGAAAGTCATGTTGTTTTTAACAAAGAGGTTTTCACATTCTACATGTCTGCAACTTTAGACTTCTATCATGTAATACAAAAACAGCACTTTAGGGCCGAGTGCGGTGGCTCACGCCTGTAATCCCAGCACTTTGGGAGGCCGAGGTGGGCGGATCATGAGGTCAGGAGTTCAAGACCAGCCTGATCAACATGGTGAAACCCTGTCTCTACTAAAAATACAAACATTAGCTGGGCATGGTGGCGCATGCCTGTAATCCCAGCTACTCAGTTGGCTGAGGCAGGAGAATTGCTTGAACCCAGGAGGCGGGGGTTGCGGTGAGCCGAGATTGTGCCATTGCACTTCAGCCTGGGCAACAGAGCAAGACTCCGTCTCAAAAACAACAACAACAACAACAAAAAAAAAAAACCTCACAGCATTTTAGCATGTATTCTAAAATAAGTCATATTAACTTTGGTTATCCTTAAAAAAAAAAGTAACATTAGCAATATCATACAGAAACCCCAAAAAAAACCCCAAAAGAAAAACAATTTTAATAACAAAATCAAATCAATGATGTACTCTTTGTGGTAAAAGAAATATATTTTGTCTGATTATGGAAACCAGGTTAAAGATGAGGGCTTGAACAGTTGTGTCCTGAAACTAGCAGACTGCAGGTTTTATAAATACATACAGAAATAATTAAAATATAAGGGGTTTAGAGGGATTAATCTCCTTTGAATAATCTCTGCCACAAAGCCTGTAAAGACACTGCTGGCACCAGGCCCATGTCAGACCAGCTGTCGGATATCAGAGCAGTGGAGAGATTAACTGCTACCACTTCTGCACTGACCTCCTCTATGCAGTCTTCTCTGGACTCCATCTTCAGTACTTACTGCACCAGAAGTAAACTTTAGCTTAATAATACCAGTACAATGTGGAAAATTATCATTTGACTTGATTTACCTATCCTTTGCTGAGGATAAAAAAAAGAAGAAAGGTGGTGCTGGAAGGGAATCACAAAATACAGGGCTCCAAGGACTCTAGGGAAATGCAGAACGGCTCCAGAAAAGTGCTGATTACCTGATTTCATTCATTTAACCCACGGCAATTTCAAAGTCACCTTTAATTATTTTCAAACTGAGTTTTAAGTAATGCAGATAGTACCCTTAATCCCAAAGGAAGCACAAAGCGACTGATAACTCTTTTAAAATAACATTTATTTTACTTGAAAGCTAGCCACAAATTCAACGTATATTTTTTAAAAGGTGACAGTGCCAATAAATAAAACAAAAATATTTATAATACTGAGTGAGATGGATTTTTTTTGGCCCCCCTCTATCGCTATTATACAGTATTTCCAGGACTTTAGAAGGAAACCATTAAAAAAATAGCTTTGAGGATGACATGAAATCAATGTATCTAAAACCCCCTGTAAAAATATAAAGTGTCACGCAAATATAAGATGCCTGTATTATTTTATGAAAAGGATTTGTTAGGATGGAATTTACTTGGATTGATGGAAGAAAAGTGTTAAACAAAAGAAAATTATGAATTACTACCAAGCATTTAGACATTTAGAAGATATACATGTACTCATCATCATATGTATTTTTCCACCAGAAGAAAATGAGACTGGTTGCTGCACTACCTTCTTTCAGTGGGGTCCTAAGCCTCTTTTATTCTTGCTTTGCTGTTATGACTTTTAGATAAGTCAACAAATCCCTCTCTTAGAATTTCTTCTTGTCAAATAATGGTGTTTTTTTTGTCTCCTATTTATTTCCAAAGTGCATTTTAAGAACAGATGAATAAATGGCATGTAACTCTAGACTCTAGAGAAGACCATTATGTCAATTCTAAGTATTTTTAAGTAAAATATTACAGACATAGAAAGTGAGATATTCCAGATAACATTATTATTTACTATGCAAAAATAATTTTAAAAAATCAGAATATCAAACTTACTTTTTAATTTTTTATTGAATAACAAGGTACTTTGGGTTTTTACATAGATAAAGGCAGAAGTTTTGATAAAAAGAACTTTTTTAATAGGATATAAACAACAGCTTTATTATGCAATTGGTTATAGAAAACACATTCAGTTTCTATTCTTTAAAGAACACACAGGGACCTAAGTTTTCTCTTCTGCACCTTCTCTAAAATGAAAGTTCTATCTTCATGTTATTTCCCCCCTTCAGACTGGGTTTTAAAAACTGCCAATTAAGGAGACAAACGTCCAAAAAATGCCCATCCACTCAAGACTGTATTGGTATCCATCAGCACATTTTTCACCTATTAGGATGCTCTCAGATGTTAATGACTTTCAGAACTAACTGATTTGATTCAAAATATGAACCACTAATCCAGAGGTATCTCTTTTCACACATGCCCTTGGCCAGTGGTTCTCCAACTGTGGGTCCCAGATCAGCAGTATCAATTTCACCTGGGAACTTGTTAAAAATGGAAATTCTCAGGCTCCACCAGAGACCTAATGAATCACAAACTCTGGGGTGGGGCCCAGCAATTTGTTTTAACAAGCTCTATGTAATTCTAATGGAATCTAACATTCGAGAACCACTGCCCTATGCTAGTAAATTCTCTGTAAAGGAGCACTATCTTTTGGACAAACAGAAGTCAACCTTTGTGAAGTAATTAAATGTGACAAAAAAATTATTAAAATATTATTTTAAATAATATTATCTTATTCCTTAATTTTAAAATTTAAACATACTTGGCAGAATTTCTTTTCATCTTCAAGTGAAAGGCTACCCATTAAGGAGAGCATTATAGTCTGGTACACTGTTTTTATAGTTCTATAACATAAACTGACATTTATTGGAGCTTCACATAAGGTTTTTCCATCAACGGATGTGTTGGAAGAGTAATAACCAAGTATGCTGTGTTGGGCAAATACCTACACATCAGGACACTTTTCAAAGCCATCACGCAAAGGGGGGTCAGTTGAATTTTTTTTACTGCACAGGCTAATGCTTTAAGAGTGTCTTGATGGAATCAAGGAAATTGGATTGTCCCCCCATTTGCTGGGCTAAAACAAGCCTTTTTTATTTATCCCATTAGAGGAACACAAGAGAAACCTTTTAAATGTCACTAAAAATTTCCCTGCTTTGCAAAGCCCAGTCAAAAGGGTTTTAATTTTCTCTGAGAACTCTTAAGTAATGCAGTATGTCAAGGTTTAATAAATTGTAGGTGGGGATAGTTTTTGTTACAAGCAACTTTTTTTTTCCTTTTTTTTTTTTTTTTAAACAGGTGCTTAGATATGCTTAGGCTTCTTTATATTGAGAGGATGTCAGGGCGCTACCTTAAAGAGCAGAGAACTAGACCTCAGTCCAAATAACAAACAAATAATAGAATCTGTAAAGTATCTGTAAAATCTGTAAACACATAATGGAATCTGTAAAATATTTCAAACAAATTTTATAGACACTTTTTTAAAAGAAAATGTTTTAAAATGTATTAAAAGTAATGATTAGTAATTCTATAAGTGATGCTTCTCTGTTGAGCTTCTTGAATAATTTCTTACGGGATTTGGTCTTGAAGAAAGCCAACCCTCAAAGGAGAGCACAGAGATTAGGCATTCAATGGCCTTCCAATAGAGACAGTATCTAGCAAAAACAGATACTGTATTCCCAAGCCATGCAGATAAATGCCTATAATGGGGTAAAACCCCACATTTTACAACTTTCAAAATACCACAGAAACATCAATCAATAAAACCAGGGTTATTTATATGTTATATGGATTACATACATCCTTAGAAACATAATAAAGAGGTGGTTTACACTTACTTTCTCTGAACATATATTTATTTTGCTGTATTTATTGAACATTCTAGGTTTTATATTGTTGCTGTTGATTCCCCCCACCCCCATTCAATAAAATATTAAAAGTACTGCCAACCACAAAATGTTATAGAGGGAACACAATAGGGAACTTTTAAAAAATGAGAATCTATTCTGAGATAGACACGTGACTATCTATAAATGAAGGTGGTTCCTCTCCTGAATCATCACCTTAATAGAAATATCTTTAATCATACTAAAATGAGAGAAATGTACATTATCCATTCCCTAGCTCCCCACACCAAATGAAGAGAAAGAGAGGGAGAGAGGGACAAAAGAAACTGTGCTAAGGGCAAAATACTTAGTATTTTCAAATGGAATAATGAATAATTAAGTTATATCAACTATTCTTTTATTACGTGCATTTAAAAAGTACTTTTAGCTCACAACAGGGCCAGATGGTATGAGATTCAACAATGACATAGTTCTACAGGGAAATCCTCAGGCTGCTAGTGCCACTTTACTAACTGCTATGTTTTGAGTCCACCCTATGACCACAGCTGCTCCAGAGGGAGACCAAATGCCAACTGACAAAAGAAGGTGAAACAGGATGGGAAAAAAAAGATGACTGTTTTGTCATGTAACAATCAGCTATCCCTATACCTTAAATAAATATGCTTTAATAATTAGAATTCATATTCAAGTGCTAGTATGTTCTTTTATGGAAACCCCAGCTTTACTACTTAAGTTCCTAATGCATTCACTATTAATCATTCTATCCTTCATACATAGAGAGATGTAGTTTTTCTTTCTTAGCTGTTGGCAATGACAACTCAGAAGCTCCAGATAAAATTCTGAGTTGTTAGGCCTTAAAAGTTGAGATGGTTCAAAGTCACCAAATCTATCAACACTGGTAAAAATACTACTAATTTTAAAAAGACAAACTAATAAGCAACCAAAGGGAAAAGAAGCTAAACATGGAAGGAAGTATATTTAGAAAAGCGATTATGTAATGAATATTTAATCATTACAAAGAGCCTGCCATTGGCTTAACTTCATCACTGTTGGCATAGAACCTATGCTAATCCCAAATCCCAACACTCAGGTGACTAGAGAAGTTGAGAAACTTTAATATTCTCTTTGCTGGGATGCAGGGATTCTCACTCTGAATTCTTGCATTCCTAGGATAGCCAAGGGCGGGCTCTGGCAAATGTATTAACTTATTAACATATTTTGCAAAAATTTAACATGTAGGTCCTTTTTCTCTGGTGTTCATAACTTTCCTCATATTCTTCCTAAAATGGTTAAAGACCACTGTTGTGAGATAGCAGTACAGATTAAACAGGATTGGCCACAAATTGGTAATTGCTGAAACTAGATATTCTCTTTATTTTTGTACCTCGTTGAAGTTTTTGTAATTAAAAGGTTATTTTTAAAACGATTGTGAGGAAAGAATTCATTATGTACAAAATAAATTTTGATAGAGGACTGTGGAATTATCTAAGTGAACTAATGTGAATAATAATTCTATTTTTCCTTATGAGCTAAGTGAAAATGAAATAAAAGTTTTGTAATTTACAAGTGTAGAAAACAAAAGTATGGAAATTTTTCATGTCAAAGCTTTCAGTGAGGCAAGTTAGTTTACTTTTGAGTTCCTTATTTTGTTTTACGAAATGTTAAAAGTTGATGAAAAAGCAGGAAAAAAGGAGAGAAAATGTAACGGGCAAAGCAAAGACTGCAAAGACAGTGGTGGTTTGGTCCTTGGGAGGGAGGACTGAAAGGAATGAAGTGATGGGTCTAATCAAATCACTTAAAAAAGCAGCAGCTTCTCAGAGTTAACCTTGCCAATCAGAGTAAGCAGGAGCAGGAGCAGGAGCAGGAGCAGGAGCGGGAGCATGCTTGTGCACATTAAACTTCACATGTGTCCTTGAACCTATGGTGCACTTCCTCCTCCCACAGCAGCCAGGGAAGGCTTTGTAATGCTCATCCTTAGAGAGAACCTTGAATTCCATTAGAAAGCTCCACAAAATGGAGAAACCCTCAAGTGGCAGCTTGAACCACATAGACAGCTCATACCCTTTACTGATATTAGAAGTAAGCTCATGGGATTAAGTCGGCAAGTACTAGAAAATTAAAAAGTATGAACACACTGACAAATGCCATGATACCAACAAGAATACAAGATGTGTCTAAGCCTTTTTTCCTGCTTTTTCTTTACCTTTTTAAAAAAAGGGATGGCAAATATTTAAAACAATGCTACAATAAAGACTGGGCACTAAGTCTACAAAGAAACTCTATAACTTGTCTGGCTAATATTGGGCTAATATAATATCTACATCTATACAGTGATTTGCTATAAAACCATTCACTTATTGATGGCCTAGCACATTTTACAAATAAGCTACACTTTAAGAGGAACAGTAAAGGCAGACACCTTGCCTTTGATGTCACATCTATTAAGTTACAGCTCTACTCTGTTCCCTACCAGTGATAAGACATCTTATATAATGTACATTTTTAGTGTTACATGTTTAAAAAGGGACATTGATTCAGTAATGAGCCACTAGGTTGGTGAAACTAGTCTGGAGAAGACTTAGGAAGAAAATGTCTACTGTCTTCAAATAACAGAACGGTTGACACCTGGAAGGGAGGAGATACAACTTTTCTTCATAGTTTTAAGAGTCAGAACTAAAACGAGAGTGAGTTATAGGTAAGCAGACATAGATTTAACAGGTAGGAGAAATTTCTAATAATTAGCACTTTCTGAAACAGAATAGGCTATTTTGTGAAGTAAACAGAAATCTTCAGACAGGCTAGCTGGCTTAACCATCTTTTGGAAATTTAGTGGAGAGGAGTCCTGCATTAGGTGGGAGTTGAACCAGATGATCTTTAAATTCCTTTCTATCTTTTTTTTTTTTTTTGAGATGGAGTCTTGCTCTGTCGCCCTGGCTGGAGTACAGTAGCGCGATCTTGGCTCACTGCAACCTCTGCCTCCTGGGTTCAAGTGATTCTCCTGCCTCAGCCTCCCGAGTAGCTGGGACTATAGGCGTGTGCCACAACGCCTGGCTAATTTTCTGTAGTTTTAATAGAGACAGGGTTTCGCCGTGTTAGCTAGGATGGTCTCAATCTTCTGACCTCGTGATCCGCCCACCTTGGCCTCCCAAAGTGCTGGGATTACGGGCATGAGCCACCGCGCCTGGCCAATTCCTACTTTTAAGATTTTACAATTATTATTTATTCAAGGTCATAGTTAGTGGCAGAATAGAAATTGGAATTCAGGTAACGTGACTCCAAACACAGTCTTTCCAAACACAAGGTTATAAACTCCTCAAAAGTCTTCAGGCAAAAATATAAAAGACTGAGGTCAACTGGGTCAGGGAAACTGAAGAGTTCAAAGCCTGTCAACAGAGGGCAGTAGGTACTCAGCTCTAGTTGATAGAAGAACGTGCCCACGATTGCCATATTTGCAGATTTTTCAAGAGAAGTCTAAAATCTGTACTTTTATATGAAATTAACTGACAGTTAATTATAAATAAATTGTGGACTAACACTACAGGTGTCAAACAAAAACAGATCTATGGGCTGCACATGACTTATACTGTTTTGTGACCATGAGACTTTACTCAAAAACTCCATTTCCAAACTACTGATTTTAAAAAATCCTTCTCTGGAGTCTTCAAATTTATCAACATCCTTTTTGAAATACAAAAATCTAAGCTTTATGTTTTATATTAATTACATCCTAATAATTGCTATGTATATAACAGTACTTTGCCCTGGCCTTTATAGATTATATTCCTATTACTGTAATGGCAGCAGTAAATTTGCTTTGTAAGAGCAACACTACATTGCCATCTCATTGTTTACCTACGGTCCACAATAGCCGTCAAATTTTCTACTGATGATATTTGTGCATAAACAATCTCTATACATGTATACATGCATATGGTCCATAAGTATATTTAAATATGCTCCATATTCTATAATTATTTCACGGAAAAATTACTTTTCTTTGAAGAGTCTTTTTTTTCTTATCTTTTTCCCATCTTTCAGGCATTAATCACTCTGAGTATATCAGTTTGATCAAAAGCAATATTGACCATTTCTAGAACTTACTCTGTTTACTTAGTATAACTAAGCAAATTGCTTGGTCTCATTTGCAAGCATTTTGTTATTCTGTGTAATTCCTTCATCATTAATTGGTTCTTATAATGTTACATTTAAAAGAACATTTAAAATTTAGCAACACTAGGCATAGCCAAATATATTTTATAACATGCACATACTTATTTAAATAGTACATCTCAGAAACCATCAATGAGCCACCAGTTCAACATTCAAACAAGTTAGTTCTTTTAAGGCAGATGATTAACTAATTTCCTGAATTCAATGAGGAAGAATTGCCTGACATTTTAAAAATTGAAAGAATTACAGAATTAATTCAATTCTGAGGGTACCATCAACTTTAGACTACAAAATGTTATGATTCAGTTGTAGGTAGCTTAGACATTTAGAAACCTTTATGGTGAAGACGGTAGGTTTTCCTGGGGATAAAAACTAATTCTTTTGTTTTCAAGCTTACAATAGTGCAAAATGTCAACAATTTCTGGTTAATAGCAGTACCAAGAGAGAATGTAGCCAGGGGACCATTAAGAAGGAGCAATTTACTATAGCAGGTCATAACACTTTGACAGTGTCCTATAATTCAGTTAGATGTAAAAATAAGATGACACTGGGTGTTCTCTGAACTCAGAGTAATTTGAACTTGATTCACACTGTACTGTGAGCCAGCTGTTCATTCTCAGATATAAACTTAGCAAAGGAAGTGACTATTCAATATAAAAATGACAGAGAAATAACTGATTAAACAAAATTGTGAATAGGAATATGGGTTAAAAGTTACACTGAAAGGAAAAGCCTGATGAATAAAATGTCATCTACATATATGAATTTCATTATATATAATATAGAAGATATGAGGAACTTATTACTATATCCTCATAAAATGCATCCGATAGCTATGAATTCTAGAAGCACTGAGTCAGTATGATAAACTATGACGGCAACACAATGCAGGAAAAAAAGGGTGGAATCTGCAGTGAAAATACCAGGGGGCTGTGAACCCTGGTTATACCACTTACTAGCTTTGTGTCCTCAAGCAATTCACATAACCTCTCTGAGCTTTAGTTTCCTCAACTGTAAAATGAAGATAATGCTACACAGATTCCTGTAAGGATAAAATGAGCTAATACAGAAAAACATACTTTGCAGAATAGAAACGTGATTAAAATGTTCGATCTGTAAATACTGGTTTAATAATCTTTGTTCACAATTTTCAGACTTCCTTTGCATTGGCATTTGTCTTTTTGTTAGCCCAGAAACTCTGCCTATGTTTTTGCAGATGTAGAGATTTCTTTGCATAAGGGAATGAATAAATTTGTTTCATTAGTCAACAAATACTTACAAAATGACTCCAAGTTCCAGGACTTAAATAATACTAAAGTATTGGTACAGCAGTCCCCTTCTATCCGAGGGGGATACATTTCTTTCCTTTTTAAAAAAACTTTTATTTTAGATTTGGGGGTACATGTGAAGGTTTGTTACACAGTTAACTCGTGTCATAGGGGTTTGTTGTACAAATTATTTCATCAGGTATTAAGCCCAGTACTCAACAGTTATCTTTTCTTCTCCTCTCCCTCCTCCCACCCTTCACCCTCCACCCTCAAGCAGACCCCAGTGTCTATTGTTCCCTTCCTTGTGTTCATGAATTCTCATTATATAGCTCCCACTTATAAATGAGAACGTGCAGTATTTGGTTTTCTATTCCTGCATTAGTTTGCTATGGGTAATAGCCTCCAGCTCCATCCACGTTCCTGCAAAATACATGATCTTGTTCTTTTTTATGGCTGCATAGTATTCTGTGATGTATATGTACCACATTTTCTTTATCTAGTCTGTCACTGATGGGCATTTAGGTTGATTCTATGTCTTTGCTATTGTGAATAGTACTGCAGTGAACATTCACGTGCATGTGTCTTTATGGTAGAATGATTTATGTACCTCTTGGTATATACCCAGTAATGGGATTGCTGGGTTGAATGGTAGTTCTGCTTTTAGCTCTTTGAGGAACCGCCATACTGCTTTCCATAATGGTTGAACTAATTTACACTCCCACCAACAGTGAATACATGTTCCCTGTTCTCCACAACCTTGCCAGCATCAGTTATTTTTTGACTTTTTAATAATAGCTATTCTGACTTGTGTGAGACGGTATCTTGTGGGTTTGATTTGCATTTCTCTAGTGATCAGTGATATTGACCTTTTTTTTCATATGCTTGTTGGCTTCATGTATGTCTTCTTTTGAAGTGTCTGTCCCTGTTTTTTTGTCCACTTTTTAATGGGGTTCTCTCTTGTAAATTTAAGTTATTTACAGATGCTGGGTATTAGACCTTTGTTAGATGCATAGTTTGCAAATATTTTCTCCCATTCTATAAGTTGTCTATTTACTCTGTTGACAGTTTCTTTTGCTGTGCAGAGGCTCTTAAGTTAATTAGATCCTATCTGTCAATTTTTGCTTTTGTTGCAATTGCTTTTGATGTCTTTATCATGAAATCTTTGCCAGTTTCTATGTCCAGGATGGTATTGCCTAGGTTGTCTTCCAGGGTTATAATAGTTTTGGGTTTTACATTTAAGTCTTTAATCCATCTTGAGTTAATTTTTGTATGTGGTGTAAGGAAGGGGTCCAACTTCAATCTTCTGCATATGGCTAGCCAGTTATCCCAGCACCATTTACTGAATAGGAAGTCTTTTCAGGGGGATGCATTTCAAAATCCCCAGTGAATGCCTGAATGGTGGATAGTACCAAATCCTACATATATTATTTTTTCATATATATATATATATGTTTAAATTATAATTAGGCACAGTAAGAGATCAGCAACAATCACTAATAAAATAGAACAATTATAACAACATACTGTCATAAAAGTTATGTGTATGTGGTATCCTTTCCTCTCCTCTCAAAACATCTTATTATGCTGTATCACAGGTAACTGAAACTGCAGAAAGTGAAACCATGGATAAGAAAGGCTACTGCACACAGTGAGGACTAGATTTAGTATCTACCTTCATAATCTCAATCCTTAAAAAAGGAGTTTATAATCCTTTATAGGGAACTCATTTTAAAAACAAATCTTATTCAGAAGTCTAATCTAAAAATAAGTAAAGGTTCAAGGAAGAATGTTCAAAGGAAGAAAACCTTTAGGCATCTCTGTAGGAATTCACAGAACAGTTTGAAACTACCACGCTGGTAGGCAGGCCTCCCCCAACATTTGTGTGGGCCTGGGGCAAGAGTATAAACGGAGCAGCCTACGCAGGGCTCCAACCCATATCACAAAGGTCCTCACAGACGTGAGTATAGACATTTCAGTTTACATGTCCAAATGCAACACACTCCCTCACCTTTCGCTCACTTGCCCCTTGGCCACCCTTCAGGCCTAGGGGCACATGTATCAACAGCAAGATCTGCCGTTGGTTGATCCTGAGAGTGAGCTGGGTCATTTGGACTGGTCTCTATATAAAGTCCACTGCATAACTGATGGAAGATGTGATTTTAAAAGTACTAAGCAGCTATAAATTTTATATTTTCGGAAGGGAGAAATAAAAGAGAGACACAGAGAGATGATTATCGTATACCTCAGCTTTCTTCTTCCATCTCTAAACTAATACCTTCTACTACAGTTTAAAGAGATTCTCTATATTTCCTTCAACTTACTCAGTTTTTAAAATGTTAAAATAAAAAAAATTTCTAAAAAATAAAAAACTGTTAGACAAGTAACAGTTGCATGAAACAAAATCAGTCCATTGCAGAGATTTCTGAGCAGTAAGTCATGTCAACATGGGCACTGTGGTCTCTAATGCATAACCTTCATCTAAGAGTACATCAAATTTATCTTTAGAACAAAGTATTTAGCATCCACCACTCAAGAATGTCTATCTGATATATGTGTTACAGCATACTTATTTATTCCTGCCACACACAAGTTTCTAGAGAACAAATAAGCATATTGACCAGATATATCAAGAAAGTCACGAAGCATTCAAATAAACTTAAGACTGAGTGTTCATAATCTGAATTCTTTTTTTCTTTTCCATAAATTTGGATGCATCATTTCTTTGAGGCAATATTATTTCTACTCTAAGTATTCTTAGCTTATATCAAACACATTAAGTGATGTGCCAAGTAGTATGTTAGGAGTTAAGAAAAGGAAAAATATCAAAGTCCCTATTCTCAAGGACCCTGGAGTCTAATAGATGGAGACAACTGTAATAAAGAATGATAAATTACAAGACAGATTAAACAAAGGATATCACAGAAGCACAAAAGAGGGGGGTTTAAAGGGAGGTTGTAGTTAGAGGAAAGGGAGTGAGGTTAGGTCAGGGTCTTCCTCAGAAAGGTGATAACTTTAGTAAAGAGGGTATGGGGAAAAGAACTGTGTGTTTGTGTGTGTGCATATGCACATGTACATGTGTTTTAGGCTGAGGGAGTATCTATCTATAAAGGAACAATCATTTTGCATATTTTATAATACTGTATGTCAAACATTACACAAGAGACCACTAGGAATATTGAAGAAACAGAAAACATGGTCCCTGCATTCAAAGAACTTACAATCCACTGGAAAGACAACACAAAGTGGACAATGAAGTAAATATAATACAGTAACATTAGTTAAATATAGATTTTATATTTTTGTACAAATATACATTTACACAAGTATTATATACATATAAAGTGTATTCACATATATCATTCTCCAACAGTTCTGTATTATGGAACTATCGTGTGTGTGTGTTTCTGAGAGCAGAGGTTGCTTGTCTAAATTTTAAATTACTTAGTTATACATTTTCTACTATGCTTTCTCAAACTCAGGTATACAAATGTAGTCTCTGACTTCATTTGGCTTCCAAATGACCCATTAAAAAACTCCACCTATGTTCTCCAATTTGCCATCAGAGAGGAGTTGTTTTATTATTATTTTAATGTGTATGCAAACTTATGGAAAACATGTGGGTTCCAAGACAAATAAAGGGCAGAAACTGTTTAAAAAGAAAACATGCTGAAAAACAATCTGATGTTGGACTGCCTTGTTTATTAGTTCTGTTTAAAAAATGTTCTCTAAAATGCCTTAATTTTTTTCACTTTATTTTGACAAACTAACTGAAAATTGATAAACTGAAAATTTATCATAGATCATTTGGTATTGGAAAACTTGGATTTGAATCTTGACTGTATAGTAGCTCTGTGACTTTGGGTTATTTTATAAAGAAAAAAACATTTCACAGATGATTATAAGGAAAAAAGAGATCAAATATATATATATATTTTGTACAATTATTTTACAAATAACAAGTGCTCAGCCAATAGGATTATATCTAAATTTGCATCTTTTCTTTAAAAATACAACTGTATATGGGAATTCTAGACAGTTGTTAGTGATTCATCACACGAATGAATCAGTTTAACCTGATTGTTTTTCTCCTAACTCCTACTTGAGATAGGAAGCACTGAAGGTCTGGCAGGTAGATACAGAGTTTAGAATTACAAACCTGATACCACAAAATTAGATGTGGATATTTTATAATTTTGAAATTCTCATCTTCCCGACAGCTCTCTCCTAACCTACCCTCTGAGTCCTAATTTCTGGAGTTGGGGCCTACTTTTTTAAAAGATCTATAGTCGACTCTTGGTGATCCAGGTTTCAGAACTTCTGAGATATACAAAGTAAGCTCACCAATTTCACCAAAGTGAGGAACACTGGATAAAAATGTTTGGTCATAAGAGGTAGGGCCTTGAGAGTTAATCATAAAAATTGAGAAATGATTCATAGAGAAGAAAACCACTAGAGGTTTTTGATCACAGAATCATTTAGATATGAAGTGGAATCTAGACAATGAAGTTTATGGAAGACTAATCTGTCACAATTATTTAGGATTAAAAAAAGTCACATAAGAAGTTGCCACAATAATTCACACATGAAGAAATGATAGTTTGGACTAGTGAAGTATCAACAGGAGTGGAATATTTACTACGAAGCTCTTCACACCTTACAAGGTCAACAACTGCAGATCACAAGAATTCCTTTCCCCACAGTCACGTGGTAGTTGAACCTGAGTGGCAATAATGTTATCAAATGATAAACAGAATACCAAAGTGTTATACTAATTAAGTTACGATGGTGATGATGATGGATAAACAACAATATACCACATAAAAGAACAACCAAGATTTTGATAACTCAATAGGAATTTAAGGTTATGAACAGAATGGGACAGAGGGAAACCTTTCCTAGTAACATACTAGCCTAATGGTTTTAATACACATGGTTCTTTTGTTGTTACTTTTTATTATATAAATATTTATATATACAGAAAAGTAGACACCTATTACACAGATTCAACAATTAACTTTCTGTCCTATTTATCTTTGCTGAAGTAGATTAAATAAGTTACAGACATCATGACATCTTGTCTCTAAATATATCAGTATGCACCTAAAAACAAAAACATATTCCTATGTAACCACAATACCATTGTTACACCTAAAAGACTTAATGCTAATTCCATGAAATTAATGTTACATGGTCCTCTTAACTTTTATGGTTACATATAAATCATGATAATATAGGCCTGTTATTTTTCTCCCATAAAGCAATTCTATACATTATTTTTGAATTATTAGTGGGAAAGTTAGTTCTCAAGATTAATCAACGTCGCAAATCCTTTGGATTTTACCGGCAATGTGAGAGAAGCTCCTCTGTCATGTAAAAAATGCATCCTTAGAGAATGTTCATTTGATAACAAGTAGAAGTCACTTGGAATTTCATACATAGTGCTTCCATAAGATTTTCCAGTGTTCTTGAGAGTATCACTTACTTCTTTCCAAGTGTCATGGGTACAGACTGAACATCAGCAAGAACCATGGCATGCTCAAGACTTTGCCCTTAACAGAACCAAGACCTCTGGCCAGTGTCAGATAATCTGTCACTATAAGCTACTTGTATCCAAGCCAGATATTTATTGCTATTGATCTGCCTGGTCCTAGCAAAAGACTTTTGTTCTCCCAGACCGGGACTTTGACCTCAATTAAGTTATGAATTTCAATCCGATAGACTGCTCCACTTACCCTACTGCTCTCCCTGACTGGATTAATTAGAATTAGCTAGGCCGAGAGTCACCCCGAGCTCCTCATGGATCATGTTATTTTAATAATAAATAAAGGAATAGCAGCAATGTACAAGAAGTATTTTGAAATATTGCTCATCTAGAAACATCATTCAGAACCTGCCAATATCAATTTCTCTGACTTTGATTACCTCATTTATTTTTTATTTCTTTTCATTCACTGAAATTTCTCCTAATTTCAGCTTTCCAAACATGTTCTTTGAATACAAAAATCAAAGTACTTGCCATTTTAGCACTTTGCTGCTATTTCAGAGTTTCATTAGAGAGTAACTCATCAAAGCAGTCATTTGCAAAAATGTAACTTAAAACATTCAATAATCTAAGAGCATCAAGAAAAAAACATATCATCATCTAGGGAAAAGAGTACTAGCCTTTACCTAAATGCACTTTTCCTATAGCTGGCTAATGCATAAAATGCAGACAAATAGAATGTCACTGCAAGAGCAATATCCAAGCTTACAAAGAACAAGAATGTGTAAAACACATTTATGTTTAACCCATAATCCATTGGGACCAGATTACATACTGGCCAGTGGGAATTCTAAATCATGTTGATACTAACAATGACTAGTGGGATCAGAAATTGCTAAATATACTATATGGTCCTAATTTTATTATTTAACCTCCAGACATTTATTATTTAACCTCCAGACATTAAAAAAAGTAATTTAAAAATGTAAAGAATATTATTTAAGAATCTTTGCATTCTGGGACATAGTTTTTGGTATTTGATAATGAAATTATAAAATTTTTAGAAAGTGTAAAGAAAATCCTAAAGCCATATACATTATCAATTGATATTTTTGATGTAGTAAAAACCCTTTTACTTATTTATTTATTGAAATTCTAATTTTTGATTGGCTCCAGGTAACATAAAGAAAATATTTAATTAGAATGCCCAGGTAGTGATTTCAATATTAAAAGCAATGCAAAATTAACACATAAACTCTGCCCTTAAATTGGCAAGAATTACAAGTATATTTGGAAGGCACATCCTTAGTGCAAAAAGATATGCCACAACATAATAAATCAGTGTTTTATCAAACCACTAAAAATGGAAGTTTTCTCATCAAATAATTTTGTAGAAAAGAAACTGGCATGCATGAAAGTGATTCCCATAATGAAAAATAAACCATTACATATTTTTTAAGTACAGCAACTGGATTTAATCTCCACATGCCCCTCTCCCCCCTTACACTCACATGCACACTCGCTGCAGAGTATGTAAAACTTTCACTCATTTTAGAGAAGAGTTTAGTATTTTACTATGGAAAGGTGCTACACTCAAGTGCTAGTAAACATTTCTTCCTCAGTACCTGAAACATAGTAGTAATCTAGGAAGGAAGTAAAACTGATATGGAGAGACTGTTTACAATGTGTGAGAGAATCAAGGATTAAGAAAATAATTTGAAGGCTAAGAGTGTTTTCACAATTATCCACTCAGCAGAAAAAGAAGATCAACTGACAAAATGTATTGTGTTTTTGGTAAAGAGCTTCTGTTTTCACACCTGACCTGCCTATTCTTAAGTGGAATTAAAGTAATTCTTTAGAAAATCAACAGGTGACTTAACACATTAGCCCAGACTTTTCAAAAGACTCTTGAATTAAAATCACAAAGACACTATGTGACGGAAAACAGGAAACATATTTACACCTTCACTTACAGATAAAATATTTGAAATATAGACAATGACTTAACATCATATAAATGGTGTAAGAATTATATTGAAGTATAGAAATTAGAGATCTAAAAACCTCAAACATATGAAAAACTTAAAAACAGTAAACATTTTATAGCAAAAATATTAAACATTTAAGAATTTAATAAGAAATGTGTAAAACCTATATGAGAAAAAAATGTAAAACTCCTGAAAGATGCAAATTAGACTAGATCAAATGGAAAGACACCCTATATTCTTGTATTGGTGACTCAATATTATAAAGATGTCAGTTTTCCCTAACTTATAAATTCAATGCAATCCCAATAAAAATACCAATAAGCTATTTTATGGAGTTACATAAACTATTATGAAACTTCATATTTCAAAGAGTGCAATAACCAGGAAAACACTTAAAAAGAAAAACTATGAAAGAGAAATACCTATTCTAGACATTAATACCTATTATAAAGCCTTTTAATTAAAATAATGTACATGCACAAAAGAAGCAGTGGAAGAGGTTATGAAGTCCAAAATTAAACCCCAAACATAAGGAAATACAATATAAGACAAAGGTGGCATCTCAAATCATGAGGGAACAGACTGTTTTTTTTTGAGACAAGGTCTCTGTCACCCAGGCTGGAGTGCAGTGGCACAATGACAGCTAACTGCAGTCTCGATCTCCTGGGCTCAGGTGATCCTCCTGCTTCAGCCTCATGAGTAGCTGGGACGAGAGGTGCACACCACCATGCCTGGCTAATTTTTTTGTTATCTGTAGAGATGGGGTCTTGCTTTGTTGTGCAGGCTGTTCTTGAGCTCCTAGGCTCAAGGGATCATCCTGCCTTGACCTCCCAAAGTGCTGGAATTATAGGCGTGAGCCACTGTGCCCAGCTGGAATAGACTTTTAAATAAATGGTGCCAGGACAACAGGTAAGCCACTTGGAAGAAGACAAAATTAGATCCACATCTCCAATCATACATTTCAGAATCTAAGTGTAAACTATGAAACCATACGAGTACTAGAAGAAAATATGGAATCTCTCTTGAAAAGGCTTTTAATTATGACTTAAAATCCAGAGGCAATAAAATGACTAATAAATTTGATTATATAAAAATAAAAAGTTCTTGCATGATGAAAGATACCATAAACAAAATCAACAGACAAATGAAACAAAAATGGGCGAAAATATCTACAACATATACCACAAAGGGTTAATATCCATGGTATATAAAGAACTCTGAAAAAACTGAGTCACAAAAGGCCAAAAACCTGATAGAAAAATGGGGAAAAATGTGAACAGATAGTTCACCAAAACCAGGATATAAAAATAGCCCTGAAATACATAAAAATAAGAACTCACTCATAATTAGAGAAATGAAAACTAAAACAACACTGAGATGCCATTTCTCTATCAGGGCAAAAATTCTAAAATGTGAGAGAGCACAATCTATTGAAAAAGCTATAAGGAAACAGGCTCTCTTATGAACTGGTAGTGGGAATATAAATTAGTAAACCCTTCTAGAGGGAAATTTGGCAACATCTAACAAAATACTACATATGCACCTACCTTTTCACCCAGTAATTCCACTTACAGGAATCTATCCTGAAGGTACACCTCCAACAACATGAAAATACATATGTACAAGGTTATTAGTTGCAGCACTGTTTGTAATTGCAAAGCGTTAGACATTACCTAAATGCCCACAGAATAGGAGAGTGTTTCAATAAACTATGGTACATCCACATAAGGGAGTACTATGCAGCTGTAAATAAAAATCTTCATGAAGTGATATGGAGTAACTCTAGGATACACTGTTAGGTGAAAAAGTGATGAGCAAAAGAGTATCTTTAGTATGTTACCTTTCATGTAAAAAAAATGGGATATGAAAATGTGCACATACTCTCTCACTAGTGCAAAATAAATATAGAAAAGATAAATCAGAAACAAAGGAGACTGGTTACCTGTAGGGAGTGGGTGAAAAAGGACTGAAAAGACAGAGATGGCACTCAGGTAGCAGGAACGGGGGAAAAATAACAATCTCTGTGTACATCTATTTATACGCCTCTGATGCTCATATCTATAGTAATGTTTCAGATACCCCCCAAATAAACAAAACATTAAAGCCAACCATGTATTTGAAGTGAATCTAAAATCGCATACAAACACCCACAAATGAACCTGACCTGAATAACATAACTATACTGAAGGGAGTGGGGAAGAAACAAACATAAGTAACTTTGGAAAACAGTATGTTGAGTGGAAACCGTAAGGCTAATGGCAAAATGAAATATACATAAATGTTTTAACATAGTTAGTAAATGTTTCACACAGAGGTATGAGTTAACAATTCTGAAACTCCTTTATGCGTATATACTAGAGTTGAACAGAAAAAAAAACACTGCAAATAATAAGAGCTGAGTTTCTGTGAGAAAAAGTTATAAATAAGGAAAGGCTAAACTAAACCCTGTAATTTTTGATTATAATCAAAGTATCAGTGTAAACACACGATATTCTATACAAATACAGATACAGAGATACAGAAATAGAGTATGTGTACTTGCATGGATTAGTATACATACATACATTTTCTACATATACATATATTTTGTAGCTCTGGCCATTAAGAGAACCAAGAAACAATACTGTTCCAAAAGGATTGAGCACATCTAGTGTCCAGCTCTTAGTTTTTAAACACATTTTCTAATAAAGGGAACCAGTGATCCTTGGAGAAATGGTTGGTGCCAGGACTAGAGTAGGGAAAATATAAGATGAACCTAGAATCGGGGGAAATAGCCAGTTCTTCCTTATAGAGGGTTCCAATTAGTAAATGTAAAAGAAAAGAGGAAAACAGAAAATCACCATTAGGCAAATACCACAATAACAACTGTTGGAGACACAACTCATTGATGGACGCTAAAATTAATGGGCATAGGCCAGGCATGGTGGCTCATGCCTGTTATCCCAGCACTCTGGGAGGCCAAGGTGGGTGGATCACCTGAGGTCGGGAGTTTGAGACCAGCCTGACCAACATGGAGAAACCCCGTCTCTACTAAAAATGCAAAATTAGCTGGTCATGGTGGCACATGCCTGTAACCCCAGCTACTCGGGAGGCCAAGGCAGGAGATTCGCTTGAACCCGGGAGGCGGAGGTTGCAGTGGGCCGTGATTGCTCCACTGCACTCCAGCCTGGGCGACAAGAACAAAACTCTGTCTCAAAATAATAATAATAATAATAATAATAATAATAATAGCCATAAGTTTGAGGAGAAACAGGATTTGCATAGTGTTCAAGTATCTCACTCCACCCCATATTTATTAACTACAAAGAAAAGACAGCAACTTTACAGTAAAGAAATCAGGCAGACACTATCATAACGAAGTGATCAAGGTTAACATCTCCAGTAATCAGACATAATATTATGAATCCCTTAATATGATGCACTAAGAAGGGCATATCACTTCTGTGATATTCTTGCCAAAAATGCATAACCTAATTCCAATCAAGAGAAAACATCAGACAAACCCAAGTGAGGAACATTCTACAAACTAATTAGTTATCTTCAAAAGCATAAGGATAATTAAAGTATAAGGAACGACTAAGGAACTGAATAACTAAATCCAAATTACAATACTGGATAGGATCTTGGAACAGAAAACATTCTTGATATTAGTAGAAAAACTGTTGAAATTCAAATAAGGTCTGTAATTTAAACAATAGTATCATACCAATGTTAATGTCCTAATTTTGACAGTTATATTATGGTTATACAAGAAGTTAATTATTAGGGAAAGCTAGATGAGTAGTATACAGGAACTCTGCACTGCTTTTGCAACTTTTCTGTAGAGTCTAAAATTATTTCCAAATAAAAAATGAAAAAAATTCCAGTGTAAACTGTTAATGTTGGATTCAAGACAGAAAGCAGGAAATAGCTCCAGAGGCCTAGGGAATGTCCCCAGCCCAGCCCACTACAAGTGGCACCTGAGCACTCCCTGCTGGGGTTTGAGGTTGGGCCCACCCAGCCCACCACTGCCACCATAGATGGCACCCCCCAGCATGTGCTACCTGCAGATTTGGGCACTGGCCCACTCCACCCATCACAGCCACCACCACCACCAGTGGGGACCCTCTGCTTGGGTCCCAGAGGGTTGTCCCACCACTGCTACTGCCACTGCCCATGTCACACTCATTACCTAGGGGCTCGAGAACACACCCACTTGACTGACCCACCACTGCCATTTTTGGCACCCAAGTAAGTTACCTGGAAGCCTACAAGTCAGCCTGCCTGGACCTGCTAATACCAATGCCAGGGTACACCACCCTGGGGTCTAAAGACTGGCCCACTTGGCATCCCAGTCCCCAGAAAAACTTCACTAACAACTGTATGCTAAGCCACCAAGGAAATCACAGGTAACACTGATGCTATTTACAGTTGAAGAAATCATCCAGAAATTACACTACCAGAATGAAAACCAAAGTGCCCTACCTACCCAACACCATAGATATATCTGTAGGAAAAAGTTCTCTCCTACAAAAGCAAATTCAAAAACTGGAAGAAGTGACTGTCACAACAGATTGCAGGTATCAATGTAAGGACCTAAGAAACATGAAAAAGCAAAGGAATATGATACTTCCAAAGGAACATAATAATTCTCCAGCAACATATCCCAATCATAAAGAAACTCATGAAATTCCTGAAAAAGAATTCAAAAAATTGATACTAAATAAGCTCAGTGAAATACAAGGGAATTCTGAAAAACAACACACAGAAATCAGAAAAACAATTCAGGATATGAATGAGAAATTTGTCAGAGGTAGATATAATAAAAAAGAACTAAACAGAAATTCTGAAACTGAAGAATTCATTGAATAAAATACAAAATATATTCAAAAGCTTCAACAACAGAATAGATCAAACAGAAGAAAAAAAATCTCAGAACTTGAAGACAGGTCTTCGCAGATACCTCAGCCAAACAAACATAAAGAAAAGAGAACAAAAAAACAATGAGTAAAACCTTTGTGACATATGGGCCACCATAAAATGACCAAATAGGCAAAGTATTGGAACCCCAGAAGGCAAAGAGAAAACAAAAGGTTAGAAAAACTATAATAATAAGTGAAAATTTCCCAAGTCTAGCAAGAAATTTAGACATCCAGATATAGGAAGCTCAAAGATCCCCAAATAGAAACAATGTAAAAATGTTTTCTCCACACCACATTATAGTCAAACTGTCAAAAGTCAAAGACAGGCCAAGCATAGTGGCTCATGCCTACAATTCCAGCACTTTGAGAGGTGAGGTAGGAGGATCACTTGAACCCAGTAGTTCGAGACCAGCCCGGGCAATATGGTGAAACTCCATTTCTACAAAAAATAAACAAGTCAGTTGAGCATGGTGACCCTCATCTGCAGTCCCAGCTACTTGGGAGGCTGAGGCAAGAAGATTGCTTGAGCCCGGGAAATCATGGCTGCAGTGAGCCATTATCATGCTACTGGGTGACACAGTGAGATCATGTGGCAAAAACAAACAAAAACAAAAACAAAACAAAACAAACAAACAAAGAACAATCAAAGACAAAATTCTAAAACCAGAGAGAGAAAAGCATCTAATCACCTATACAGGAACCCCCATCAGAATAACAACAAATTTCTCAGTAGAAACCTTACAGGCCAGGAGAGAATTGGATGATATATTCAAAGTCCTGAAGGAAAAAAATTGCCCAAGGATATTATACCCAGCACAATTATCCTTTGGAAATGAAAAAGAAATAAAGTTGTTCCCAGACAAGCAAAAGCTGAGGGAATTCATCGCCCTAGACTGGTCCTACAAGACATGCTTAAGGGATACTCAGTATAATAACATGCTGTATAGGTTTTTAAAAGTTAAAAAAAAAATGGTTAAGGGAGTCCTACACCCAGAAGTGAAACAACAATAACTACCATCATGAAGACACGTGAAAATATAAAAACCACTGGTGGAGCAAACACACAAATCAAGAAAGAGAAAAACCTCAAATGTTACCACTACAGAATACCACTAAACTACAATGATAAAAAATAAGAGAGAAATAAAGGAACAAAGGATATACAAAACAACCAGAAATCAAGCAATAAAATGGTAGGAATAAGCTCTCATATATCAATAATAACCTTAAATGTGAGTAAATTAAATTTTCCACTTTAAAGACACACAGTGGCTGAATGGCTTTTAAAAATGACTCAACTATATACTGCCTACGAGAAACTCATCTCACCTGTAAAGACACATACAGCCTGAATATGAGAGGATGAAAAAGATATTCCATGCAAACAGAAACCAAAAGCAAGCAGGAGTAGCTATACTTTTATCAGACAAAATGAACTTTAAGTCAAAACCAGTAAAAAGAGACAATGAAGGTCATTATATAATAATAAAGGATTAATTTAGAAAGAGGTTACAATTGTAAACATACACCCAACATCGCAGCACCCAGATATTATATCAAGCAAATATTATTAGATTTAAAGGGCGGGATAGACTCCAATACAATAACAATTGGGGACTTTAATACACCATTTTCGCCACCAGACAGAAATCATCTAGACAGAAAGTCAACAAAGAAATACTGGATTTAAACTGCACATTAGACCAAAAGGACTTAAGAGATATTTACAGAACGTTTTGTCCAACAGCTACAAAATACACATTCTTCTCATCAGCATGCAGAAAATTCTCCAGGACAGACCATACATTAGGTCACAAAACAAGTCTCAACAAATTTTAAAAAACTGAAATCATATCAAGTATCTTCTCAATCCACAATGGAATAAAACTAGAAATCAATAACAACAGGAACTTTGGAAACTGTATAAATACATGGAAATTAGACAACATGCTCCTGAATCACCATTGGGTCAAGAGAAAAATTAAGGAGGAAATAAAAAAAATTTATTGAACCAAATGAAAATCAAAACACAAGGTACCAAAACCTATGGGATACAGTAAAAACAGTGTTAAGAAGGAAGTTTATAGCAATATAAACCTTCATCAAAAAAGTAGAAATATTTCAAATGAACAATCTAACAAGTCACCTCAAGGAACTAGAAAAACAAGAACACCCAGGTGCAGTGGCTCAGGCCTGTAATCCCAGCACTTTGGGAGGCCGAGGTGGGCAGATCACCTGAGGTCAGGAGTTTGAGACCAGCCTGGCCAACATGGTGAAACCCCATCTCTACTAAAAAATACAAAAATTAGCTGGGCGTGGTGGTGCATGCCTGTAATCCCAGCTACCAGGGAGGCTGAGGCTGAGGCAGGAAAATAGCTTGAACCCAAGAGGCAGAGGTTGCAGTGAGCCAAGATTGCACCACTGCACTCCAGCCTGGGTGACAGAACAAGACTGCATCTCAAAAAAAAAAAAAAAGAAAAGAAAAGGAGAAACAAGAACAAACCAAACCCCAACTTAGTATAAGAAATAATAAATCACAGCAAAACTAAACAAGAGACTAAAAAACAAACAAACAAAAAACCCAAAACCAAAGAATCAACAAAATGAAAAGTTGGTTTTCTGAAAAGATAAACAGAAGTTAATAAACCAATTGCTAGACTAACCAAGAAAAAAAGAGAGAAGACCCAAATAAACAAAATCAGAAACGAAAAGGAGACATTGAAACTGATACCATAGAAATACAAAGGATCAACAGAGACAATTATGAACAATTACACAATAAAAAAACTAGAAAACCTAGAGAAAATGGGTAACTTCCTGGACAACACAAACTGCCAAGATTGAATCTGGAAGAAAAATAAAACCTGAATAGACCAACAGTGAGTAATGAGATTGAATCAGTGATAAAAAGTCTCTCAACAAAGAAAAGTCCAGGACTGGATGGCTTCACTGCTGAATTCTACCAAACTTTCAAAGAAGAACTAACACCAGTTCTCAAACCATTCTTTAAAAAAAACTTAAAGAGGAAGGCATTCCCCCTAATTCATTCTACAAGGCCAGCATTACCTGTTATCAAAATCAGATAAGGGCTCAACAAAAAAAGAAAACTACAGGCCAATATCCCTGATGAACATAAATGTAAAAATTCTCAACAAAATACTAGCAAACCAAATCCAACAGTACAGAATACATCATGATCAAATGGGACTTATCCCAGGGATGTAAGGATGGTCCAACATACACAAATTAATAAATGTGATACATCACATCAATAAAATGAAGGACAAAAACCATACGACCATCTCAACAGACACAGAAAAAGCATTTGATAGAATTCAACATCTCTTCAAAAAACACTCAACAAACTAGGCATAGATGGAACATACCTCAACATATAAAAGCTATATGACAAACGCACAGCTAACATCGTACCAAATGGGGAAAAATCGGAAAACCTTTCCCCCAAGAACTGGCACAAGCCAAGAATGCCCACTTTCACCACTCCTATTCAACACAGTACTGGAAGTGTTAGTGAGAGCAATTAGGAAAGAGAAAGAAAGAAAAACCATCCAAACAGGAAAACTTGAAGTCAAACTGTCCTTCTTTGACAATGATATGATCTTATATCTAGAAAAACCTATAGGCTCCACCAAAAATCTCTTAGATCTAATAAACAAATTCAGTCGAGTTGAATACAAAATCAACATATAAAAAATCAGTAGGGTTTCCGTACCCCAATAATGAACTAGCTGAGAAAGAAATCAAGAAGGCAATCCCATTTACAATAGCTATAAAAAAAATACCTGGGAATAAATTTAACCAAGGAGGTGAAAGATCTCTATAAGGAAAACTACAAAACTGACAAAAGAAATTCACAAAAAAATAGAAAGACATGCCATGCTCATGAGTTAGAAGAATACTGTTTAAATGACCACACTGCCCAAAGTAATCTACAGATTCAATGCAACCCCTATCAAAATATTGACGTCATTTTTCACAGAAATAGAAAAAATAATTGTAAAATGTGTATGGAACCAGAAAAGAGCCCAAATAGCTAAAGCAATCCTGAGCAAAAAGAACAAAGCTGGAGGCATCACACTGTCTGACTTCAAAATATATTATAATGCTATAGTAACCAAGAAAGCATGGTATTGGTATAAAAACAGACACACAGACCAGTGGAACAGAATAGGGAATCCAGAAGTAAATCTAGGTATTTAGAGTCAACTGATACTCAACAAAGATGCCAAGAATATACATTGAGGGAAGGCCATCCTTTTCAATAAATGGTGCTGGAAAAACTGGATATCCATATGCAAGGGAATAAACTGGATCCCCATCTCTCACCATATATAAAAATCAACTCAAGATGAATCAAATACCTAAATACAAGGCCTGCAACTATAAAACTACTAGATGAAAACATAGGGAACTTGGTCTAGACAATGGTTTTATGGCTAAGACTTTGAAAGCAGAGATTAAAAAAAAAAAACAAAAATAGCTAAATGAGACTATATTAAACTACAAAGCTTCTGCACAGCAAACAATCAAAAGAGTAAAGAGTCAACCTATAGAATGTGAAGAAATATCTGCAAATTATCTGACAAGGGACTAATATCCAGAATATACAAGAAACTCAAACCATTCAATAGTTAAAAAAATAATAATCCTATTAAAAAATGAGTAAAGGATGTGAATAGACATTTCTCAAAAGTAGACAAACAAATAGCTAACAGCTACATGAAAGAAATGCTTAACATCACTAATCATCAGGGAAATGTAAATCAAGACCACGAGATACCATCTTATCCCAGTTAGAATGGTTATTATTAAAAGATTAAAAATTAACAGATGCTGGCAAGGATGCAGAGAAAAACTCTTATACATGGTTAGTGAGAATGTAAATTAGTACAGCCACTATGGGGCAACAGTATGAAGATTTCATAAAAAACTAAAAACAGAACTAACATACACTTCAGCAATCGCACTACTGGGTATTTATCTAAAGGAAAAGAAATAAGTGTATCAAAGGTACACCTGCACTTTGATGTTCACTGTAGCACTATTCACAATACCAAAGATATGGAATCAACTGAAGTGTCCATCTACAGATGAATGGATAAAGAAAATGTGGTATGCATACACAATGGAATACTAGTCAGCTATGAAGAAGAATGAAATCATGACATTTGCAGCAATGTGGATAGAACTGGAGGCCCTTATGTCAAGTGAAATAAGCCAGACACAGAAAGACGAATTTTACATGTTCTCATTCATATGTAGGAGCTAAAAAAGTTGATCTCATGAAGGTAGTGGGTAGAAGGACTGATACCAGAGGCTGGAAAAAGTGTGCTGGTGGGAGGTAGTGATGAAAAGAGTTTGATCAATAGGTATAAACATACAGTTAGATAGAAGGTATAATGTTTCATAGCAGAGTAGGGCTTTTACTACAGTTAGCAACAACGCATTGTATATTTCAAGGCAGTTAGAAGAGAGAACCTGAAATGTTCTCCAGGTTATGGATACCCCAAATACCCTGACTTGATCATTACACATTCTATACATGCAACAAAATACTTATAAACACAAAAGAAGTCAGGAAAGAAAAAAATAGAGAAACAGAGCAGATGGGACAAACAGAAAACAAATAGCAAGCTGGTAGACTTAAACACAACCATACCAGTAATTACATTAAATGTAAATGAATTAAACACTGCAATTAAAAGACAAAGATTATCATACTAGATAAAGACCAAAACCCAACTACACACTGTTTATAAGAGACATGCCTTAAATATAAAGATACAGTGTTATGGACTAAATTGTGCTCCCCCACACCCAATTCCTATGTTGAAGCCCTAACACTCAATATGACTATATTTAGAAATAGGGCCTTTAAAGAGCTAATTAAGGTCAAATTAGGTTATAAAGGTGGGGCCTTAACGTGATAGGGCTGGTTCCCTTACAAGAAGAGAGAGAGACACTAGAGATCTCTCCATATATGAGCACAGAGGAAAGGCCCGTGAGGACCCAGCAAGATGGTGGCTATCTACAAGCCAAGTTGAGAGGCCTCACCAGAAATCAACCCTGTTGGCGCCTTTATCTTTGATTTAGAACCTCCAGAACTGTGGGAATAAATGTCTGTTGTTTATGCTATTCAGTCTGTGTATTTTGTTACAGCGGACCAAGTAGACTAACACATACACATAGGGTACAAGTAAAAGGATAGAAAAGGCTGGGCGCAATGGCTCACACCTGTAATCCCAGCACTTTGGGAGGCCGAGGCGGGTGGACCACTTGAGGTCAGAAGTTTGAGGCCAGCCTGGCCAACATGGTGAAACCCTGTCTCTACTAAAAATACAAAAATTAGCCAGGCATGGTGGTGCGTACCTGTAGCCCCAGCTACTCTAGAGGCTGAGGTTGGAGAATAGCTTGAACCCAAGTGGCAGAGGTTGCAGTGAGCCAAGATTGCACCACTGCACTCCAGCCTGGGCGACAGAGCTAGACACTGTCTCAAAAAACAAACAAAAACCGCATTCAGTAGTTAAGCTATGAGATAAGTTAGGTGTATTAAGTGTATTTTCAACTTATGATATTTTCAACTTATGATGGGTTTATCAGGATGTAAGCCCATCATAAGTTGAGGAGCATCTGCAGTGTACTTTTTCCTTCTAACTGCTTTCAATGTTGTTGTTGTTTTTTTCTCATTAATTTTCCAAAGCTTGATTTTAATGTGTCTTGCTGTGGATTTTGTCAGGTATATCTGTCTATGGTTCTCTCAGCTTCTCAAATCTATAGGTTTATGCCTTTTATCAAATTTGGGAAGTTTTCAGCCAGTAACTCTTCGAATATTTCTTGTAGTTCCACACTCTTTCTCCTCTCCTTCTAGCACTCTGATGACAAAAAAAGTTAGATCTTTTACAATTGTCCCACAGTCCTGGAGCCTCTGTTAATTTCTTTTCCATCTACTTCTCTCTGTTATTCAAATTATATACTTTCTATTGCTTTAAGTTCACTGATCTTTTTATCATTTCCATCTAGTATTGAGTGCATCCAGTGAATTTTTATTTCAGCTATTATATTTGCAATTCTATAATTTCTATTTAGTTCCTTTTTAGATCTCTTATTCCTTTGCTGAGATTTTCTGTTTTTTCCACTTGTTTCAAGAATGTTTGTAACTACTCATTGAAACATTTTTATGATGACTGCTCTAAAATCTTTGTCAGATAATTTCACCATCTCACTGTTTGGCGTATATTGACCTCCTTTTACCATTCGAGTTGTGATTTCCCAGGTTCTTGGTATGATGAGTAATTTTCAGTTTTGAGTATGCGTATCTGTATTCTATTTAAATCTTCTAGTTTAGCAGGCAGTTTCTCTATTTGGGTTTCTTGTGCAGCTCCTGATCTACTTTTAGGAGTTGTAGTTCCAATAATAATTTCATTTTCAGAGCCCTTACAGTACTATTTGGGTCTGCCTTGCTTGTGTGCTACTTAGAGGTCAATGTGAAAATGTAGGCACTATTCCACACTGTAGTTCAGTTCTCAACCCTTCTGTCATGTTAATTTTGGTCAGTATAATGTACGAGTCACTCTGGGTTCTTTCCAGGACTCTACATACAAGTTTAAAGCATTGCTTTCTCCAGCTCCCTCCTCTCTAAAATTCTCCCCCACACCATCACTCCCTATTTGGGAAGGGGAGAAGTACTACCTTATTATTGCTTTTAATTCCAGGGTGGGAGGTGATGGATATCCAAGCTTACCACTTGGTCTCCACTGACACCACACTTACGACAGAAGGGGAGTATCATCTGCTACCTCTGGGCAGGAGATGAAAGTCTAGGCTTCCCATTTGGCCTCTTCTGGCACCACCCTGGTGAGGAAAGGAAATCACTCCCTGCTACCACTGGGCAGGAACTGAAAGCTCAGGGTACTCATTCAGCATCTGTTGATAACACCTTGATGGGGAAGAGAAGCACTGCTTGCTACCACCAGCCAGAGGATGTGTAGGCTTCCCTTTCAGCCTCCAAGCAAGGGGGTGGCATATTCTTCCTCCATGTATTTGGCTGGGGTAGGGTGGTATTGTTGTTGAAAAGTTCTGTTCTTTTAGATTGCCCCTTTTCCTGTCCTTTGGCAAGAGATAACAGGCTTTTCTTATCTGCACCCATTGGTATTTCTGGGTTGTGGGCTTCTCCAGAGCCCACTTCAGCTTATAAAGAAACAAAAAGAAAACCCAGAGAAGCCGGGCACGGTGGCTCACACCTGTAATCCCACCACTTTGGGAGGCCGAGGCGGGCAGATCACAAGGTCAGGAGATTGAGACCATCCTGGTTAACATGATGAAACCCCGTCTCTACTAAAAATACAAAAAAATTAGCCGGGCGTGATGGTGGGCACCTGTAGTCCCAGCTACTCGGGAGGCTGAGGCAGGAGAATGGCGTGAACCCAGGAGGCGGAGCTTGCAGTGAGCCAAGATCGCGCCACGGCACTCCAGCCTGGGTGACAGAGCGAGACTCCGTCTCAAAAAAAAAAAAAAAAAGAAAAAGAAAACCCAGAGAAATCACCACAGGGTCATTTCTCAATTCTTGAGGTCCCTAGTCAGTCAGCTCTCTTCTTCTAACCCTTTAGTCTTCTTATGTTTATTTGCTGTGTATGTCCAGGGTTTTAAATCTGAACTGAATAGGAAGAACAGGCAGAAATAAGTCTTATCAGGAACTGAAGACCCCTCATCTAAGCATTAAAGAATAGTTAATACTAATCTTAAATGCACTCTTTCAGAGAATAAAGGAGTATTTCCCATCTGGTTTTATGCAGCTAATACAACTATCTCTATTTGCCAATGATATAATCTTGTATATAAAAATTATAAGGAATCCACTAACAAACTGTCAGAACTAATAGAAGCATTCAGAAAGAATGCAGGATACAGATCAATAAACACAGATCAATTTTTTTTTTTTTAATTTTTGTAGCAATACAGAGTCACTATGTTGCCCAGGCCAGTCTCAAACTCCTGGCCTCAAGTGATCCTCCTGCCTTGGCCTTCCAAAGTGCTGGGATTACAGGTGTGACCCATCATGCCTGGCCAAAAATTAATTGTATCTCTATACATTAAAAATGAACAATCAGAAAAGGAAATGAAGAAAACAATTTCATTTATAACATTAAAAACATAAAATACTTAGTAATAAATTTAACAAAAGAAGTGTAAGACTTGTACACTGAAAACTATAAAACATCAAATGAAAGAAATTAAATAAGACCTAAATAAATGGGAAGGCATCATGTATTCATGGACTTAATATTTTAAGATGGTACTATTCCCCAAGCTGATCTATAGATTCAATGCAATTTTTTTTTATTATTATACTTTAAGTTTTAGGGTACATGTGCACAACGTGCAGGTTAGTTTCATATGTATACATGTGCCATGTTGGTGTGCTGCACCCATTGACTCGTCATTTAGCATTAGGTATATCTCCTAATGTTATCCCTTCCCGCTCCCCCGCCCACAACAGGCCCCAGAGTGTGATGTCCCCTTCCTGTGTCCATGCGTTCTCATTGTTCAATTCCCACCTATGAGTGAGAACATGCGGAGTTTGGTTTTTAGTCCTTGTGATAGTTTACTGAGAATGATGATTTCCAATTTCATCCATGTCCCTACAAAGAACATGAATTCATCATTTTTTATGGCTGCATAGTATTCCAGGGTGTATATGTGCCACATTTTCTTAATCCAGTCTATCATTGTTGGACATTTGGGTTGGTTCCAAGTCTTTGCTATTGTGAATAGTGCTGCAATAAACATACGTGTGCATGTGTCTTTATAGCAGCATGATTTATACTCCTTTGGGTATATACCCAGTAATGGGATGGCTGGGTCAAATGGTATTTCTAGTTCTAGATCCCTGAGGAATTGCCACACTGACTTCCACAATGGTTGAACTAGTTTAAAGTCCCACCAACAGTGTAAAAGTGTTCCTATTTCTCCACATCCTCTCTAGCACCTGTTGTTTCCTGATTTTTTAATGATCGCCATTCTAACTGGTGTGAGATGGTATCTCATTGTGGTTTTGATTTGCATTTCTCTGATGGCCAGTGATGGTGAGCATTTTTTCATGTGTTTTTTGGCTGCATAAATGACTTCTTTTGAGAAGTGTCTGTTCATGTCCTTTGCCCACTTTTTGATGGGGTTGTTTGTTTTTTTCTTGTAAATTGGTTTGAGTTCATTGTAGATTCTGGATATTAGCCCTTTGTCAGATGAGTAGGTTGCGAAAATTTTCTCCCATTTTGTAGGTTGCCTGTTCACTCTGATAGTAGTTTCTTTTGCTGTGCAGAAGCTCTTTAGTTTAATTAGATCCTATTTGTCAATTCTGGCTTTTGTTGCCATTGCTTTTGGTGTTTTAGACATGAAGTTCTTGCCCATGCCTATGTCCTGAATGGTAATGCCTAGGTTTTCTTCTAGGGTTTTTATGGTTTTAGGTCTAACGTTTAAGTCTTTAATCCACCTTGAATTAATTTTTGTAGAAGGTGTAAGGAAGGGATCCAGTTTCAGCTTTCTACATATGGCTAGCCAGTTTTCCCAGCACCATTTATTAAATAGGGAATCCTTTCCCCATTGCTTGTTTTTCTCAGGTTTGTCAAAGATCAGATAGTTGTAGATACGCGGCATTATTTCTGAGGGCTCTGTTCTGTTCCATTGATCTATATCTCTGTTTTGGTACCAGTGCCATGCTGTTTTGGTTACTGTAGCCTTGTAGTATAGTTTGAAGTCAGGTAGTGTGATGCCTCCAGCTTTGTTCTTTTGGCTTAGGATTGACTTGGAGATGCAGGCTCTTTTTTGGTTCCATATGAACTTTAAAGTAGGTTTTCCCAATTCTGTGAAGAAAGTCATTGGTAGCTTGATGGGGATGGCATTGAATCTATAAATTACCTTGGGCAGTATGGCCATTTTCACAATATTGATTCTTCCTACCCATGAGCATGGAATGTTCTTCCATTTGTTTGTATCCTCTTTTATTTCATCGAGCAGTGGTTTGTAGTTCTACTTGAAGAGGTCCTTCACGTCCCTTGTAAGTTGTATTCCTAGGTATTTTATTCTCTTTGAAACAATTGTGAATGGGAGTTCACACAATTCTTATTAAAATCTTCACTGCCTTTTTAGCAAAAATGAACACACTGATCCTAAAATTCACATGGAAATTCACGGGGCCCAGAATAGCCAAAACAACTTTGAAAAAAGGCGGAAGAATAACACTTCTCAATTTCAAAACTTAACTACAAAGCCATAGTAATCAAGACTGTGTGGTATTAACATAAGGAAAGACATACTGATCAATGGAATAAAATTAAGAATCTAGAAATAAACCCTCATATTTATAAACAAATTTATTTTTGACAAGAGTGCTACAATGACTTAATGGGGGAAAGAACAGTCTTTTCAATAATGGTGGTGAAACAACTGGATATCCATATGTAAAAGAATGAAGTTAGACCCCTACTTCACACTCTACCCAATTAACTCAAAATAATCAAAGACTTCAATGTAAGAGATAACACTATAAAATTCTTAGAAGAAAAAGGCTTAATCATCATGATCTTTGATTAGACAATGATTTCTTAAAACCACAAACAACAACAACAAAAATAAATAAGATCATAAAAATTTAAAACTTTTATGTTTTAAAGGACACTATCAAGCAAGTAAAAACACAATTCAATGAACTGAAGAAAGTATCTGCAAATCACACATCTGAAACGAGACTTGTATCCAAAACATATAACTCTTATAACTCAATAATAAAGAGACAAATAACACAATTTTAAAAATAAGCACAAAATCTGAATAGAAATTTCCACAATGAACATATACAAATGACCAATGAGTACATGAAAAGATGCTCAATATCATTAACCATCAAGGAAATGAAAATCAAAACCACAGTGAGATGCTACTTCCCATACCTTAGGGTGGCTATAATCAACAAGACAGATGATAACAAGTATTGGCAAGGATGTGGAGAAACTAGAACTCTCATACATCACTGCTGAGAATATAAAATGGTGCAGCCTCTCTGAAAAACAACAAGCAGTTCCTCAAAAGGTTAAACATAGAGCTATGCTATGACCCAGCAATTCTACTCCTAGGTATACACCTAAGAGGAATGAAAATATATGTGTATATGTCTACATTCAAGAAAGCTCACAGCCCCTTTATTCATAATAGCCAGACACTGAAGGAAAAAAAAGACACCTAAATGTCCATCAACAGAACAGATAAAATCCTGGTATATACACGCAATGAAATGTTATACAGCAATAAGGGAACAATTGATACATGTAACATGAATGACTCTCACAAATGTTATGTTGAACATAATAAGCTTAATCCAAAAGTATATATACTTTATTATTCCAAATATTTGAATTTTAAGAAGAGTTAGAACTAATCAGGGGTCACAGAAGTTCAGAATAATAGTCACCTCAGGGTGGAAGTGAAGGATGCATATTGACAGGAAGTAACTTTAGGGAACAAACTTTCTAGAGGTTCCAGGAATGTTCTAATTTGAAATAGGTGGTAGTTACACAAGGGTATGTGTATGTGTATAGATGTGTGTGTGTGTGTGTGTGTATGTATGTAAAACACACTGTGCTGTATCCTTAAGATTTGTGTACATTACCTCACTGAATTTATTTTAGACTTAATAATTTTAAATAATGAAGAAAAAACTTTATGTACAATATTATACTAAATAGCTTTAAAATATATACATGTAAGTAGAAAAAAGATGAAAATGAAATATATACAAATTTTACAGTGAATAGGTTAAGAGCTTGGGCTTTGGAGTCAGAATATTCAAATCTAGGCTTTGGCCTTCACTAGCTCTATAACTTCTTTAGGCTCCTGCTTCTTCACCAGTAAAATGTAGAGCATAATATATGCACATTATGGCATTGATGCAATGACTAAAAGAGACAATGCACATAAAATTCTTGACACATAGTAAACACTAAATACTTGTTATATCCTACCCAACCCACCCCTCCCCACACAGATACATACTATGTAATGGGATTACAGATGGTTTTATTTATTGCTTTATACTTTTCTCATGTTTTTGAAATCTTTTATAAGACACAGACAGGCACAAGGTATTCACCGAGAGGGCGCAGGGCTAGTCTATAAACCGTAAGCTTATACAATTTATATGTCATAAAGCCTTTACACATTTCTGTACCACTTAAAACAAAATGTTTTTCTTTTAAACTGCATAACACCAGTACACAGTACTGACACATACACCACAGATGCTCCTACTCCTCCTACCAATAAATGTTCAGCATTCAAATACCTTTTAATGTGCTTTGGGGGGTAGTTTTAATCTTTCTTCAGGGCTTGAAAAATCAAAGTTACTCAAGAAGTCAGAGAAGGGTGTGTGTGTGTGCGTGCGCACGCCCGTAAGCCATATCCTAATCCCAAATGTGGCAAGAACCTAACTTCCAGAGTGGAATTAAAAATCAATACCAAGCAGTGGAAGAGACAAAACTGTATCCATAATACTGTCAGATAACAAATGAAATCTATACAGCATCTTTCTTAGAAATAAAATTTCAAGCTTCAATTCCATCACAGTCACACAACATAGAAGCCGCAGTATAAAAAAAAATGTATGAGATAGACTGAAGGGTAAAAAATGACAGGAAAACACAGAGTAGACTTTGACATATCTCTAATTACTGCTTCGTTTCAGACTAATGGTAAAAATTAGTCTTCAGATAGCTGATAACATCAGACTGTCTGTGCTGAGTTAGTACCAAGATCTGTGGCCAAGCAAATACTTCCAATAAAATTGATTTTCCTTTTTGGCAACCAATAGGCCAGTCAATAATAATGTTGTTTAAGAAATATAGAGTCATGAGGAGATGAACCTTTCCTTCCATTTATTATGTTTGTATTGTCTATATTTGAAAAGCGTTTTCAATAACAAAACCAAAGAAGATATTACAAGCAAAAGAGTTATTCTGAGCGCTAATCTCCAGAAGCCCTCTGACTTCGAAGCATGTTAGCAACTCAAACTGGAAAAGCCAAAAGCAACCCATTAACTAAAGTTAGATTGTATAGATTATGACTGTCAAAAGAGAATCAAAGCTGGTGGCTACACACAATGGTCATGTGAATACAAAGGAAAACATTGTGGCAGGCATATAATTCTAACAGATCCGTCCTAAAAACCTACACGGAACTTTTACTTTGCATTAAAGCTTAGTGTTTAGTAAAGAATGTTCTATAAAGCCACCTATAGTTTTTGGATTGTTTGTCTCACACTATCCAAACAAATAGAACGTAAGAAATCCGCAAGGCAAAAACCTCAGGCAATGCCTAACTTGGGGATATTTCCATATACAATACCTCCAAACAATGTGTTTGGTTCAAAAAACTGTTTTGTTGTTTTTTAGAGACAGGGTCTTATGCTCTGTCACCCAGGATGGAATGCAGTGGCACAATCATAGTTCACTGTAACCTCAAACTCCTGGGCTCAAGTGATCCTCCCACCACAGCCTCCAGAGTAGTTAGGACTACAGGCACCCACCACTACATCTAATTAAAAAAAAATGTGTGGAGATGGGGTCTCACTATGTTGCCCAGGCTGGTCTCAAACTCCTGGCCTCAAGTGATCCTCCTGACTCAGCCCCCTAAAGTGCTAGAATTACAGGCATGAGCCATCACATCTGGCCAGTTTTTTTTTTTTTCTTTGTTGTTTTAATTTAGTGGTAATAGTGGTTGGGGAAAGCTGGATGTTGAAAAAATGACTTTGAAATTTACACAGAAAAATAAATGAGCAAAAATAGTAGAAAGTATTTTGAATGAGTAGTGAAGGAATTTGCCCAACCGGATTTAAAAATATATTTTGAAGCTATAATACTTAAAACAGTGTAGCACAAATACATGAACAGAAAACCAGAGCAATGGAATGGAAGAACAAGCCCCCAAGATAGACTGAAATACATAAAAGAATTGAGACTATGGTAAGACAGTTCAAATTGCTATAGAAAAGATACCAATTATTCCATAAACATTACTGGAACTGGCTAGTCATCTGGACAAAAATAAAGTTGGCACCATCTGGACAAAAGTAAAATTCCTATTACATACATAGGATACATATATCAATTATAGATGAGTTGATAAAAACCACGAAATAATGAAAGTACTAGAAGAAAATGTGGGGGAAAATTTAAACAACTATATCACAAAGAAAGTGCAAATTTTCCTTACTATATAAAAAGTTCCTGTAAGGAGAAAAATACCATCAATACAATGGGAAACTGAGGAAAAGCTATATTAAAAATATAATATACCATTCATCATTCATCAAACAGGCAGAGAACAAAAAGTGTTATGATAAACTATTTGGCATGGCTAGAGAAACAGGAATTCTCTCACACACTGCTGGTGGAAGTATAAATTGTTACAGTCCATTTACATGGTACTAGTTAACTAAATTATGATACATTCTCCTGGGAACTGGTTGGATGATGGTGCCAATTATGGTGAGTAGTGGGCGGGGAAGGGTGGACTGTTGAAGGATGCTGGTGTTTAGTGTTAGATATTGTGCGTTTGAAGTGTCTGAGGGATATCAAAGAAGAGATATGTGTGTCTGGAGCTACTGGCTGAGATCTGGGTTGGTGATAAACATTTATTCTACTTTCTCTGTGAAATAGGAGGTATTCTGAAGATAAAGACCAGAAGATTTGGTAGTCAAATTTAATGATGATATTACCATGATTTATGGTAACACCAGTGTTGTGTGATTTTTTTTTATTTTTATTTTTAGCTTTTTCCAGAACCTAAGTGTAAAAAGACAAAGATGCCTATGTTACCACTTCTATTCAACCTAGTACTGAAAGGCCCAGCCGGAGCAATTAGGCAAGAAAATGAAATAAAAGGTACCCAAATCAGTCATTAGGATGTCTATTGTCAAAAGCACAGAAAACAACAAGTGTGGACAAGGATGCGGAGAAATTTGAATATCTGTGTATTACTGGTGGGAATGTAAAATGGTGCAGCTACTGTGGGAAACAATATGGCAATTCCTCAAAAAATTAAACGTAGAATTATCATATGATCAAGCTATTCTATTTCTAGGGTATATACTCAAAAGAAGTGAAAGCAGGGACTTGAACAGACATTTGTACACCCATGTTCACAGCATCCTTATTCATAATCGCCAAAAGGTAAAAGCAAACCAAGTGCCACAGATATTGGAATAAACAAAGTATGGTAAATACATACAAATAATATTCGGCTTTAAAAGGGAAGGAAATTTTGACACATGCAACCACATGGATGAACCTTGATGATGTTATGCTGAGTGAAATAAGCCAGTCAAAAAGGGACAAATATTGTATGATTCCACTTATATGAGGTACCTAGAGTAGTCAAATTCACAGAAATAGAAAGTAGAATGGTAGTTGCCAGGGGCTGAGGGAATGGAGGAATGGGAAATTAGTGTTTAATGGTTAGAGTTTCAGTTGGGGGAGATGAAAAAGTTCTGGAGATGGGTGCTGGTGATGGGCACACACAATACAAATGTATTTAATGCCACATAACTATACACTTAAAATTGTTAAAATGGTAAATTTTATGCTATGAGTATTTTACCACAATAAAAAAGAGGAAGAAAACCAAAACCTTAGGTTCTGGAAAGGGGTAAATTTTAATGACCTTGGATTTGGCAATGGTTTCTAAAGTATGACACCATAAACAAAAGGAAAAAAGAGAAAACAAATGATAGAGTTCATCAAAATTTACAACCTGTGCATCAAAAGACACCATCAAGAAAATAAAGAGAAAACCCACAAAAAGGGAGAAGACACTTGCAAATCATGTATCTGATAAGGGTCTAGTATCCAGAATATATAAAGCACTCCTACAACTCAACAACAAAAAGACAAATCACTTTAAAATGGGCAAAGACTTAAACAGACATTTCTCCAGAAAAGATATGCAAATAGTCAACAAGCGTATGAAAAGGTACTCCATATCATTAGTCATTAGGGAAATGTAAATCAAAATTATACCATGATGAGATATCACTTCATACCCACTAAAATAGTTATTTTTAAAAAAGCAAAAATAACAAGTATTGGTGAGGATGTGGTGAAACTGGAAGCATCATACACAGCTGCTGGGCATGAAAAATGGTGTAGCTCCTATGGAAAACAGTTTGTCAGTTGCTCAAAAAGTTAAACATCAAATTACCATATGACCCAGTAACTCCACTCCTATGTCTACAACCAAAAGAACTGACAACAGGTATTCAAATAAAAATACAAGGACACAAATGTTCACAGTGGCATTATTCACAACTGCCAAAAGACAGAAACAACTCAAGCTGCCCATCAATTGATTAATGGATAAACAACATTTGGGATATCCAAAAAATTCAGCCATAAAAAGGAATGAGGTATTGTTACATGTTACAATATAGATACACCTTCAAAACTTTATGCTAAGTAAAAGAAGTCAAACACAACCATAAATTTTAAGATTCCCATTTATATAAAATATCCAGAATAGGCAAATCTATAGAAACAGAAAGCAGATTAGTGGTTGCCAAGGTCTGGGGCAAGGGGAGAAATAAAAAAAATGTTAAAAAGTGACTGCTTAGTGGGAACAGGGTTTTCTTTTGCGGTGACAACAGTATTACGGAACTATATAGTAGCAATGATTACACAACATTGTGAAATGTACTAAACGCCACTGAATTGCACATTTCAAAAGAGTTAATCTGGTAAATTTTATGTTATGCGAATTATACTTCAATTTAAAAAATAAAAGCTCTTCTTTATCACTCTTACCTGACAGTTAATGTCAGCTCTATGTTGCAGCAACACTGTGACTAGTTCCTTATGTCCTCGATCACAGGCCCAGTGAAGTAGAGCCCTACCCTAAAAACACAGAAGATAAATGAATTTGTTATCTCAGTTGTGGAGCCATGTAAAAGATATAATGTTTTAAGAAAGACAAGGAAATATAAAAAATTATGGGTTAATTATTCTAAGAATGATTGATATAAAAAATGCACTATGGAAAAAGCAATAAACAATCAATGGGGCAGGGCATGGTGGCTCATGCCTGTAATCCCAGCACTTTGAAAGGCCGAGGTGGGTGGATCACTTGAGGTCAAGAGTTCGAGACCAGCCTGGCCAACATGGTGAAACCCTGTCTCTGCTAAAAATACAAAAATTAGCTGGGCATGGTGATGGGTGCTTGTAATCCCAGCTACTTGGGAGGATGAGGCAGGAGAATCGCTTGAACTCGGGAGGCGGAGGTTGCAGTGGGCCGAGATTGTACCACTGCACTCCAGCCTGGGTGACAGGGCAAAACTCCATCTCAAAAACTACAACAACAACAACAACAACAACAACAACAACAATGAAAACAATCAATAGGAAGCCCCAATATCTACTTCTGGGTCTGTACTAGCCCAATGCCTGCTTTCAGCTCAATCAGTTCACTTACAGAGTGGAGATAATGATAGTAATAACAACAATAATATAAATAATACCTGCTAAATGAACTGTAAGAAAATGCTTTGTAAACTGTACTTTAAATATAAAGTATAGTTTTCTTAAATATTATGTCCATTTCTTTTTTTCTGGAAAGAAATCATAAGAATAAAAAAGCAAGCACTTAAACCTAGGTAGAAATCATAATCTAAATGTATGATAACTAAATTTCCTCGAGTTCATTCCTTAAAAAGATTATTTAACCAGTTTGAAAATAAGCATTTCTCCTTACTATTGCAAGTTTACACTCTGAAATACCTCAAAAACACTAGTACAATCTATCAGTGTCTATCACCAAACAGTTGACTGTGAAAGCCACTTGTAAAAGAGAATGGATGACTAAATATTAGGAGATAAAGTACTAAATATGAAATATTAATTTTAACACTTGTCTACCAAAGACTCACAGTTACTATTACGTGTGTTATTTCTATTCTCTACTGCCAGAAAATCTTGTTTTAGTTAATGAAAAAAAGCCTACTTGGTTCAAAAGAATAAACAAAACCCCAAAAGCTAAGGGCTTTTCTGAATAAATGAGTGATGCATGGCTTACTACTTTCTGAGGATGGTGATGATGTTGTCATTTATAAAGAATGGAATGTTTTTCCACATTAAGTTGACATCCCTACTTTATGTGATTTTAGAAAAGATTTAAATAGATATAAGCTAGGGCAAGGATTGATTTAAAGTAAAAAGCACCTTTCAAGAAATAGCTTTTCTAAAACTGCCTACATTCTTTTTATCATTCAGACTTTCTTCACATACCTATTATTTCAAATAATTAAACTAGGATCTATTCTTTAAACAAAAAACAAAGTAGGAAAACTTCTTCCCTACAAATTGTCTTCTTCTTTTGCTTTCATTTGCTTGATTTACTTTTATTTACCTGTAAATATCTGTTTTCTAATAAGCTTACACAAAATCCTAAGAGGGGGGAAAGCAGAGAAAAAGTGTGGTCAAATCATTCACAATTTATTGTAGTATCAAAATAAAAAAAATTTATTTTGCCTTGTTCAGAGCCCACTAGGAGTTATTTTTTATTTATTTATTTATTTATTTTGAGACGGAGTTTTGCTCTTTTGCTGAGGCTGGAGTGCAGTGGCGGGATCTCCGCTTACTGCAACCTCTGCCTTCCGGTTTCAAGCAGTTCTGCCTCAGCCTCCCAAATAGCTGGGATTACAGGGACCCGCCACCATGCCCAGCTAATTTTTGTATTTCTTTTTAGTAGAGATGGGGTTTCACCATGTTGGCCAGGCTGGTCTCGAACTCCTGACCTTGTGATCCACCTGCCTTGGCCTCCCAAAGTGCTGGGATTACAGGCGTGAGCCACCACGCCCAGCCAGAAGTTATTTTTCAGTGGAGACAATTCTAAAAGTCCAGGTGAAAATGTATTGTTGAGTTCTAGAGCAGTTTCCTATGTTAAAATTTTTGTAGCTCTAATGTGACCTGCTGTTACTAGGGCTCTAATTCAGAAATCCTCCATATGAACAATTAGATATTTTAATGAGACTCTGAATAAATACTAATGAATAAAATATTCTACAGGTCCATGTTATTGTTTCACAGCATTTATTAATACATTAAAAGAATCAGACAAAATTTCAAAGTCTATCATTTTTAGTTCTAATTGTAAGTGTGCATTTTATGGCTATTAGGTTAAACTATTGACAAGAGTTATACATAGTTAAGACGATGTGTGATATATTTACATAGGGTACTTACAAAAACTATGTAATAGTTAAGTAGGACAACATAATATGTCTTGTACTTTTACCATAAGATGTATAGATAATTTCTATCTCTCAGCCACGTTCCTGAATTTTCCTTAGGTTTGACCCAATAGGGTTATATCAACTAAAGCTAAAATGTAAATCCTTAGCTGTTTCAATGGTAAAGCTGACAAGCAACACATTTTACTGTTAATGGGAGTTATATTTTAAATTTCCCATATTTTAAATTTTCCATGTGATGCCAAAAATTTACTTTAGGGGAAACACCTATGACTGGACCTCCATAGTGATTTTCACTTTGGATATATTTTCCAGAAGCGGGGCACATGTATAGCAATGTTTTAAGAAGGATGATGTGCTCTCAGACATTTACACCATACTTTTTAACACATTTTCTGACCTGCAATGCAATTAATTCTTGTAACACATTATTTTAATGGTACACTAATTAACCTTGAATTAGAATGAATTCTCTGACAATGACTTTCTGTAGAAGCACTGAAGATATCTACATTAAGACCACCTAATGATTAATATTCCATGCAGTATTAAAAAGCTCAAAAACAAGAGTAGGATTAAACATACTTGTAAATAAACACAGACAAAACAAATCAGGCTTTGGAATTTTAACCTTCAAGATGCTCTATATTTAAATGAACAAAAACCAGCAAAATGAGGTGTCTGTGATACCTTTTACTTCTTCAAATTATAAAATTCCTATAAACATGCTCTAATTTAAGATTATTATTCACTCACTAACATAACCAGTAATTTGCAGAGATGCTATCCTTATAATTAATCATGATAAAATCAGGAAATAAACACCTGTGGTTTCTTTCCTTTCTCTTTGTTAACCACAAACACACCTAGACCACTACAATTATTAAACTATTTTAGGTAAAGAATTCCAAAATCTCTCCTCCAGAAGGAAAACCATGACTTAGGTGTGCATTAAAGCTATATCTTCTAAGACTTTATCTAAATTTATGAACTATTTTACATATTTGTCTATATAATTGTTTTATCTTTTTCCATGAGTGATATAATCTCTTATAAATTTTCAAGTTAAATTTATTTTTATTGCTACCAAAATAAGTGACAATTCTTTGTTTCTAATTTTTAAAACTCTTCTGGAAAAATATCCCAGAAGTATTCAGGAGATTGGTGAGGGAGAGCCATTATTAAAAGGAACCTTTGTTAGGCCACCAGAAGACCACGAACACTGGAGAGCCCTGAATAAATTCTGAAACTCAAATACAGTAAGATGCAGGGAGAAAAAGAGTTCTCATCTATTAACCAAGGGTGCTAACACTGTCCTACCTCAGACAGATGAATGACTCTAAAGTGCTTTGAAAGTGCAGGGTAGCAGCTAACCTATTAAGTGGTATTACTTTCATACCTTCTGGAAAATACAGAGAGCACATCTTAATATATGAAATGCTTCTCTGATTTCCTTAGTAACTCGTCCATAAACCATGTAGAATTTTTTTTTAATTAGACTTTTCTCCTCAATATCACAAAATTAAAAAAAAGAGAAGAGATTCTGGCCAGGCGCGGTGGCTTACATCTGTAATCCCAGCACTTTGGGAGTCCGAGGAGGGAAGATCACCTGAGGTGAGGAGTTCGCAACAAGCCTGGCCAACATGGTGAAATGCTGTCTCTACTAGAAATACAAAAAATTAGTGGGGTGTGGTGGTGCGCGTGCCTGTAATCCCAGCTACTTGGGAGGGTGAAGGCAGGAGAATCGCCTGAACCTGGGAGGTGGAGGTTGCAGTGAGATGAGATCGTGCCACTGTACTCCAGCATGGGCAACAGAGCAAAATTCTGTCCAGAAAAAAAAAAAAAAAATGGTAAGGGGAGGGGAGAGGAGGGAAGGAAGGAGATTCTATTATAAAATGAGTCTTGATGTTCTTATGATATTTTGAGATCAAATACAAAGTACATATACCATACGTATAACAGATAAAAACATGGCAAATTTGGTATATTTAAATTTGTAAGAGTTGTCCTGTCATTCTATCAAACACATATAGTATATGGTATGGTACTGTCTAATTAGCAAATGAAATACTGCAAACAGGTAGATCTGAATTTCTCTCTGCAAAAAAATTGGGTATCAATTTATAATTGTAGTAGAGCTTGACTTCAACTACCAACAACCTGTAATGTCCCCATCTCCTCTGTACTATCTTCTACCTTTTGCTGCTACTACTGTAGCAGCTGGCCATAGTGAGAACTCCCCTACCTGCAATCACCAGAAATTACACAATGCCTCCTTCTTTCACTTCCCTGTCCATAGTGAAATGACAATGTTATTTCAAGCACTTAGGAATAAGATTGAAAGATAGTCTAACATCTCAAGATTATACCTAGCATGGAAGCCAATGACTGCTTGTGGGATAATTTACTTACGAGCATTATAAAGAAAATCACACACCAGTATGTGTGATACACACTTAAAATCAGCAACTACTGGATCTTGATCTCTTTCACTGGCAAAGATCTAGGGTAGGGGAAAATGGTGTTGCTTATTTGTCAGGAAATTGAGAAAGATTTTGAATACACTACTTTAAAAAATCTGGCTGGGTGCGGTGGCTCATGCCCATAGTCCCAGTATTTTGGAAGGCCAAAGCGGGCAAGTATGAGACCAGCCTGGGGAACATGGTGAAACCCCATCTCTACAAAAATTAGCTGGACATGGTGGCACACTTCTGTAGTCCCAGCTACTCAGGAGGCTCGGCTCAACAGGAGAATCACTTAAGCCCATGAAGTCATGGCTGCAGTGAGCCGTGATCGACGTCACTGTACTCCAGCCTACGCAACACAGTGACACTCTGTCTCAAAAGAAAAAAAAAAAAATCCCTTCACAAGAAATTACTAAGCTATAATGTCAGTGACTTAAGGGTGAAGGAATATGAAAGGGAGGTATTATTTCATCCTGTATAAAGGAGGTAATTAACAGCAATAATAATAGGAAGTTGCCATGAAAACAGCCCAGGTATCCATCATAAGACAATGGTATATTCACATGATGGAACATATTCAGCAGTATAAAAGAAGGAAGTACTGAACTATAGCAATATGGATGAGTCTCAAAAACATTATGCTGAATGAAAGATGCCCTACACAGAGGAGTACATATGTATAATCCCATATATATAAAGTTCGAGAACAAGCAGAACTTATCTATGGTAGAATAATATCAAAACGGTGGTTACCTTTTTGGGATTAAAAGAAAACAGTGGCTGGGAAGGGGCATGAGGAAACTTTCTGGGGCGACAGCAATGTTCTATATCTTGATAGGCACTTCAGTTACACAGGTATATGTATTTGTCAAAGTTCATCAAATGTGTACTTAAGACTTGTGCATTTCATTGTATATAAATATTATTTTAAAAGAAAAACCAAATACTGAATTCTAGTTAGTTATACGCATGTTAAAATATTTAGAAGAAAGTGTACTGTTGTCTGTGTACTCCAAAATGTATCAAAAAATAAAAAAGATTTGATGAATGTCTAGATATTGATAAAGCAAGCATAGTAAAATATTAATGGTAGAATCGAGATGGTAGAAATACGGATGTTCATTGTAAAATTCAACTTCTCTGTATGTTTAACATTTTTCATAATAGATTCTTGGGGAAAAAAAATCAAACAAAAATTTGTACACCTATGTTCAGAGCATAATTCACAACAGTCAAAAGGTAAGAGCAAACCAAGGTGTCCATCAATGGATATCTGAATAAACAAAATGTGGTATATGCATACAATGGAATATTATTCATCTTACAAAGCAAGGAAACTGACACATGCTACAACATGAACGAACCTTGAAGACGTTACACTGAGTGAAATAAGCCAGTCAAAAGGGACAAATATTGTTATGACTCCACTTAAATGAAGTACCTGGAGTAGTCAAATTCAGAGACAGAAAATAGAATGGTAGTTGCCAGGGGCCAGGGGAAGGGAGGAATGGGGGGTGTTTAATGGGTACAGAGTTTCTTTTTTTTTTGAGACAAAGTCTCACTCTGTCACCCAGGCTGGAGTGCAGTGGTGCGATCTCAGCTCACTGCAACCTCCACCTCCTGGGTTCAAGAGATTCTCCTGCCTCAGTCTCCCGAGTAGCTGGGATTACAGAAGTGCAGCACCACGCCTGACTAATTTTTGTATTTTCAGTAGAAACGGGGTTTCACCATGTTGGCCAAGCTGGTCTCAAACTCCTGACCTCAGGTGATCTGCCCACCTCAGCCTCCCAAAGTGCTGAGATTAAGGCATCAGCTACCACACCTGGCTTGGTACAGAGTTTCAATTGGGGAAGATAAAAAAGTTGTATGGTGGTGGTGGTTACACATGTGAATGTATTGTTTTATTTATTCATTTTTTATCACGAGACGGGATCTCACTATGTTGCTCAGCCTAGTCTTAAACTCCTGCGCTCAAGAATTCCTTGTGCCTGAAAGCATGAGCCACTACACTTGGCTCATGTGAAAAAAATATATATATACATATGTGTATTTTTGAGACAGAGTCTCACTTTGTCGCCCAGGCTGGAGTCCAGTGGCACGATCTCAGCTCATTGCAACCTCTGCCTCCTGGGTTCAAGTGATTCTCTTGCCTCAGCCTCCCAAGCAGCTGGGACTACAGGCATGTGCCACCATGCTCAGCTAATTTTTGTATTTTTAGTAGAGATGGGGTTTCACTATGTTGGCCAGGCTGGTTTTGAACTCCTGACCTCAGGTGATCCACCTGCCTTGGCCTCCCAAAGTGCTAGGATGACAAGCGTGAGCCACAGCACCTGGCCTCATGTGAGCATATTTAATGACAGAGAACTGTAGATTTAAAAATGATTAAAATGATACATTTTATGTATATTTTACCACAATTAAAAAATACCCAAAATAAGTTGCCAAAGCTCATAGGATTTAAGCTACTTTCACTATTTTCTGATTTTGTATTAAATCTAAGTTTCTGATGCAACACATGACCATAGACTTGATTTTTAAATGGCACTGCCTACATGAATGCAAATAAGCGTAATAGACAATTTGTAACGCATTTCTCAGTCATTAGTGTGAATAAAGTTCCTTCAAATTAACATCTTAATCAACTATATAACCAAAATAATATATACCCTGATATAGAAAGTGATTTAAGAGGATGCATTTTTTCTTCCTTCCTTTCTCAAATCTCATATAACTGCATAAATTTAGTCTCAGTATACCGACCCTGCCTCTTAAATCTTTTGCTTTTCTGTTACTTAGTACTGTCACAGTTTCACCAGAGTTTGCAGCAGTTTCTCAAGCCAAAAGCATGCAAATTGTATTGTTAGGAGCCACAGATTTAAAACAAAGTAGAAAAGGAAACGAATGGTAGTCAAGAGAAAGGTGACTTTCTTCAAAGTATCTGAAAGAATCAATAGACTACGGAAAATGGCTAATGACAACAATTATACTGTCAAAAGGACAGAAAAGGAAAGAATGTAACTAAAGAAGCAGCCCAGTGAAAGTGGAATTTGGGAGTGCATTAGATAAGAATCTATGGAAAACCAATGAACTATGTATGAATGCTTTTGGGGGGACTGATGATAAACAGGTGCACTGGATGGTCATCTATTTTGCTAAAATATTACACTGTTACATTTGATCTAAAACATTTAAATTACTTCAAAGATTTAAAATACTATTTAAATACTATCAATAAGCATGTATTTAGTGTTGATTGTATAGTACACTAATCTGAGAAATAACGTGTGACAAGAATTATGTAAACATAATTTGAGCCTGATGTTTGATAGCAAATACTCTCCCCATACTTTAAATACACTTCACAAATTATTGAAATCATCCCTGCCCCTTAAAAAATATTTTCTTGGAAGAATCATAAATATTTGGTATGTGTGAAGAGCTGTACTAATGTGGGTCAAGGATAAAAATTGAACCGCCATTTAAAAAAATAAGTAGGCTTTAAGATCTTCTCTTTAACTTTTCCCTTCATATTTTGAATTCAATTTTCAAGCATTTCTCAAATGACTGAAAACACAATAAAAGTTGTAATTTAATTTTTTAAAAAAGTACATATGACACCATGGTGTTACAAACTTGGACCCTAAAACATCTAAGCATAACTACGAAACTTTTTTCTATTATGCAAAATACAGACAATGTCCAATTACTATACCAGTAGGAAATACCAGGTAATTTTCTCAAATTAGAAATATATGCCTTACTATATTAGCATAGGTTGAGTATCCCTTATCCCAAATGCTGGGGACCAGAAGTGTTTAAAATTTTAGATTAAAAAAAATATTTACATTATATACTTATTGATGGCCCCTCCTTAATCCAAAAGTCTGAAATCCAAAGTGCTCCAAAGAACATTTCCTTGGAGTGTCACACTGTTGCTAAAAAGTTTCAGATTTTGGATCATTCCAGATTTTGGATTTTCAGATGAGGAATATCCAACCTGTAGTAATTACAACTTAAATGAATAAAAGATGTACACTAGGAATTATACTTATGTACAATAAAATAACTTCATTATGAAATACAAATACATTTTATTTAAAAGGCATTTCATATATATTTGTTCATATACAATACTTAGATCCAAATGTATGTATTTCAAATAATAATTTATAAATTATAGATTCATAGCTATCAGTGAATAATGTATTTATTTCAATGTGTGGGAATACAAATGTAGCTTACTTTATTATTATAATTAAATTTCTTTATGTGCTCACAGCAAATTTTAAGTGCAATAAACATGACTTTTAGTCATAAAATTAGGTTGAACCTGCTGAATTAAGATTTTAAGTAAAAACGTATATTATCCCAGAGAATCTTAGGGAATCAGTAGGGAAATATCTCAATTTCAAATATCAGATAAATACAAAAAAGAACTGAATGTCCTTTCAAAACTATAATTGTTACCCAACTCATAATAAGAAAACGTCAAAAGGACAGAAAGGGTTAAAAGTATTTAACTAGAAGTTTAATTTTGAGGCTACACACTTTTAGTCCATCATCAAAGCTTACCAAATTGTTTTATTTGCTAGAGCTTTAAATGTGATGAAGCAATACTATTTATTTTATTTTGGGATGTTAAGTTTGATTTTGATTTTAAGCTCCCACCTCCCTTATGTTCTTAAATTAATTCATACAAATCCCTGATTAATAATAAAAGGGTTTGCCATCAGTATTCAAAGCTCAGCCTGAATTGTCATGGCTGAGAGGGCAGAAATCTGCTTGGAGCAATGAGAGAACCCAACTGAATTCTTGGCGTCTCAGTCTATGAATGTGTAAGCACTTCATCTGTTCATGAAATACAACGTTCTGGCAGGCTGAGGGTAAAGGTAGCTGCATGGTTAACAAACTGGAAGATCTGGAAAGCAGCACTACATCAAAGTAACAAAATGGCAGAAACAATACATTTTGCCAAGTTTTCCTTGTCTTTACACACACAAAATATGTGTTATTTAGTGTAAGCTATCTGTGTTCTAGGCACTTATTCCACCCCTATCACTGTTGTCCATCCAGTGATCTTTGTGGAGGTCACATGTGGATTTGACTTCCAGTAATATTTTATAAAAGAAATTGCTGCAAACCAGAGCATAACACAGGGAAGGCCAAATGACAACTGCTTATCCTTCTTTTTCTTCTTTTTATTTATCCTTCTAAAATCTAGTGGTAGGAAGAATACTCTCCCAGACCTGGTTTCTACTTAGCAGTTATATGGATTTGAGCAAGTAAATGTAGGTCTCTGAACTTCAGTTCCTGTCTGTAAAACAAGGACAATATCTGCCTTAGAGAACTGTTGTAGAGATAATATAGTAATAAGTGAAAGTACTCTGTAAACTATCACATGCATTGTATAAAGTATTATGTGTTATTTGAAAGATAAATATTAACAGGCACCATATAGTACACACAAGATACTTCCAGTGAAAAAACTGTGACTTTGAAAAGTTAAGTGGCCTACTTATTGATTTGTTATATTATCATCATCCTTCACTCATACTATTAATAATAAAAGTAGATAAAATATACAGACTGTCTCAACTGATCCAAAACCCTTTTGAAATATCAGATAAACATAAAGAAATCAAGTAAGAGCATTATCAGAATATATAAATGAGATGGTGTCACTCATCTCATGAGACAGTGATATAAGCAAAAAAACAAATGTTTGTTGCTGTAAGCAACTGAAATTTGGGGGTTGTGCCACAGCAAAAGCTGACTGATACACACAAGTACAATCCACAGCTTAGCAATGAGTATTTACATAGTCATAATAATATTAATATTGATTCAACAGAGATTCAATCAGAAAGCTGAAATTAAAAGTTGTGATATCATATACACCATGGAATACTATGCAGCCATAAAAAATGATGAGTTCATGTCCTTTGTAGGGACATGGATGAAATTGGAAATCATCATTCTCAGTAAACTATCGCAAAGACAAAAAATCAAACACTGCATGTTCTCACTCATAGGTGGGAATTGAACAATGAGAACACATGGACATAGGAAGGGGAACATCACACTCTGGGGACTGTTGTGGGGTGAGGGGAGGGGGACAGATAGCATTAGGAGATATACCTAATGCTAAATGATGAGTTAATGGGAGCAGCACACCAGCATGGCACATGTATACATATGTAACTAACCTGCACATTGTGCACATGTACCCTAAAACTTAAAGTATAATAATAATAAAATAAAATAAAAAAGTTGTGATATAATTACGTTAGGAGGGTCAGAGAGAGAGAGGGAAGATGAGTAAAACAGTTAAATCTAAATATAACACAGAAACAAATCAATAATGTCTAAAGTTGAAAAATCAAGAAATAGAAGTATATTATTTAGAATTATGTAGGTAAGGTGCTAAAGACACATTAAAAGAACTGGAAGTCTGGCCGGGTGCAGTGGCTCACATCTGTAACCCTAACACTTTGGGAGGCTGAGGCAGGCTGATTACTAAAGCTCAGGAGTTCGAGACCAGCCTGGCCAACATGGTGAAACCCCATCTCTACTAAAAATACAAAAATTAGCCAGGCATGGTAGTGCACACCTGTGGTCCTAGCTACCTGGGGGCTGAGGTGGGAGGATCGCTTGAGCCCAGGAGGCAGAGGCTACAGTGAGCCCTGATCATGCCACTGCACTCCAGCCTGAGAATCTGTCTAAAAAAAAGAGAAAATTTTTGCCTTAAAGGAGCTAGAATAAAATGTAAGAAGGATGCAGGTAAGAGAGAATTTTTTTGTTTATAAGACTAATAGTAACATTTGATTTTTTAAAAAAACAAATGTATTAACTTTATAAAAATTTTAACTCACAAGCACAAAGATAAAAAACTACAATTTAAAAAATCAAGGGAAGCAATCATGCCAAATTTATTTAAAAAAGAAAGCTATACAGGCATACCTTGTTCTATTGCACTATGCTTCATTGCACTTTGCAAATACTGTGTTTTTTGTAAATTGAAGATTTGTAGCAACCCTGAGTTAAGCCAACTATTGGTGCCATTTTTCCAACAAGATGTGCTCACTTCATGTCTGTGTCACACTGAGGTAATTCTTGCAATACTTCAAAGTTTTTCATTATTATTATATCTGTTAGGGTAATGATCAGTGATCTCTGATGTTACTATTGTAATTGTTTTGGAGTGCTACAAACCACACTGAGAAAGATGGCAAATTTAACCAACAGATACTTTGTGTGTTCTGACTGCTCCACTGACTGGCTGTTCCTGGTCTCTCCCCCTCTCTTCAGGCTTCCCTATTCACTCAGACACAAAAATATTGAAATTATTAGCCAGTAATACAATAGTCTCTAAGTTTCAAGTAAAACCTAGTATCAAATGAAAGGAAAAGGGCTGCACCGTCTCTCACCTTCAATCAAATGCCAGAAATGATTAAGCTTAGTGAGGAAGGCATACTGAAAACCAACACAGGCCAAAAGCTAGGCCTCTTGTGCCAAACTGCCAATTTGTGAATGTCAGAGAAAAATTCTTGAGGAAATTAAAAGTGCTATTTCAGTGAGCATACAAATGATAGAAAAGTAAAAAAGCCTTATTGCTGATATGGAAAAAGTGAGTGGTCTGGATTCAACCAGCCACAACATTCCCTTATGCCAAAGCCTGATCCAGGGCAAAGCCCTAGTTCTCTTCAAGTCTATGAAGGTTGAGAAAGGTAAGGGGGCTGCAGAAGAAAAGTCTGAAGCTAGCAAAGGCTGGTTCATGTGGTTAAAGGAAAGAGGCCATCTCCATAACATAAAAGTACAAGGTGAAGCACCAAGTGCTGATGCAGAAGCTGCAGCAAGTCATCCAGAAGACCTAGTTAAAGTAACCGATAAAGGTGACTACACTCAACAACGATCCTCAATGTAGAGAAAATAGACTACTCCTACTATTGAAAGAAGATGCCGTCCAGGACTTTCATGGCTGGAGAGAAGTCAATACCTGGCCTCAAAGCTTCAAAAGATAGACTGACACTCTTGTTAGGGGCTAATGCAGCCATTGACTTTAAGCTGAAACCAATGCTCATTTACCATTCTGAAAATCCTAGGGCCCTTAAAAAGTATGCTTAATCTATTCTGCCTGTGCTTTTGAAATGGGAAAACAAAGCCTAGATGACAGTATATCTGTTTACTTTACAAAATGGTTTACTGAATATTTTAAGCCTACTGTTGATACCCACTGCTCAGGAAAAAAAAAAACATTCCTTTCAAAATATTACTGCTCATTGACAATGTGCTTGGTCATCCAAGAGTGCTCATGGAAATGTATAAGGAAATTAATGTTGTTTTCTTGTTTGCTAACACAACATTCATTTTGCAGTCCATGGATCAAGGAATAATTTTGACTTCCAACTTTTATTATTAAAGAAATACATTCTATAAGGCTATAGCTGCCATAGACAATGATTGCTCTGATAGATCTGGGCAAACTGAAAACCTTCTGGAAAGGATTCACCATTCCAGATGCCATTAAGAACATGTGTGATGGGAGGAGGTCAAAATATAAACATTAACAGGAGTCTGGAAGAAGTTGATTCCAACCTTCATGGATGACACAGATAAGGATTCAAGACTTCAGTGGAAAAGTTACTTGCAGATGTAACTGCAAGAGAACTAAAATTAGAAGTGGAACCTGAAGATGTGATGGAATTGCTACAATTTCATGATAAAACTTGAACAGATGAGGAGTAGCTTCTTATGGATAAGCAAACAAAGTGGTTTCTTAAGACAGAATCTACTCCGGCGAAGATGTTGTGAACATTGTTGAAATAACAACAAAAATTTTAAAGTACAACATAAACTCAGTTGATAAAGCAGTGGCAGGGTTTGAAAGGATTGACTACAATTTTGAAAGAAGTTCCACTGTGGGTATAATGCTATCAAACAGCATTGCATGTACAGAGTAATCTTTTACGAAGGAAGACTCAATCAATGTAGCTATCTTCACTGTTGACTTAAGACATTGCCACAGCCACCCCAACCTTCAGTGACTACCACTGTGATCGGTCAGCAGCCATCAACACTGAGGCAAGACCTTTTACCGCAAGAAGATTATGACTTGCTGAAGCCAAGTCTGATGATTGTCAGAATTTTTTAGTAATAAAGTATTTTAAATTAAGGTATGTACTTTGTTAAAGACATAATGCTACTCTACACTTAATAAACTACAGTACAGTGTAAACACAACTTTTTTGTTTGTTTGTTTTTTGAGATGGAGTCTCGCTCTGTTGCCCAGGCTGGAGTGCCATGGCGCGATCTAGGCTCACTGCAACCTCTGCCTCCCAGGTTCAAGCGTTTCTCCTACTGCAGCCTCCCCCGAGTAGCTGGGATTACAGGCACCCACCACCACGCCTGGCTAATTTTTTTTTGTATTTTTAGTAGAGATGGGATCTCACTATGTTGGCCAGGCTGGTCTCAAGCTCCTGGCCTCGTGATCTGCCCACCTCGGCCTCCCAAAGTGCTGGGATTACAGGCGTGAGCCACCGCGTCTGGCCAGTAAACACAACTTTTATGTGCACTGGGAAACCAAAAATTTCATGTGACTCGCTTTATTGCGATAGTCACTTTATTGCAGTGGTCTGGAACTGAATCTGCAATATTTCAGAGGTATGCCTGTATTTTGATTCTGAAAGGCAAAAAAAAAAAAAAACCCAAAATACAAAAAACCACAAACCTAATTAGAATCAGAAGACCTGGTATTATTTTGTTTCACTACTTAGTGAAAAACACATAGTATTACTAGTCCCTTTGTGCAGTATCATAGTCTTACATTTTCAATTCCAGACACCATTGACAATATTATCACAGGAAAGATGTTGCCTAAAGGTGAGATAATATTAAGGGCTAACCTTTTGTATAGGGAGCTCTGAATTACATATAAGTTGATTATTATCTATTCTACAGATTATCTATGATCATTTAATGCTTTCTTCCTAACAATTACTACCTTTGGCCATTTCAGTAATCTTTCACAGCATCACCAAAGAATGAGAAAATGATTAGAAGTGAGTTAGCAAATTTTGCTCTTTTAACAGCTATAATTCAGGGTCAGTTAAAACTCAGTATGTGAATGGTATTATTCACAACACAAATAAATTAAGAAGTAATACACAAGGCACAGTGGCTCATGCCTATAATCCCAAAACTTTGGGAAGCTGAGGGAGGAGGATCATTTGAGGCCAGGAGGACAAGACCAACCCGGGCGACATAGCAAGACCCCATCTCCCCAAAAAATAAAAAAATTAGCCAGGAGTGACAGCACATGCCTGTAGTCCTGGCTACTTGGGAGGCTGAGGCAAGAGGATTGCGTAAGCCCATGGGTTTGAGGATGCAGTGAGCTATGAGCGCACCCATGCACTCCAGCCTGGGCAACAGAGTGAGACCCTGTTTCTCCCTCCAAAAAAAGGAGTAATATATTTTATAAAATAATTTACTATAGGATTCCTTTAATTAGTAGGCCAGCATTTAAATTATTGATTTACCAAAATTCTGACAGTTTTCTAAAGATGTATTTATTGAGCAAAGAACAATATACCTAGCTGTTCAAGGTATAATAACGGAAGACACGAAAGCTATGTATAAATGAGATTTTGCTATTACCTGTAGATTTCACTTATTATGCGAATAATCTCTCCCTTTAGCATAAACATATGGAAGCTATCAGACTCCTACAAATTTCAGGTAGTAACTTCTAAAACACAGATAAAAATATGTTGGACATAATCACAGAACGTATCTTAACTAGGTAACACCATCTCATTTAGATATTCTGATATACTCTTAACCATACTGTACTTTGAGTTGTAGTTCATTGGCCTACCATTTAGGAAAAGGCACTGGGGCAGAACAACCATGCATAGGAAAATAATTAACAGGGCATGTTTTTCATACCTCTTCATCTTTCACATTCACATCCACATTTTTCGATTTGATGGCTTTGGTTATATGGTCAATGTTGTTTTCCCTGCAGTAATCAAATATATTTTTGTCTTCTTCCCTAGAATAAAAAAAAGAAAGGTCTTTTTTTACTGGGTAATACATTAAAGTTACATATTTTCAACACAATCTGTTTGCTGCTGACATAGATGTTAATGGACTCTGCTTACAAAAAAATTTTACATGAACAGTAACAGTTTTTCAGTAGCTGTAATATATCCAACTCCTGAAAAGACTAAAGTTCTTAGTTTCCTACTTGCCTTACAGGATAAGAGAATAAAGTGTTACTCAAGTTTTAAAAATATATATGAAAGTGATTTTCTTAAAGCAAAGAAAATCAATTAGACAAAAAGAGGGGGGCATTAAAAAATTCAAAAATCCTTTATAAGATAGTAGAATCAAAGACTAGAAAGAAAAGCTGGGAAGCATACTACATACCCAGCACTCTTCTAAGTATATTGCACGTGCTAATTCACTTAATCTTTCATGCAACTTCACTTTACAAATGAAAAAACAGGCAAAAAGGAGACGTTAAATGACCTGCCAAATGGTACTACATTTATCAAAGGTGGAATAAGAGCTAGAACTCACTTAGACCAACTGATTTTGTATACAGTACATTTTTCTATTATATTATGCTGCCTTTTGACTAATCAGCTGCAGTCTATTCCAAAATCTGAAGCAGAAGTTCTTAACATGACATCTATGAGCTCTCTAAATAATGTACAGAATTATCTTTATAACGCATGTGCATTTTTCTGGATGTTGTATGTATAGGGGGAAGAATTGTTTCAATCGGATTCTCAAAAGAATCAGTGACTCCCATAACGATCAGTAATTTAGAATATCAACAATCAAACTGCCCCATATGTGGACTGAATTTTATGAACAAGTATAAAGGAATGCATTTTGCGTTCCAAAAATCAAACTGATGTGTTTTATAACCTGCAATGCCAGAGCATCCATTCATCAGAAAGCAAAACACCTGGTCATAGGAGTTCTTCTATCCTAAAAGCCAATCTAAACATCTTGTGTCATACAGAAAGTTATTTCCAGTCATAGCTAATTTTCTTAAAAGACACTACTTTAGCATCAGCCATCTAAGTGTTCTTTAAGCCGCTTAAGTATTTTATTGAGCACCTACTACATGTAAGGCACTGGACAAGAATTTGTTGATAACAGATAAAAGGCTAAGCAAGAAAGTTTGCCTTTAAGACCCAAACAGTATAGCTGGGATGACAAAAATCTACACAGGATTAACATAAGGTAAAAGCTGGATCCTTAAAAAGGACTATAACAGAACAGGGGAAAAACAACTTGCTTCAAAGCTAGAGAAAATGATGTAGGTTTTAAGTAAGAAATCATGTTTAATAGGACTATATGGTCACTTGAAGAGGCCCTGTTAAACAGAAGAGAAAATGCTTTTTCGATCACTTATTCTGTAAAGAAAATAAGAAGTGAGGTCAAACCCCAGAAAAGAGAATTCTGATTTTAGAAAGTAGAGCTGCAAATAATACCACGTTAGCCATATTTAACCACCATTAAAAACACCATGTTTCGGGAGGCTGAGGCATCAGAATGGCGTGAACCCGGGAGGCAGAGCTTGCAGTGAGCCGAGATTGCGCCACTGCACTCCAGCCTGGGCAACAGAGCGAGACTCCATCTCAAAAAAATAAAAAAAACAAAAACAAAAACAAAAAACAAACAAACAAAAAAAACCAAAAACAAACATCAGGTCTGCATTTTGGGAGGCCAAGGCGGGTGGATCATAAGGTCAGGAGTTCGAAACTAGCCTGACCAACATGGTGAAACCCCGTTTCTACTAAAAATACACAAATTAGCCAGGCGTGGTGACACGTGCATGTAATCCCAGCTACTCAGGAGGCTGAGGCAGGAGAATCACTTGAACCCAGGAGGCAGAGGTTGCAGTGAGCCGAGATCATACCACAGCACTCCAGCCTGGGTGACAGAGCAAGACTAAGTCTCAAACAAACAAACAAACACACGCAAAAAAAAAAACACCATGTCTATGAAAGAATACCTTCAGAGTTCCAACTTAAGGATAATAGGGACCTACTTTCTTCCAATCCAGTAACAGAAAACCCACTAATTCAAGAGGCACCAACTTCAACTGTTACAGAAAGAACTGTGTCTTTTAAAGTCATAGCAATACTACAGTGCTACTCGCCAATTGTTTCTGAATTGGAAAATAATGGGAAGTTGGTGGTAGGGCACAGAAAGGAAAGCAGAAGGATCCTTGGCATGTGGGTTACGCATACCCAGTATATGTAAGCGTTATTCACAGATGAGAGGACCTTTGGAGTGGCCCCTCTTCCTGAGTCCAACTTCCAAATGTGCATGTATACCGTTGTAAGCAGTAAAAAAGTAAACACAGTACAAACACATATAAATTTCTATTTTGTTTAATGTATCTTAAATATGTTTCTTAGACACATCAAATATATCAACTAGTTTTTTTTGCTATGTGAATTTTTTGGAGGGCAGGTAGCATTTGTTTAAGTATTTGTTTATCGTATATAGTTTATCATCACCAAATATGCTAGGCACAGAGATATTAACAAAATACTTCAGGATAGTATACACATATAAATTAAATACCAAAAAGAGAAGTTCAATAAATTCGCCAAAAATGCTACAAGGCTGAATGACGAATATAAAAAAATTAAGTGACACTCTTGGGCTTACTTGTTAAATACAGCTATCCAATCCCACACCAAATTTTGAGTATCTTACCTTCTACAACCAAGCTGTTTTTATACAATGTCACCATCTAGTGGCCAAAATGAAGAAACATCTACAGCAATATCATTCCATATTTCCTTTCTTGCCCCCTAAAATTATGTACAATGTATAAATCAAACTTTCTCCCTCTACCATTTTCTAAGAGCTCAATACAGCCTTCCATAGTCAATCTTGCCCACTATATCCATGCTTATTTGAAACAAAATAACATGCAAATGAATCCAACCATTATGAAACACAGTAGAGCCTTAAATAAATAAATGTGTCTCTCCATATCTTTATTTTCCTTTCTTGATTTTTTACTCAGGTATCTTGTTCCCTCTCTTTGTGAATCTCAAAATTATCATATTCATTATCTATAGATGACTGTGAGTTATGTTTATGATGCTACCCTAAAGGATGTCCCATGTTATCTCTAGCACAAAACAGAAAGTCTCTTCTTCAGGTTACTACAACTTTTCTGAAATTGACAGCAAATACATTTATATTCCTGAAGGAATAATCACTGGTTTTGACATTCTTTTGAAATATCAGAGCACACTCTATGGGAAAGAGGGAGAGTGTTTAAGTACGGCTTTTTCACCCAATCACAGGAAGATCCTTGCCCATTCCTAAATATGTTATCTGTACCATTTTCTACTCAGATAGCATTTTCTTATCAAAATAATATTTCAAATAGGTCTCATGGCAAGACATATAAAGTCCATTTAACTACAAAAATTATGGAAGGAACTAGCTTGGAAATCTATTTAATAGGCACATTCAACAAATATTCAATTCAATTCATGTATTTACTAAGCAACTGGAAATCAGATATAAAACACAGTATTCTAGTAAATAGACAATGAATAAGTATTTATTGCATGAATGAAAATCCAAAGAAAGTAAGCCAATATCTACAAAGATAAAAACAAATGCCATAATTCCTCAAACTAAGGAATTTGTGGGCTCTAGGGTACATAAACTCCTTTAAAGAGATATGCAGGTATAGATCATTTTAAGTGACTCAATTTCCAGCTCTTCATCTTCTAGATAAATGTATTCTTTACTAAACTGATCTACCTGAAAGGGTTCCTGTGGCAAATATTTCATTACCATTCTCCTTTTCCACATTCCCTCTGCTCAAACACTCTTCTCCTCGTTTGTAAAGGAGAGGCATTACACCTCTCTCCTTACTATAGTTAGTATACTTCAGGAAGTATAACCAAAAGACGGAGGCAAAAAAGCATTCTGAGTGATTTCTCTGGAGAAAGACAGTTCATTCATGAGGTCTCATTAGGACCATGGCTAAGGCAATCCTCAAAATGATACACTTTCCCTGGCTCTATTTTTATGTTCACAAATAATCATTTAACTATTAATCTGTTTTTCTGGACTCCTCAATTCTCAGAAAGGAGGGACCCAGCACTTCAATCACTACAAAGACATAGTCCCTTTGGTAAGCAAACAAGCATTTTAGTTTACACCTCAGTTTTGGGCCAATTTTATTATTCCTACTCTGTTTCTAAGGGTCTGCTTGATCTACGGATCTTTTTTCTACATCTTTGAGGTTGAAAAATGGACTCTGATCAATGGTAATTCACCAAAAATGCCACTCTGTGAAGTTCCTTTGGAGGTAGTCTTTCTAGGATAAAAGCTGGCACTGCACACTATCTTCCAAAATTCAGTCATACTGCTAGTGAATATTACTTCTTTGTAGGAATTTAAGTTCCTGATTTACTTGTTGGATGTATGGCCAGAAGTTGTTGATCTGAAAGGCAAAGAAATGTATTCTGTTCAAATATAATGTTAGAAAATAATGCCGTCATCTCACTGATTTCAACTATGTTTTTCAACATTCTGTATATGCCAAATATAAAACTCAAAGTCTAATGTTCTTTTTAATATAATCTTTCACATATCTAATCTTAATTTTATAAATATAATTTTTATATAATCTTTATCTGATGAAACCATCAATATTTTATAAGTTGAGATTAAAAAGTATGTTTTAATTTATAAATATAAAACAATCATACAGGCAGGCATATATTAATTTTACTTACAGATGTTTTTCTCCCTGAAAAAAAGAATCTATTCTTACTCAAAGGTGTTTAGTGAAGCTCATTTAAGACTTATATGAGGAAGTGTGTGGTGGCTCACACCTATAATCCCAGCACTTTGGGAGGTCAAGGAGGGAGGATCACTTGAGCGCAGGAGTTTGAGACCAGCCTGGGCAACACAGCAAGACCCTACCTCTACAAAAAAAATTTCAAATTAGCTGGGTGTGGTGGTGCGTGCCTGTAGTCCTACCTATTTGGGAAGCTAAGGTGATAGGATCAATTAAGCACAGGAGTTTGAGGTTACAGTGAGCTATAATCACACCACTCCAGCCTAGGCAACAGAGAAAGATCCTGTCTCTTAAAAAAGAAAAAAAAAAGACTTATCTGGGAGAAGCAAAATAGGTAAAATCAAATCCTAAATCAAGGATTAAATAGTCATGGCTGCCATACTTAGCACACTGAAAACCCCCACTTCTAATTAATATCTAATTAAAATTACAGATGTTGATTTCACATTGTAGGATACTGTTTTTGACTCTCAATCTTACCAAAGACAACAAATGAGAATCTATACTATGATCCTCAGGTAAAATCTTGCAAATAGTACCTCCTTTCTGAAAAACCTTGGTTTAATCCCTGGAAGAGGCAAAACATTGCTTGGGCAGTAACCACATGTAAGAAGCCTAGCCTTCAAAACAAAGTACTTAATAAAGTGTTTTTTTGTGTGTTGTGCTGTTCTTAAAATCATTCTTGAGGCCGGGCGCGGTGGCTCACACCTGTAATCCCAGCACTTCGGGAGGCCGAGGCGGGTGGATCACGAGGTCAGGAGATCGAGACCATCCTCGCTAACACGGTGAAACCCCGTCTCTACTAAAAATACAAAAAATTAGCCAGGCATGGTGGTGGGCGCCTGTAGTCCCAGCTACTTGGGAGGCTGAGGCAGGAGAATGGCGTGAACCCAGGAAGCGGAGCTTGCAGTGAGCAGAGATCGCGCCACTGCACTCCAGCCTGGGTGACAGAGCGAGACTCCGTCTCAAAAAAAAAATATATTGTTCTTGAAATCCTGGATGACAAATAGACATTTGGAAACTATTACCTTGTCATATTTCATTGATTCTAAATGCAAATTTTTTTCATGTTAACATCTCCTATGAATCTTATAATCTGCAGCATCTTACAATTAAATGATGGCATGTTTTTCTTATAATGGTATTTAAATAATGGTGTGCAGGAGTCAAGGAGGTAATAAGGTAGGTTCAAAATACACAGTACCCAATGGACTAGTGAAATGACCAAAGGAATTCGTATAAGTTGACCCTTAAACAACACGGAGGGTGGGGGGCACCGACCCCCTGCATAGTCAAAAATCTGCATGTAACTCGACTCCCCAAAAACTTAACTACTAGTAGGCTACTGTTGACCTGAAGGCTTATCGATAAACAGTTGATAAATTTTTATTTGTGTTATATAGTATATTCTTATAATAAAGTAAGCTAGAGAAAAGAAAATGTTACTAAGAAAATCATAAGGAAAATATACATTCATTAAGTGGAAGTGGATCATCATAAAGGTCTTCACCCTGTTGTCTTCACAGGCTGAAGAGGGGCTGGTCTTGCTGTCTCAGCACTGGCAGAGGCAGAAGAGGTGGCAGGTGAGGCAGGCACACTCAGTGTAGCTTTGTGAAAATACACCATAATTTCTCCCTTTTTAGTTTGTTTCTCTAAAAGTTTTTATACAGTACCAATCCTTTCACCATTTGCTTAAGTTTGGGTGCCCATATCATAGAAGGGTCCATGTAGTAAAAGTCAAAAGCAGTCTTAAATAATCAGAACGCTTCTGCAAGACTGTCTAATGTCAATCTCTTTGGGGCATTATTTATTCTACATCTTGTTCCTCATCATATCTATCTGGTTTGGAAGCAATCATTTCCATCAAGTCGTCTTCTGTTAATTCCTCTAGTGTGGTGTCTATTAGCTCTTTAATTTCTTCAAGATCTATATCTTAAAACCAACTCTCTGCCCCGCCCTGCCACACATTTTTGCCATACTCACAATCTTTCATGATTTCCTTGATTGGCTCTGTCGTAAATCCTGTGAAGTCACATATAACATGTAGACAGTTTTCTCCAGCAGAAATTTATTGCTTCAGGCATGACGGTTTTCACCGCCGTTTCTATAATGACAGCATCTCCAATGGATCCTTCCCGACCTTCATAATGTTCTATCAGGGTTCTCTTTCGTGGTGTTGACAATCCTTTCCATAGAGTACCATGTGTAATGAGCCTTAAAGGTCCTTATAACCCCCCGATCTAGAGGGTGAATTAGAGATGTTGTATTTGGGAGCCAGTAGATTGCAGTAGATGCCTTCAGTGTTGAACTCATGAATTTCTGAGTGGCTGGAGAACTGTCCAATATTGAAAGAACTTTAAAAGGCGGTCTCTTACTAGAAAGGTACCTCCTGACTTCAGGGAAAAAGAATCAATGGAACCAATCCAGAAAAAGGGTTCTCATTGTCCGGGGCTTCTTATTGTACAACCAAAAGACCAGAAGACGGTGTTTACCTTTTCCCTTCAAGGCACAGGGGTTAACAGTTTTATAGGTAAGTATAGTGTTGATCATAAACCCGCCTGAATTTGCAGAAAACAGAGGTAGCCTATCCCTTCCTGCCTTAAATCCTGGTGCTTCCTTCTCTCCCTTACTAATAAATGTCCTTTGTGGCATTTTTTTCCTCCCCCAGAATATGGCATTTCTGTCTACATTAAACACCTGTTCATGCAAATAGATATCCTCTCTCCTCAATGATTTTTTTTTCAAGTTCGGGGTACATGTACAGGATGTGCAGGTTTGCTACATATGTAAATAGGTGCCATGGTGGTTTGCTGCACAGACTGTCTCATCACCTAGGTATTAAGCCCAGCATCCATTAGCTAGCTGTTCCACCTGATGCTCTCCCTCCCCCTACTCCCCAAGGAGCTTAGTGTGTGTTGTTTCCCTCCATGTGTCCATGTGTTCTCATCATTCAGCTCCCACTTACAAGTGAGAACATGTGGTGTTTGGTTTTCTCTTCCTGTGTTAGTTTACTAAGGACATTGGCTTCCAACTCCATCCATGTCCCTGCAAAGGACATGATCTTGTTCCTTTTTATGGCTGTATAGTATTCTACATTTTCTTTATCCAGTCTATCATTGATGGGTGTTTAGGTTGATCCCATGTCTTTGCTATTGTGAATAGTGCTGTGATGAACATATGCATGCACGTAACTTTATAACAGAATGATTTATATTCCTTTGGGTATATACCCAGTAAAGGGATTGCTGAGTCAAATGTTATTTCTGCCTCTAGGTCTTGCAGGAATTGTCACACTGTCTTCCACAATGGTTGAACCAATTTGCACTCCCACCAACAATGTATAAAGTGTTCCTTTTTCTCCACAATCTCACCAGAATCTGTTGTTTTTTGACTTTTTAATAACAGCCATTCTGACTGTTACTAAAAGAGAGGCATGAGAAGGCATCTCATTATGGTTTTGATTTGCATTTCTCCAACGATCAGTGATGTTGAGCTTTTTTTCACATGTTTGTTGGCTGCATGTACATCTTCTTTTGAAAAGTGTCTGTTCATGTCTTTTGCCCACTTTCTAATGTTTTTTTTTCTTGTAAATTTGCTTATTTGTTGCCTCTTGGTGAGAAGAAGTTGTTTCTCCTATTATCTTGACCTTTCTAAAGTCAAACCTCTTTCTAAACTTATCAAATCATCCTTTGCTGGCATTACATTTTCCAGGTATAGATCCTTCACCTTCCTTTTGCTTTGTCACAGAATGACTTTTTTCTCAAATCATAGTAGAGTCTCTAAGTATGCCTTTCCTATAGCAATACTACACCTACATAAAAGCTGAACTTACAATATGAGATTAAAAGATATTGCACAAAATGTGCAAGGTTCTTGTACTTGCCAGTGTAGCTGTGGTGATGGTTCATGAATTCCCTTTTCTTTTTTCTTTTTTTTTTTTGAGATGGAGTCTCGCTCTTTCACCCAGGCTGCAGTGCAGTGGCATGATTTCGGCTCACTGCAACCTCCACCTCCCGGGTTCAAGCAATTCTCCTGCCTCTGACTTCTGAGCAGCTAGGATTACAAGCGCACACCACCACTCACGGCTAATTTTTGTATTTTTTGCAGAGATGGGGTTTCAACATGTTGGCCACGCTGGTCTCGAACTCCTGACCTCAGGTGATCCACCCGTCTTGGCCTTCGAAGGTGCTCCCAAGGCCACCCTGTGAGCCACCACACCTGGCCCATCCCTTTTCTTTTTTACAGAAGTCCGTAATGCTCAATTAATTTACCCTGAAATGGCAGACAACCACAGCTGCAGACCTCAATCTACAATACGTATTAAGCAATTCAACTTTTTCTTATAATGTCATGACATTTCTCTGCTTTTTGGGAGTACTTCCAGCATCACTAGTGGTACTTCATATGGGTCTCATGGTGTTATTCAAGGTTTAGAGTATAGTGCTACATACAATGATAAAATACTCAAAAACCACAAGAGATCACTGTTTACTGTTATACGCAGTTTACTGGAGGGACAAACTGCTCACTTGGAGATGATTAGCGTCTTGGCATTTTAAGTGGATACTAGCAACACTTGAGCTCACCACACTAGCCATAGGAGGTAGCTACAAAAGTACTGCAGTAGTATAGTATGTACTACAGTTAATTTCATGCAGTTATGATTTAATACTGCATCTTTGCTTTTTTTTTACATTTTTCTGGATTGAGAATGGCACCAGATATGGTCTGCTAGTGTTTATGTGCCTACATTGTGATGAACTTTTTATAACAGATTTGTGTACATTTTATGGTAGTAAATGAAAAAATGGACTAGTATCTACATATATTTTATGCATTCATGCCATATCTTTTTCTTAATTTTTTGGATATTTTAGGCTACATAGTTCATCTGCAAGTGTTTTCAAATTGCTGCAAATTTCCAAAAAAGTTTCCAATATATTTACTGAAAAACATCAACGTATAAGTGGACCTATGCAGTCACAACCTGTGTTTTTTGAGCAGAAATTATATTTTGAATCACAATTCCTGCATCACAGTGCCATATCTGCAACTGATTTCAGACAGTTATAGAAACAAACCAGTTAGTTTTCCCCCTTCCTGTCATATGATAATGGCAACATCTTCTTCTACTACATAACTATTTTCAGACTGAATTATATTAATATATGCAAGGTACTTAGTTCTAGGTCTAGAAAATTCTTAAAGCCTTCAAATTGAAACTTCCATTTGTTATACTATTTACGTTGGTAAGGGTCCCTTCAAATAAAACTACATATATTTTTATGTATTTTTCTCACAATCTTTCAATAAAGTATTGACAAAGAAAAAAATCAATGACCCAGATATTTCTTACAGATAATTAGTTATACTGGAGAAGTTACATAACCATAACTTATAAAGACACCATTTACTAAAAATGTATTTTCACCCCTTAAAAGCTGCTTAACCTTAAACAAACTTGACTGAAAATTTCTGATACTTTAAATGCCAATAACATAAAATGTAGTTAAGTTCTAATAAATCTCTGGAAAATCAGTTGCCGTATCAGAAAAAGCACAGATCCGCTTTCCTAAAAGTCTCTACAGAGCTGAGTTACATTCTCAACCATTAAGGTAAGTCTAAAATCAGTAAGATAATCGATCCAAAGGAAATATCATCATCAGTACATTGATACATGAAAGACCAAAGTCTCCAATTTTACCAGGAAAGTACATTTTTTTAAAACATTAAATGGAAAAGAAATTTTATTTTAAAAATTTTAACTGAAGATACTCACCATATTAAATAGTAACAACTATCAGACTCAATTTCATTAACTAGAGATTATGATTCCTCAAACATTTCCAGAGCCAGCATAGCACAGTAATTAACAGCAGCGTTACTAACTATGTGACCCTGGGCAAGTAAGTTAACTTCTCTGAATTTCAGTTTCCTTATCTGTAAAAAAAAGAATATTAATAGCATCTATATTTAATAGGGTCATCCTAAAGATTAAGAGAAGTAATACATATAGTATGGTTACTATACTAGCATATAATAAATGGTCAATAAATGTTAACTGTCATTATTCTTATCTTAAGAATTCAGCATATATTGTAAGCTGGAGGTCATTCCTCATACCCTACGTGTCAATTAATCTAATAAATATTAATTAGAACTTCAAGGAAAAAAATAAGCCAATGTGGTTGGAACAGAGTGAAAAAGGGGGTGAGCGGAAAACTGGCATTAGATGAGATGGTAAGGGGTCCTGTTCATATTATTTGTAATGCATATTCTGCTTCTCATTACTGTAATGGATACAGTATACCCACAACCTCTATATATCTTTATATATGCACACATACATACACACACCAAATTTTGTAAACAAGCATTTCATAGGTACCACATACAGATAAGGATATGGGAAGAAGAGAAAGAAAAATTAGATGGGGTAGACAGGAAAGAGAGAACAAAACTGGAAAAAGGAAGAGGAGAAGAAAAAAGAAGAAAACAGAGAGGAAGAAAAGGTGATGGTTTCAGTTGATGAATGACCCTTGGTTCAGAAAGGGCTAGATTTGTGTACATGCTTGGTTGGCATCATGACACTGAGCACACAGGAGGTAAATGAAGCACGCTAGAAAAGGGTGAATATGAGAGCCAGGAGACTCTTACAACAGTTACTGTTTATGTCAAGACCCACATGTCCCAGGGGACCCATTTTCACATAATCTATAATTATCTCTTCGCTTTAATCGCCTTGTCATTCCTGAGGTTCTCATGGGCACTGGAAGAGGAAAAGCTCATTAACTAAACCTTTTCTCCTCTCTCCAGCCACCCATGGCTTTTAATTGCTTGGTGTGTTATTATCTAGGAGTGCAACTGGAATCATTTTCATAAGAAAGGGAGGTAGAGAGGAGGAAGGGAGCCATGAGTCCCTGAGGTATGCACCAAAGACAAACCTTTGCTTTCTCAATTATTTATGCCAGCTGAGGTTTTACAGGCTGAATAAATCCATAACTCAAGTTCATTCTGAGCAGTCAGATTCTCCAGGGGGAGTTGCCCACTTGCCTATACCCACTTGTGTAGTCCTCAAAGAATAACCAGAATTTAACAAGACATATGTCATCCAATTTATCACCTATCACCAAGGTGTTAACACAATGTTGATCATAGGCAACATGGTGAAATAGAGAAGTATTACACTACCACCAGCCAAACAGATGGAGGGAAGCTTTTTGGTGCTAAAGGCAGTGGTATCATTAGGATAGTGGTGTTCCAGAATGACGGCCTGTTAAATGCATAAAAATCCAAATATTCATTTTTTAAAACACAAATATGTAGAACACATACTCTTGAAGCTTAAGAATCTTTAAGTAGATTTGTTAAAAACAGGCTGCAATGTAACAATGTGAAGCTTTGAATGAATAAATAGAATTTTATAACATCTGATTTTAGAAGTAATTTACAATAAAACTATACACGTTACAGCTTTTTCTCCAATCATATCTCTTTCAGGAAAATTTTAGAGTATAATTTATGCATGACAGGCTTTTATGCTACTTCCAAGTTAGTTCATATTTCACCAAGAATACAAAATTAAAGCATAAAACAATCACTTTCATTCTAATTTTTTATACTTATATTCTTCCATTTATAATCAGGACTAGACAGCAGCCAATGAAAAGATATTTGGGAAATATTTTCAAAATCCATTATTGTTTAAAAATGGAAACTTTATAAGTCAATGATTAAAGCATCTCTTTGAAATTCTACAGGCTTTTGTGTCTGACCACAAGCAGCAACCTCTTGTATTTTCTGCCAAAACACTTCATTTGTCTCACAGAACAACTAATCAATTCCAGAGCCCATCAATCATTTCAGTTGTATACTAGGACTGGTCTTGCTTAGAGAAGGTCCAGATGGCTGTCTGTGTAAGCAGAATTAATAAAATTCTAATAGATTACATGACATCAAACTACAAAATATAACAGGGAGGATCAAATCTTATTGCAGGGTGGTGTGGGTACTGTTCAATCTTCATTTACTACATTTTTAATTCTTACCCTAATTTCTCAATTTATGTGCAAACTTCTAGATCAAACCTTTGAAGCATGCAAGTAACCAGAAGCAATTTCTTGTATATGTAGTGCAGAATCATCTTACTCTACAAACCCCTATGCTTATTGACCAGTACTTTTTCTGCCCATCTGCGGTATAAATGAAAAACAGCTGATCGCAAAACCAGAGGTTACTCCCTGTTATAAGATTTGTTACTCTCGTTTCTATAGTTCTAAAAATATTGGCTCTCCCTTCCTTGTTTTCCATTTTCTTTTGCAAAAGCAAACAACTTGCATTTAATTATATAACCAGAATGCCATGTTATTGTAGCTCCTAACATCAGCTCCTGGCTCCTCTGTAGGGACTCCCTCTGCCGAATAACAATACTATTTATAAAAGCTAACAGTTACACAGTAACTTATTTTGCACCAGGTACTGTTCGAGGATGTCTATGTATTCACATAATCTGCTAAGTATCAAGTGAGATAAGTACTATAATTATCCCCATTTTACAGGTAAGTAACTTGCCCAAGATCACACAGCTAGTAAGTGGTGGAACTAGCATTTGAATGCCAGCGGTTTGGCTCCATAATTTTTTGTACTTAATTAGAATCCCCCTACACCCCCTCAATTATATTACAGAACAATTAACTTGCTTCAGAATGAGAAATTGATGTCAGAGCTCTGCAATATTAACACAGAGATCTGAACCTCTGACATTATATTGATACTTTCTATGACAGAGTAGAAAGCAGGAAGCAAGCTCAGAATTGGCCCCACTGGCCCTTGGCTCAAACTCATAACTCATCATCTATTATACAATACACATTCGTCAGAAAAGCTGCCACAACAATGGAACCCAAACTTAACCAAATGGATTTATTAGATAGTGATTTGCCTGATCTTTACAAATGTAAAAAAAATCTGGAGTTATAAAGTATCAAAACAAACCTTCAAAATACATTATTTTATGTCCTTTTTTAAAAATAACAGTTCCATAGAAAAGAATTTTTGCTTTCATCCAAGTCTACCATTTGATGCTTCTAAAACTCTAAAACCTACTGTCACTTTCGCCTCAGTTAAATATAATTCTGCCAAGAAATTGCAATTAATATCAATTAAAGCACAACTTTCTCTTAGAAAAATAAAACACCAGATATATTTCACCAAAATACAAGCATAATTTGATTACATAACTTCAAGAAATAACCCATTTTCATTGTTGCAATTGCATTCTGATACGTAAGAAACCATACGGACTACATCTGGCTCTTCACTGGAATAATCCAACATTTCAGTACATAAGAATTTTCATGCCAGGCACAGCGGCTCACGCCTGTAATCCCAGCACTTTGGGGAGGCCAAGGCAGGTGGATCACGAGGTCAAGAGATCGAGACCATCCTGGCTAATATGGTGAAACCCTGTCTCCACTAAAAATACAAAAATTAGTTGGGCATGGTGGTGCGCCTGTAGTTCCAGCTACTCAGGAGGCTGAGGCAGGGGAATCGCTTGAATCCAGGAGGCAGATGTTGCAGTGAGCTGAGATCATACCACTGCACTCCAGCTTGGTGACAGAGCAAGACTCTGTCTCAAAAAAAAAAAAAAAACCAAAAACCAAAAAACAACGAATTTTCATTATGGCCTAATTTGTTATAATGGAATTCTACACTATAAAAAGAACTCTCCCAATACAAGAGTATGATTAGTTGCTGTAATTTCTGATCTGCTGTAGTAGTAACAAAATTACTGTGTTTGTAATAGTTAAACAGCTTTCAATGGCTTGCTCACATTCATGTTTCTTACTCTTTCTTAACAATATGTTCAGAATATGAAGATTTAGATGATATCATAAGACTAATACTTAATGAAGACTTCATGAAAAAAAGGCCAAGTCTAACCAATTTTGCCCACAAAGGTTCATATTTCATTCAATTAATATTTATTAAACATACTTTCATGAAAATGCCAAAAGTAGTAAGAACATATTATTCAAAAGTGAAGAAGTTGAGAAGCACAAATATTCCAATGTTTTCTGTCATTATAGGTTCATAATAAATGTGTGTTGAATTGAATTTAAATCTCTACAAAAATAAACTGTATTATTCTTTGTCATTGTTTATCACTGTCAAAATTCTAAATACTGATTTAAATCTAAGAATCACTTCACTAGCAATTGGGTGGGGGATAAAGGAAGGAAGATTAACCCTTTCAATACAGTTTAACTCTATCTCAGGATTTCTACTCTCACTACAACTGGAGTACATTTGATTTGCTTCGTGTTCTGTAGGGCTGCTGTGATCAGTCACGTCATCAGACATTTGAAAAGAAAATGTATTCAGTACATCATTTTGAAAAATACTAGAGTATGGGAGCCCTTAAGGAAAATGGCATACAAAATAAAGATCATTATGATTTACAGATAAGTGACTGATATTGTTAGAAACTTAAGCTTAGTAATTTTTTTAAAAGGAAAGTCAAGAAACTATCTCAATTTATTTATCTAACTAGGAAAGAAAAATAGCCTATACATTTTTTATTGCTTAAGAGAAAGAGGTTAGGATAGGCATATCACAGAAGAACCAAACCAGCAGCTCTCTGTCTTACAATAGGGCTCTTAGGCTAACTCTACATAAGCAATAGTCACTAAACTATCAGCTCTTCAAGGGAAGCAGCTGTGGCTACCTCCCAAGTTCTGAGTACTTTCACTGAAGATCTACTAAGTTTGGGGGCCTTCCTCAGATAGTGAGAATGCAAAGATGGGTAAAATATGATCTTCACTATCAAAAACTAAAAGCTAAAAGTATTTCTAAGTATACAGTTCAGTAGTGTTAAGTATATTCACACTGTTGTGCAATCCCCGTAACTTTTTCATCTTGTAAAACTGAAACTCTGTCCCCATTAAACAACTTCCCATTTCCCCTACCCCCAGCTCCTGGCAACCACCATTTTACTGTCTCTCTGATTTTTGAATCCTTTCTGTTTCTGTGAGTTTGACTACTCTAAATACCTTATGTAAGTATAATCGCAAAGTGTTTGTGTTCTTGTGACTGGCTTATTTCACTTAGCGTAATATCCTCAAGGTTCATACATGTTGCAACAGCTGTCAAAATTTCCTTCCTTTTTAAGGCTGAATAATATTCCATTGTATATACCACATTTTGTTTATCCATCCATCTGTCAACAGATGCTTCCACCTATTGGCTACTGTATAGAATGCTGCTATGAACATGGGTGTGCAAATATGTCTTTGAGATTCTGCTTTCTTGTTTCTGCTTCTTGAGAAACAGAATTGGTGGATCATATGGTAATTCTATTTTAACTTTCTGAGGAAACTTCCGTTTTCCACAGTGGCTGTATCATTTTATACTCCAAAATTACTTTTAATTTACAGCAAATTAAATTAACTTTTAATTAAACAAATTAAAAAATTAAAATATTTAAAATAATAGTATTTTGAGGAAAATTAACACAAAAATCCTTAGCTTTAGATTGAGACACAACATCTTGTCCCACCAACTACTTGTGTGGGGAAAGTCATTGAATGAGACAGTCGTCACTAGACACCAATGAAAAGTAATTATTATCACTTATTCAGACTTATCTGGCACTGGTTCAGACATTTAATTGATTTTAAAGATTATACACCTAAAAAATTATTTCCTGTCATTTATTGTCCTGCTGGCAAATACCACCAAATCAGTTTCATGTTAAGAAGGAATGCTTCACAAATTGAAGATTTCAGGATTAAAAATATATAGTACACATATACACATACATAAGCACATACATACAAACACATGCACACACACAGGCATATATATTTCTATTATCAAAGATCAGAAGAGAAATTACCTGATGGTTTCTTCATGATATAGAGAACTAATAACTGGCCCACCAAAACCTGTATTTGCTTCTTTTCCTTTCTTCTCTGGTATCTGTGGGAAGGAGAAAAAAAAGTGAAAAAAAGACAAATGGGTTAAAACAATAGGTATTTAAATCAGTTACAAAATGTTATTTTGCTAAGAAAGACTAAGGATTTTACCCTCAACCATCTCTTCAAACCCTAGTAAAACTTTTAAGGTGGTAACAGAAAGGCAATAGGATTCTCAGGTCATCACAGGAGTGGAATGGGTACCTGGCTGGCAATCTAAGGTATTCCAGTACAGCCTTCTGGAGCCACCAAAAAACAATTCTCCTAGCTGACTGTGAGATGATGTTCAATGTGGTAAATATGGATGTTCAGGTGAGAAAAAGAAAAATAAATCCCAGACATGAATGTGATCAGCAAAATCGTATCTAGATTTATAAAAGTTCCCAAATAAGAAGCTACATTACAGTAAAAGTTCAAATTTAATTATAAAGAAAATGTTTTTGGGTTAAAAAAAAAAAAAAGGAAGGAGAAAAGGTAGAGGAGGGATAGGAAAGGAGGTTTATATCTCAAATAAAAGAAAAAAGAAGCAAACTGCACAGAAATACTTTCCAAACTCAAGGATTCAACACGTCTTGCCCCTCTATGTTCTCAAAACACACAAGAGTAAAATTAATTTAGTAATAAGATTCTTCTAAAACATGTAATGTGGAAGCAATGAACCTGGATAATACTGTCTGCAAGGATCAAAGTGCAACCTCTGCAAAACCCCATGTATTGACAGCGTTTAGTACAGGACACCCTGCAAAAGTCAAAACTCTGATTCCGGACATAAATATTCCCTTAGAATCAAAATTACATTATTATTTAATTTGACTGCAAAAAGACTAGTTTTACTTCAAATAAAATACAGTCAATCCCCATACACATTTTTTCAGTACTTAAGAGAAGTACGAGTTTTGTTTTGTTTTTTAATTGTTTGTTTCAGTCTGTGGATCACTGGGCTGAGGAAAAAGACCCCCTTCCCCGGAGATAGCATATTCTATCTGTTCCTAACACTACTGGGGGAACTAAGGTTTCAAAAAATGTTGTAAATTTTTGAGGAGATGAATCAAGTCAGTTATCAACTTGTAATAGAAACAAAGTTATAAAATCATAGACGACAACTATTAACATGATTAAATGACAAAGTATATAAAGTGTATTAGTATGATGCTAGCAAACAAGAAGCACTAGGTAAATGACAGATTTCTCTGTGCTCTGAGGGCCATTTTTAGAGAATAAATGCTATGAAGAATTTCTGGGATAGATAATGTATTTCTTTATACCAAAAAAAAGTAGAGATGATCCCCAACTTACAATGGTTCGATTTATGATATTTTTGACTTATAATAGATTTACCAGTATGTATCCTCATTATAAGCTGAGGAACGTGTACAAAGGGAGAACTTATTTTACTTAATCCAATTATATTCCAAATACATGTTCCATTGATAGGATAAAACTAAAACATACTTGGCGCTCGAGATGATAACTAAATAAATAAAACTAAAAATGAGAAAACTGGATACGAAAGGAAAAAAAATAGAGATAGAACCAAGTATGAAGTGGCAAGCATAGCTTCTTAAAAAAGAATGACTCCTAGAAGGTAACATGGCGGAAAATCTAGGTGATACTGGGTTTCGCAATGACTTTTTACATGCAATATCAAAAGTATAATCCATGACAGGCCAGGTGCAATGGCTCACACCTATAATCCCTGCACTTTGGGAGGCTGAGGCAGGTGGATCTCTTGAAGCCAGGAGTTTGAGACCAGCCTGGCCAACATGGCAAAATACCACCTCTACTAAAAATGCAAAAAACTAGCCAGGCATGGTGGTGCGTGACTGTAGTACCAGCTACCTAGGAGGCTGAAGCACAAGAATTGCTTCAGCCTGGGATGCAGAAGCTGCAGTGAGCCAAGATCACGCCACTGCACTCCAGCCTGGCAATAGAGCAAGATTCTGTCTCAAAAAAAAAAAAAAATTTATAATCCATGAGAGAAAAAAATTGATTAGTAGGTCTTTATTAAAACTGAAAATTTCTGCTCTGTGAAAGATATTGTTCAGACAATGCAATGACCAGCCATAAACTGAAAGAAAATTTGCAAAACACTTATCTAATAAAAGACTGGTATCCAAAATATTCAAAGAATTCTTAAAACTCAACACTAAGAAAATAAGTTACCCAATGAAAAACGAGTAAAAGATCTAAATGGACAACTTACCAAAGAAGATACAGAGATAGCAAATAAGCGAGTGACAAGATGTTTAAACATCATGTCATTAAAGAAATGCAAATGAAAACAAAAATGAGAAACCACTACACACCTATTGGAATGGCTAAAATCCAATATGTCCTTAAATAGATTAATAAGCAAATGATACACCCATAAAATAGGATATTATTCAGCAACACAAAGAAATGAGCTATTCTAGGTTAACTAAGAAAAAAGAAGAGTCAAATAACTCAGAAATGAAAGTGGAGATGTTACAATTAATGCCACAGAAATACAAAGAATCATAAGAGATAACTATGAACAATTACATGCCAAAAAACTGGATAACCTAGAAGAAATGAATAAATTCCTGGAAACATACAATCTACCATGACTGAATCACGAAGAAATCAAAAATCTGACAGACCTATCACCAAGAAAGAGAGTGAATCAGTAATAAAAAAAAAAACTTCCCTACAAAGAAAAGCCCAGAACCAGATCACTTCACTGGAGAATTCTATCAAATATTTAAAGAAGAATTAACACCAATCCTCTTCATACATCAAAATAATTAAAGAAAAGGGAACACTTCTAACTCATTTTATGAGGTCTTATCCTCACATCAAAGCCAAAACTACTGCAAGAAAACTAAAACCAATATCCCTGATGAATATTAATCCAAAAAATCAACTAAATATTAATAAACTGAATTTAACATTACGTTAAAAGGATTATACATCATGATCAACTGGGATTTATTCCTGGAATGTAAAGATGGTTCAACATACAAAAATCAATCATATAACACAGCATATTAATACAATGAAGGACAAAACCCACATGATCATCTCAATTGATACAGAAAAAGCATCTGACAAAATTCAACATGTGTTCATGATAAAAACACTAAATAAACTAGGAATAGAATAAAACTACCTCAACACAATAAAGGCTATATATGAAAAGGCCACAGCTAACAACATACTCAGTGGTGGAAAACTGAAAGCTTTCTTTCTAAGATCAGGAACAAGGCAAGGATATCCATTCTCATCACTTCTTTTCAAGATGGTATCCAAGCCACAGCGATCAGACAAGAAATAAAAGGCATTTGTGGTGTTATGCTGTGTGTGTGTGTGTGTGTGTGTGTGTGTGTGTGTGTGTGTGTGTACAGAGAGAGAGCGAGAGTGAGAGAGTGCGCACAAAAGAGATTTGTTTTTGTCCATGGTTCCTGGTTTCTAACTCCTATTGCCCTTGTTACAGTCTTTCGTTACATAATTAGGTGTGTCAGGCCTCAGGAGCAAGCCTCAGGAAAGAGAATCTATGGGACTTTCTCCTGCCCTCCTTTTACCTGCCCCAGGTTACCCTTTCTGATTGTGGGTCACAATCCCGAGAGAGAGTCCTGCCCTATACCCTAGGGGAAGGAATACTGACATCATGAAACCCAAGAGGAATGGGTGCTGGGAGCCTGGGGATAGTGGAACACATGGAGGTTCCTGGAGGGTGGCATGCCCAGAGAGATCATGAAAGCGCCATGTCCCTTCCTCCATGCCTCACCCTACACATCTCCTTGTAAACCAAAAATAAAGTTCTAAGCCCTACAACCATCTGGATGAACCCCTCCTCTCAGCTAAGGTTTCTCCAAAGAAACCTGAAAAACTAGTTCAGGCCATGATGGGAAGTCGGGGTCTGGACATGCCTCATTATACTTTCCTCCCTTTAGCATTCAGGAACAACTGACCAGCATTAACATTAAAACAGAGATCTCACAACTGACAAAAAAGACTCTTTGTATCAATAAGATATCAAATTCCAACCTGACTCTAGTATAGCATCACATGACAGAGAGCAGACCCTGGAAGAAATCAAAATATCTTATCCCAAAATATATTTGACATATTTTGAAATGGCCCTGCAAAGCCATCTCTTAAAAGGGAAATTTTACATTATGTAAAGAATCCTGTTCCCTTTCCAGGTCTTTTTCTGATCCTAAAGAGATTAGCTGAGAGATCTGAAGAATCTTTTAAAGATCTGAATAGGAAACAATTGTCATCTATTGCATCTAACAGTGGCCACCTATGAGACTTCATCTATATAGTAAGAACCTTGGTCTCCACAAATCCTTAACTCAGATATTCCTTTCTATTAATTCCAAGCTTTTAGATAATAACTTAACTCTCAACCAACTGCCAATCAGAAAATCTTTGAATCTACCTATGATAAGTCACTGCTTCGAGTTGTCCTGTCTTTCCAAACCAAACCAATGTATTAATAAACTAGGAATAGAGTAAAACTACCTCAACAGGCCATAGCCGCAACCGAGCCTGCTGCCAATGCCTCTAAGCCGAAGGTGGCTGTGCCACCCACGAATGCCAATCTTGGCAAATCTGCCAGGGATGTCTTCACCAAGGGTTATGGATTTGGCTTGATTTGAAAACAAAATCTGAGAATGAATTGGAATTTACAAGCTCAGGCTCAGCCAACATTGAGACCACCAAAGTCATGGGCAGTCTGTAAACCAAGTACAGATGGACTGAGTACGGCCTGACGTTTACAGAGAAATGGAACACCGACAATACACTAGGCACCGAGATTACCGTGGAAGGTCAGCTTGCACATGATCTGAAGCTTACCTTCAATTCATCCTTCTCACCTAACACTGGGGAAAAAAAAGCTAAAATCAAGACAGGGTACAAGCAGAAGCACATTAACCTGGGCTGCGACACGGATTTCAACATCGCTGGCCTTTCCATCTGGGGTACTCTGGTGCTGGGTTACGAGGGCTGGCTGGCCGGCTACCAGATGCATTTTTTTTTTGAGACGGAGTCTTGCTCTGTCGCCCAGGTTGGAGTGCAGTGGCAGGATCTCAGCTCACTGCAAGCTCCGTCTCCTGGTTTCACGCCATTCTCCTGCCTCAGCCTCCCAAGTAACTGGGACTACAGGCGCCCGCCACCACGCCTGGCTAATTTTTTTTTTTTTTTTTTTAGTAGAGACGGGGTTTCACCGTTAGCCAGGATGGTCTCAATCTCCTGACCTCGTGATCCGCCCGCCTTGGCCTCCCAAAGTGCTGGGATTACAGGCATGAGCGACCATGCCCAGCCTGGATGAATTTTGAGACTGCAAAGTCCCGAGTAACCCAGAGCAACTTTGCAGTTGGCTACAAGACTTATGAATTCCAGCTTCACACTAATATGAATGACGGGACAGAGTTTGGCAGCTCCATTTACCAGAAGGTGAACAAGAAGTTAGAGACCGCTGTCAATCTCGCCTGGACAGCAGGAAACAGTAACACGCACTTCAGAATAGCAGCCAAGTATCAGATTGACTCTGACAGCTGCTTCTCGGCTAAAGTGAATAACTCCAGCCTGATGGGTTTAGGATACACTCAGACCCTAAAACCAGGTATCAAATTGACACTGTCAGCTCTTCTGGATGGCAAGAACGTCAATGGTGGTGGCCACAAGCTTGGTTTAGGCCTGGAATTTCAAGCATAAATGAATACTGTACAATTGTTTAATTTTAAACTATTTTGCAGCATAGCTACCTTCAGAATTTACTGTATCGTTTAATGTTGTACGTCTGGAATGCAAGTATTGCTAAATATGTTAGACCTCCAGGTTAAAGATGATTCAGCTTTAAGATGTTACCCTTTCAGAGGTACAGAAGAAAACCATTTCCAAAAAAGGTCCTTTCAGTGGTAGACTTGGGGGTAACTTGGTGGCCCCTTTGAGATATCAGGTTTCTTTTTTATCTAGAAATGGCTGCAAGTGGAAGCTGATAATATGTAGGCACTTTGTAAATTCATATTGAGTAAATGAAAGAAATTGTGATTTCCTGAGAATTGAACCTTGTTTATCTAACCCTAATTGATGAGAAGCTCACTACTTGATGGTGTGTACAAACTCACCTGAATGGGATTTTTTTTAGACATATCTTCATGACCTGTTCCCACCCCAGTTCATCGTCACCTCTTTTACACCAAAACGTCTGCAGAGTGGTGTGGTCACGATTCTTTTGTGCCATTTTGGGGTGGAGAGGGTGGACGTGATAAAGCCAATAATTCAGGACTTATTCCTTCTTGCGTTGTGTTTTTTTGCCCTTGCACCAGAGTATGAAATAGCTTCCAGGAGCTCCACCTATAAGCTTAGAAGTGTCTGTATGATTGTAATCACATGGTGACAACACTCAGAATCTAAATTGGACTTCTGTTGTATTCTCACCACTCAATTTGTTTTTTAGCAGTTTAATGGGTACATTTTAGAGTCTTCCATTTTGTGTGGAATTAGATCCTCCCCTTCAAATGCTGTAATTAACATCACTTTAAAAAAACCTGAATAAAATATTGAAACCTCAAAAAACAAAAACAAAAACAAAACTACCTCAAAATAATAAAGGCCATATATGAAAAGGCCACAGTTAACAACATACTCAGTGGTGAAAAACTGAAAGCTTTCCTTCTAAGATCAGGAACAAGGCAAGGATATCTATTCTCATCACTTCTATTCAAGATGGTATCCAGGCCAATGTTAATGCTATCATATCTCCTTAAAGGATATAAAATCAAGCTATAACCCCATCAGCTTGGGTACATGTTCTCAAGACCTTCTGAGGCTGTGTCATGGGTCATGGTCTTCACATTTGGTGCAGAATAAATCTCTTCAAATACTTTGCAGTTTGGCTTTTTTCCCTCGACATCTTCATCTGTATCCTTTGTAACATCCTTTATAATAAACTGGCAAATGTGTTTCCCTGAGTTCTGTAAGCCACTCCAGAACTCAGTTGAACCCAAAGAGGGGGTCATGGGAACCACAACTTGAAGCCAGTTGGTAAGAAATTCTGGAGACCGGGGCTTGTGACTGGTCAAGGGGTGGGAGGCAGTCCTGGGGACTGAGTCCTCAACCTGTGGAATCTGACACTATCTCTAGGCACCTAGTGTCAGAACTGATTAGGAGGATACCCAGTTGGTGTCTGCTGCAGAACTGCTCACATAATGTTGGGGAGAAATCCCCACGTATTTGGTCACAGAAGTCTTCTGTTGTTGTAGTGGTATGAGAGCAGAGGAAAAACACAGTTTGAAAGTTTTTCCTAAAATGGCATCCAAATTGGAAAGGAAGAGGTAAAGTTATCTGTTCACAGACAACAAGATTTTATATGTAAAAAAATCCTAAAGATTCCACCCAATCTGTTATTCAGCAAAGTTGCAGGATACAAAATCGTCACACAAAAATCAGGTTAGGTCTGACAGAGACAGACAATAAATGAATAAGTTTTCCAATATTAAAACCTAAGGAGTATTATGAAGAAAAAAAACAGGTCCAGGAACAAGGTTATAATTTGGAATAAGATGGTTAGGGAAAGCCTTCTAGAGAAGGCCCTTTGAATAAAGACAAAGGAAGTGAAGAAGTGAGTCTTGCAGGTATCTGGAGTAGATTGTTCCAGCCATAGGAAAAAGCCAGTGCAAAGGCCCTATGATGAGGGTATGCACAGAATGTTAGAGTAGGGGTCCCCAACCCCTGGGCTGCAGGCCAGTAGCAATACATGGCCTGTCAGGAACCTGGCCGCACAGCAGGAGATGAGTGGCGGTTGAGCAAGCATTACCACCTGAGCTCCACCTCCTGTGAGATCAGCAATAGCATTAGAGTCTCACAGGACTGTGAAGACTATTGTGAACTGCACATGTGAGGGGTCTAGGTTACGCACTCCTTATGAGAATCTAATGCCTGATGATCTGAAGTCAAATGGTTTAATCCTGAAACCATCCCCCTCCAACACTGGCCCCCTAATCCCTGCTGCAGAAAAATGGTCTTCCACTAAACCAGTCCCTGGTGCCAAAAAGGGTGGGGACTGCTGTGTTAGAGAACTTAAAATGTTTCTGTCCTTTGCCTACTCTATTTAAGGTACAGGGTGTCTTAAATAGAATAGGCAAAGGACATAACCATTTAAGAAGCAATAAGACAAGGTTGTTCATGAGACAATCATAGCTTCTATTGGCGCCATTCATTGACTCTCTTAAAGTGAAATAGACAATTGGGAAGAGATAGCTATGGTCCACTTGGTAATTATTTGCTGTGAAATAAAGACTACTAATTAAGAGTTACGTGGTAGTTCAAAAAAAATAAGTATAGTTCTTTTTTCTTTTTTATTTAGACTTCTTTTTAAAGCAAGTTTAGGTTTACAGAAAAATGAACAAAAAATAGGGTTATCTCATACCTCTCACATGTATACAACTCTCCCACCCACTGCCCCCATTACTAACATCTTGCATTGAGTGGCACATTTGTTACAGCTGATGAGCCTATATTAATACACTATTATTAATGAAAGTCCATAGTTTACATTAGGGTTCACTCTTGTATTGAACATTCTATGGGTTTGACAAACATATAATGACATGTACCCACCACTGCGGTACCATTCAGAATAGTTTCACTGCCCTAAAAATCCCGTACTCTACCTATTCACCCTTCCCTCCCTCCCCACTCTCCTCCATACTCTGAACCCACGGCAACTAGTGATCTTTTCACTGCTTTGTTTTACTCTTTCCAGAATGTCAAATGATTAGACTCATACAGTATGCAGCCTTTTCAGATTGGCTTCTTTCACTTAGCATTATGCATTTAAGGTTCCTCCATGTCTTTTCATGGTCTAATAGCTCATTTCTTTTTAAAAATTTTAAATTATTGTAAACATAAAATTTACCATTTTAACCATTTTTGGTATTTAACTCAGTAGTGTTAACTATATGCTCCTTCCCCTGGCCCAAAACACAAGATTTTTCTTGACTCTTTACCGTAAATGGGATTCTGGGAGATAAAACCTACCAAAGTGGAAGGCCCTACTAAGACTGGGGAGGGGCCGGGTGTGGGGGCTCACGCCTGTAATCCCAGCACTGGGGGAGGCCGAGGCGGGTGGATCACAAGGTCAGGAGATCGAGACCATCCTGGCTAACATGGTGAAACCCCGTCTCTACTAAAAATAAAACAACAACAAAATTAGCTGGGCATGGTGGTGGGCGCCTGTAGTCCCAGTTACTCAGGAGGCTGAGGCAGGAGAATGGTGGAACTCAGGAGGCAGAACTTGCAGTGAGCCAAGATTGCGCTACTGCACTCCAGCCTGGGCGACACAGCGAGACTCCGTCTCAAAAAAAAAAAAAATACTGGGGAGGAGTTTTTGACTCCCTAGTCCACACTCAGCCTCAAGCAATTCATCCATTACCATTGAAGTGTTTCTACCAGTTTATGGCCCAAGCATCTTCTGTTATCTTGGTTATGATTCTCTGTATTCACCTGTCTCTCCAGTTTTGGGGATGGCAGTTTGAACTGGTACCTCAATCTCTGATGGATCTAGAACAGTCTTTGATTTTCAGTTTGGTCAGATTACTGTTATTGTTAAGGAGAGGAGTGATAACTTGCAGGTTCTTCACATGTTGAGGCTGAAACTGGAAGTTCAGTGATCTTTTAAAGAGATTTTAAAATTTAAAAAAAGTCTTTAAATTTACCCATATATTTAGCACTTCCAGGACTCTTCATTCCTTTATGGAGGTCCAAATTTCCATCTTATATAATTTTCCTTTCATGTGAAGTTCCTTTAAAATTTACTATAGTTCAGTTCAGTTGGCAATGAATTACCTGCTTTTGTTTATTTGGAAAAAGTTTTTATTTATTTATTTTTATTTTTTAGATGAAGTCTCACTCTGTGGCCCAGGCTGGAGTGCAGTGGTGCAATCTCAGCTCACTACAACCTCTGCCTCCTGGGTTCAAGTGATTCTCCTGCTTCAGTCTCCAGAGTAGCTGGGATTACAGATGCCCACCATGACACCCGACTAATTTTTGCATTTTTAGTAGAGATGGGGTTGCAATGTGTTGTTCAGCCTGGTCTCGAACTCCTGACCTCAAGTGATCTGCCCATCTCAGCCTCCCAAAGTATTGGGATTACAGGCATGAGCCACCAGATCCAGCCTTGAAAAGTCTTTATTTCACGTTTACTTCTTTTTGTATTGACATGAGATTCACATAAAATTAACCAGTTTAACATGTACAATTGAATGACATTTAATACATTCACAATATTGTGCAACCAACTGCATCTAGTTCCACAACATATTTGTTATTCCCCCCAAAAAGCCTTGAACCCACTAAGCAGTCACTCCCCATTCCCCTCTCCCCCAAACCTTTAGCCTTGAACCCACCAAGCAGTCACTCCCCATTCCCCTCTCCCCCAAACCTTTAGCCTTGAACCCACTAAGCAGTCACTCCCCATTCCCCTCTCCCCCAAAACCTTGGCAACACCAATCTGCTTTCTGTCTCTATGGATTTAACCATTCTGGATATTTCATATAAATTGAATCATACACTATGTAATCTTTCATGTCTGGCCTCTCACTTGGTTTAATGTTTTCAAGGCTCATCTATATTATAGCATGTATCGGTTCTTCATTCCTTTTTATGATTAATAGTCTATTATATGTATACAACAATGCCAAATTTTGCTTATCCACTCATCAGTTAATGGACATTTGGGTTGTTTGCACTTTTGGCTATTGTGAATACTGCTGCTATGATCATTTGTATACAGGTATTTGAGTACCAAATTACCCAGCAATTCCACTCCTGTATATACCCAAAAGAATTGGTAATTCTATTTTTAACTTTTTGAGGAACCACCAAACTGTCTTTTATGGCAGCTGCACCATTGTACAGTCTTAGCAGCAATCTAAGACAGTTCCAATGTCTCTACATCCCTGCCAAAACTTGTTATTATCTTTTTTATTGCGGACACCCTACTGGGTATGAAGTGGCCCTGTTGAAAATCAACTGACCATAAACTTGAGAGTTCATTTCTGCACTCTCAATTCTTTTCCATATGTCTATCCTTATACCAGTACCATACTGTTTTAATTACTGTAGCTTTATAGTAAATTTTGAAATTGCAAAGTTTGAATCCACTAGTTTTGCTCTTTTTCAATACTTTGACTATTTGGGGCCCTTTGCAATTCCATATAAATCAGATTGACTTGGACAGCGCTGCCATCTAAATAAAATTAAATCTTCCAATCCATGAACACAAGATGAATTTCCATTAACTTAGGTCTTCTTTAATTTCTTTCGGCAATATAGTTTTCAGTCTAAAATCTTTCACATCCTTGGTTAAAATTCCCAGGTTTTTGTTTTTAATTCTTTTAAAGGCTATTGTAAATGGAATTTTTTTGTTTGTTTCCATTTCAGAGTATCCGCTGATGGTCTAAAGAACACAATGATTTCTGCATGCTGATCTTATGATCTTATATCTTGTAACTTTGCTGAATTAACATACTAACTCTAGCGGTGTCTTTGTGGATTCTCTGGATTTTCTATATACTGTGTAGGATCATGTCACCGATTAACATTTTTATTTCCTCCTTTCCAATTTGGATGCTGTTTCTTTATTTTTCTTGTCTAATTGCTCTGGCTAGAATTTATGTATACAATGTTGAACAGGAGTGGTGAAAGCAAGCATCCTTGTCTTATTCCTGATCTACCTCTGGGTTTTTCATAAATACCCATTATGTTAAGTAAAGTTTACCTTCATTTTTGAAAGCTATTATAACTTAACTGAGTATAGAATTACAGGTTGGTCGTCTTTTCCTTTTGTTGTCAACCTATTGACTTCAGATTTCTGAAAAGAAGTCTGCTGTAGTTCTACCTTGTTTATCTTCATCATGTTTTCTGTCTGCTTTTTTCTCTTTTTCACTGGCTTTCAACAATTTGTTATGTATTGTATGGTTTCATTACATTTCTTCCGCATGGGGTTCATTGAGCTTCTTGGATCTATGGGTTTATGGCAGTGACTCTCAACTAGGGGCACTTTTTTTTTTGCCCTCTCCATCCACAGATATTTGGCATGTCTGGGGCAATTTTTTAGCTGTCACACTACGCAGTGCTATTGACATCTAGTGAATAGAGAACAGAGTCACTGCTAAATGTCCTACAATGTACAGGATATCCTCCATAAAGAAGAATTTTCTGGCCCAGAATATCAATGGAGCAAAGATTGAAAAACTCTGGTTTATAGTTTATGAACTATTTGAAATTTCAGCCATTATTAACTAAATTTTGTTTCTGTCTTCTCTCACTTTTTTTCTCCTTTCTGGGTCTCCAATTATATGAATGCTACATTGCTTTGTATTTTCCCACAGCTCATTGAAGTTCTGTTCTTTTTTTGTTCAGTCTTTTTATGCTCTGTGCTTCATTTTGATTAGTTTCACTTGCTCCATCTTCGAGCTTCAAGTTCACTGATCTTATGCAATGTCTAATCTGCTGTTAATCATATCCAGTCTATTTTTTACTTCAGATATTATATTTTTCCCTATCTAAAAGTTCCATTTTGATACTTTTGCATCTTCCATCTCTCTACATATGTTCACTTTTTCCTCTACTTTCTTGAATATATAGTATATATTTGTAAAGTAAGTGTTTTCATGTCCTTGTCTGTTATTTTATCATCTTTATCATTTCCACCATGTACTTTTATTGACAGGTTTTTCTCCTGGGTCATATTTTCCTGCCCCCACTTTTTTTTTTCCTTTTTGGCAAGCTTTAAAGACCTGTATTGTAAGCAAGGCATTGTAATAAATTTTACATTCTTGCTTGCTGGATTTTGTTGTGTTCCTTTAAATTATGTTGGACTTTGTTTTGGCATGCATTAAGTTACTTGGAATTAGTCTGATCCTTTTGAGGCTCAATTTTAAGCAGTGTTAAGGCAAGGGCAAAGCAGCCTTTGATATAGCATTTAATTTAGCACAGCTACTGAAGTGAAACCCTTCTGAAGCCTCTACCATATGCCCCACATATTACATTTTCATTCTACTCCTGACTGGTAGGAAACAAAATATTCTCAGTCCTATGTCAGCTCCAGAAATTGGCCTACTGCTTTCTTATGTTTCTTTCCCCGGCCTGTTATTAATAGTTTCCTCTTATACATGCATAGATCAGTATTCAGCCAAAGGGACCCCTCTGCAGACCTCTGGAACTGTCAATATAGGATCATCCTCTCTGGTATTCAGCCCCGCAAATTCTAGTTCAAAATGGTAAGACTGCCAGGCCATTTTGGGATCCCCCTCCTTGCAGCCTGGAAAATGCTGCCAGGTAATAAATGGGACGCACCTGCAAGGCACAGCTTGTTTTTTTTGTTTTGTTTTGTTTTTAGATGAAGTCTCACTCTGTCGCCCAGGCTGGAGTGCAGTGGTGCAATCTTGGCTCCCTGCAAGCTCCGCCTCCTGGGTTGACACCATTCTCCCGCCTCAGCCTCCCAAGTAGCTGGGACTACAGACACCCGCCACCACGCCCAGCTAATTTTTTTTTTTTTTTTTGTATTTTTAGTAGAGACAGGGTTTCACTGTGTTAGTCAGGATGGTCTCGATCTCCTGACCTCGTGATCTGCCTGCCTTGGCCTCCCAAAGTGCTGGGATTATAGGTGTGAGCCATCGTGCCCGGCCATTTCCCTTCTTTTGTAACTTTACACTACTTATAATACAATGTCTGAAAATTACTGTTTCATCCAGAAATTTTAGCCATGCATCTGGTTTTCTTCTTGTTTTTGGCAAAAGGGTAAATCTCATCCCTATTACTCCACCATTCCCAGGAACATAAGTCCTACAAACATTAATTTTAAACCCAGCATAATATTCCATGCAGTAATGTAATATAATTTACTTAACCATTATCTAACAGTTGTATATTAGGTTATTTTCATTTTTTCACTCATAAACAGACATAATGAATATTTTTAAAAATAAGAAATAAAGTACTTTTAGGCCACTGCACTCCAGTCTGGGCGACAGAGTGAGATTCCGTCTCTCCAAAAAAAAAAAAAAGAAAGTACTTTTAATTAAAATCTTTAGAAAAAAAACTGACCCCATAATTTGATTATGGTATATTCTAAATACATTCCCCTTTCCTGGGATTAGTTCCTCTTTCTAATGCAACTGCACAAATACACATGTTAGAATACACATGGTCACAATGTTTTGTGGGGAAATAAAAAGATTATATCTTAGGCAGAAATAATATTTTAAAAATAACCTGCCATTATCAGATTGAATCCAGAATAAAGATGCCAAAGATGCGTTAGTTTTCCTTTCTATACACTTCATCTACCAGAGTGGATAAACTTTGGCTACTTTACCCTCTTGATATCCACTCCAGTGAAATTTCTTTCATAGAGGCTTAGAAGTTTATTCCATTTCTCTCTACTCAAAATCCATTAAGTCACTTTTATGTTGCATCAGCAATTAAATAGAGTCCAATTTGGCAGCGAACAGGATAAAATTTGCCAGTTCTTACATTGCCTGAGACTCTATTAGTTGAGAAACTAAAATGCTCCTTCACTCAAAAGGGAAAGGATAAGTTGTTGGCTAAATCTTTATCACTTGATTCAGACTCCACCTTAGTCAGTTTTAGAGTCAAGATTTAAAGCCTTGTGAAACTTTTTCTTCTATTCCTAAGATTATCAAGCTAATCTATGCAAAGAGGTTTCTTGCTTCTGTGTGCTACCTTTTTTGGATTTGTTTTACTGTTTTGTTTAATTCATTTATAGTCTAACTGTAGAATGCTGGGAAAATTAATCTACTTCTTTGCCTCAGTTTCCTCATTTGTAAAAATGGGAATAATAGTACCTATTTCATACCTATTTATATTTATACATAAATAAAACAGTATCCAGTGCAAAGTGGCCATTTTGTAAGTGTTAGCTAATACAATAATTATTATTGCCCAAAACATGGCCATTTCTCCAACGCAAAAGTGTTTCAGCAATATAGATACAAGATGTTGTGATGTGGGGACTTAAAATATTGACCTATGGTCTTTACCTAATAGCTCTAAACTCCTGATTCTCTTGATAAAACAACAACAAATCCCCCAAACAAACCAATCATAAAAACTCTAACATACTTCGTTATAAGAAAAAGAGATAGAAAACTAATACTTAAGGAATATTTTCTATGTGCTTATACTATCCAACTTCCACTTCAAAACGAGTCTATAAAGCTGGCATTATCACTGTATTTTATTTAATCTAAGATATCCTCAATTATAAGAAGCACCATTATTTTCTGTAATGTTCAGAAAGAAAAACTAGCCAATTAAATATAATACACTAAGACTCATACAGATTTCAAAAATATTAAAAACTGAATAAATGTCTGCCTTAGATTTGGCCAGGTGCAGTGGCTCATGCCTTTAATTCCAGCACTTTGAAAGGCTGAGGAAGGAGGATCACTTGAGCTCAGGAGTTCAAAACCAGCCTAGACAACATGGTGAGACCCTGTCTCTACAAAAGAAAAAAAAAAGATTTGATGAAATATAAGTAAATATTTATTTTACAGATTCAAAAACTGAAAAGAGGTGAAGTATCCAATGCCACAGAAGTGGCAGAATTGGGATTCACACCAAGATCCTTTGATATTCCAAAGCCTGTGTTCTATTAAATTACATTATATTACTTCTCCAAGCTATTTTGGAAACCATTATTACATACTGACAATATTCTAAATTAAAATTTTGTCTGTTTCTTAAGTGTACTTTTTTTTGGGGGGGATGGGGTCTCATTCTGTCACCCAGGCTGGAGTACAGTGGGTGATCTTGGCTCATTCAACTTCTGCTTCCCAGGCTCAAGGGATCTCCTCCCACCTCAGCCTCCCAAGTAGCTGGGACCACAAGCAAGCACCATCACGCCGGGATAATTTTTTTTTTTTTTTGTATTTTTGGTAGAGACAGGGTTTTACCATGTCACCCATGCTGGTCTTTAACTCCTGGGCTCAAGCGATCTACCCACCTCAGCCTCCCTAAGTGCTGAGATTACAGGTGTGAGCCACCACACCCAGCCTTAAGTGTACTTTTAAAATGTTTACATAAAGTACTCCATTAGTTCAAAGAGAAAACTTTAAACATTTTTGAAGCAAAATTATTCTGATAAATTATGCATAATTTAGTTGCTAGATTAATACTATCATTCTAAACCCTTAAAAGAGGAACACTTTTCTGATAATCCTTTTGAAATACTAAATTTTTTCCTGAAACATGAATAGCTATTCATTTCAAGTAGAAAAGTAAGAATATTGGTTTCATCTCATCTACCATTTGTCACAGCATTAAAAAGAAAACTTTACCATGAAAATATTGTTGGTTGCTACTTATAACAGTAATATTTATAAAATTTTTCAAGAAAGGGGAACTCCATAAACGTATGTTTTTAACCTGTTTCTCTTAAAATTACAAACACACAGCAATATTTTAAAAAATCATCTCCTACAACCTTTAAAAAACAGACATTTAGCCAGGTGCAGTCTCATGCCTGTAATCCTAGCACTTTGGGAGGCAGAGGCAGGCGGATTACCCGAGGTTAGGAGTTTGAGACCAGCCTGGCCAACATGGTAAAACCCCATCTCTACTAAAAATACAAAAATTAGCTGGGCATGGTGGTGCATATCTGTAATCCCAGCTACTTGGGAGGCTGAAGCAGGAGTATTGCTTGAACCCGGGAGGGAGAGGTTGTAGTGAGCTGAGATAACCCCCGACAGTCCAGCCTGGGTGATAGAGTGAGACTCTGTCCCAAAACAAACAAACAAAAAAACCCAGACATTTATAAAAATGTCAGTTCTCTAGAAATGTTGCATAAATGCTTAAATTAGCATTGGAAAATAATTTTAAATAAAAGCAATGAGAACAGAAATGATATGAACAAGTATTTTATCCAATCCTCCAAATTTCAGCCTTTCCTAATATTTTTTGTATATATACTACATACACTAGCTAACACATTTTTTAAAGATTAAAAGACTGAAGAACACTTTTTTTTTAACCAAACACTTTACACCACAGAAATATGAGATAATTTTTACATATAATTAATATGGTCAACAGAACTCCGAAGATTCTCTTATAGTCCACCAAGTAAATGTCATCACTTTGTAACAACAAACCAAAAATGGTAAATTGCTTTCTACCACCCCACAATAGAATTTAAGAATAAATATTATATTACTCTTGTCGATTTCTTGGCTTTTGTCAATTGTCTTGGTTCCAGCACACTTTAAAACTAAGGCGCAATATGTAAGTCATTTGTATTTGTTAGTATTTTTACTCAATTTAACACTGTTTTAAAATGGCTATCATGGAAAACTACCTTCAGGTTATTATGACTAATTTTCTAGAAATATAACACTGATCAAAATTTAGATTTTCTTTAGAAAATTATCTTGAATATAGTATTTATCATAGCTGTTCAGAAATTATAACTTTTTTTGGATTTTAAACACCAAAGGAAATCATAAAACATCAAAAGATTCAAATATTTAAACCAGCATTTCTGTAATAACGTCTCAAAAATAAACAGGAAAAGAAGAAACTGTATTTTAAGCAAGCAAAACAAATGGTTAATATTTCTATAATGTATCCAAATGATCTCATGTGTACAAAAAAAAAAATCATTAAGACCCAATGGATAAACAGACCATGATTATAAGTAGGCAACAGTTAGATACTTGAAGTTACCCACGGGTTTAGGGTTCTACTCACATACACCAATACTTGGGAAAATGCTTAACATCCCTTAATAATTTGCAAAATGCAAATTAAAGCAACAATGAACAATGAATTTTTAACTAGCTACATTAGAATAAATAAGGCAGTAAAATTACAGTGAAACAGGTACTAATAAGCTAATGGCCCTAATGGCCTTGTAAAATGGTATTAGTCTTTTGGAAAGTATATGGCAATCCTACCAAGACCCATACAAATATTAAGCACATATTAATTATTTTCACCAATAATATAACTTCTGGATATTATAAGAAAAAGATACAATCCTTAACTATTGCAACTTGGTATGAGATTCAACAACAATCTTTTTTGTTGGTCATCTTTACCTAAATTTAATGTTCTTAAATTTTTAAGACAGAAACATAGGTCAGGATAGATTTTTAGATCTCTATCTCCCTTTTCTATTGTTTTCATGAAGTGGTAAAAATTTTGGCCCCTAGGATACTTAGCTCTTGCCCCCTCTGGTTCTTCTTTTTCCTTTTGTCTTTATTGTCCTTGTTGTCCTACTTGATTTTGATTAAATTCCTAGTAGATTGCTCTTAGTATGAAGCTTTATACTGGAAGAAAGTTTTGGCTAGTTAATTTTAGAAGCTTAGAGCCCAGGCAGCTCTAGAGAACGTTACCATGAACCTCTTGTACTCAGCCATGAATTGAAGTGCATAAAAACCCCTTTTAGCTTTACCTGTTGGCTATTTTAGAAATCTGCCATTCTCAAGATAGTAAGGTACTCATAGGTACTCTACTGCTTCCTTCTGCTTCCTTCTAAAGAGATGCCAATGCCACACAAATCTGTTTTCTTTCATTTTTTTTAAAATATAAATCTGGTAGCTGTTGGTGGTTTGTCCCTATTTTCTCTAATCAACTAATTTTGTTACAGATATTGCTCAAGAGCTTTTGATTATGCTATCCTAGTTATTCTGTTAAGGAAGGAGGACTATTCAAAAACTATGCTACAGCCACTACCATCTTCCCAGAATTAAAATACCATAAATAATTTTTAATGTAACACATGAATAGGAATACACAAATAAATAGATTAGTATTGCTAAAGTTGGTATGTTTCCATTCCATTCTCTTTTCCATTATTTTTGTCTCCATGCAACTATCTTAGTTGCATGATTTCATGAAAGAGAGATTTAGAGACTGACAACACAAGTTCAGTGAACATCAGTTATTTGTAGCTTACCAAAGTATGAATACTATTTCAACATTTTAATAGTTTCCGAAATTGTGAATCCCAACTTCTAAAGCAGAATTCTCAAAATCTTATTTCTTAGACTTTCTTGAAGCTATGATTCATTATCTACATTCCATAAACTAAATGTGCAAGCAACCCATATGGATACAAAACGGAGCAACATATCACTGACCTACAACTCGCACTTTTTTTTTTTTTTTTTGAGACAGAGTCTCACTCTGTCACCCAGGCTGGAGTTCAGTGGTGTGATCTCAGCTCACTGTAACCTCCACCACAGGTTCAAGTGATTCTCCTGCCTCAGCCTCCTGAGTAGCTGGGATTACAGGTGCCCGCCACCACACCCGGCTAGTTTTTGTATTTTCAGTAGCGACAAGGTTTCACCATGTTGGCCAGGCTGGTCTTGAACTCCTGACCTCAAGTGATCTGCCCTCCTCGGCCTCCCAAACCAAACACCGCATGTTCTCACTCATAGGTGGGAATTGAACAATGATAACACTTGGACACAGGGTGGGGAACATCACACACCGGGGCCTGTTGTAGGGTGGGGACAGGGGGAGGGATAGCATTAAGAGAAACACCTAATGCAAATGACAAGTTAATGGGTACAGCAAACCAACATGACACATGTTCACCTATGTAACAAACCTGCACATTGTGCACATGTACCCTAGAACTTAAATTAAAAAAAAAAAAACTTAAAAAAAAAAGCATGCTAATCTAATTTCCGGATGACAGGGTCAATGAAAGACAGTTGACACACTAGATGTCACATTCAGGACCCCCCCACCCCAAAAATCTTCAATGTGGGAATAAGATGTTGAATAAAATAAAATGAAATTTAATACGGGTACACATAAAGTATTGAACTTAGTACACAACAGACATTGCATAACAGAATGTATAAAAAAAGACAGGATTTTAGTTTACTGAAAGTTAAAGAATAATTAACATTGTAATGTGGTTGCAAGAAGTGTTAAGGTAATTTTAAGCCACAATCAGTGCAAGTATAGTGTTCTAAAGAGAGAAAAGTTCTATTCTGTAGTGGTCACACTATGCCTAAAACAGTCTGTTCAATTCCAAAGGCCATACTCTAAAAGAGGTGTTGAGAAACTGAAATTTGTTCACACAAGAATGACTGGGAAGGTAGTGGGACTTGATGGTGAAGAAGATGAAGAACAATTTTAGAAATCAGAAATATTTGGTCTGGAGATGAGGAGACTTAAAAGCTGCCTTAAAACTTCTGAAAGACTCGGCCGGGTGCAGTGGCCCATGCCTGTAATCCCAGCACTTTGGGAGGCCCAGGCAGGTGGATCACGAGGTCAGGAGATCGAGACCATCCTGGCTAACACAGTGAAACTCCGTCTCTACTAAAAAATACAAAAAAATTAGCCAGGCGTGGTGGCAGGCGCCTGTAGTCCCAGCTATTCGGGAGGCTGAGGCAGAAGAATGGCGTGAAACCAGGAGGTGGAACTTGCAGTGAGCCGAGATTGCGCCACTGCACTCCAGCCTGGGCGACAGTGAGACTCTGTCAAAAAAACAAAACAAACAAACAAAAAAAAACTTCTGAAAGACTCATATAAAAAACTGAACATCGTCTATGTGGGCCTAAAAAGCAAAAATATAACAGAGTAGAAAACAATAACGATACCAAAACAGTGAAATAAATTTTGGCTTAATATAAAAAGAAGCTTCTAACAACTGGAGTTCTTCAAAAATTGGGCCAATTTCTTCACAAATAGTAAATTTCCCTTCATTAAGAGTCTTCCAATAGAAGCTAAAAGACTGTATGCTAGAATAATCTGGAGACAGAAAATTAGTCTAAATAACCAATAAATTCATTCTAATAATGAGATTACAAGCTTACAACAAGAAAGGGAAATGTAACTTAAAAAAGATATACAAATGGCCAATGTGTACATTAAAAGGTGGTCAATATCATCAGTCATCAGGGAAATGCAAATTGAAATCACAACAAGATACCATTTCAGACCCACTAGGATGGCTACAATCAAAAAGGCAGAAAATAAATCAGAACCCTCATACACTGTTGACAGGACTATAAAATGTTGTAGCCATTTTAGAAGACAGTCCAATGGTTCTTCAAAGTTAAACACAGAATTACCATTCGATCCAGCAATTCCACTCCTGGATATATATCCATTAGAAATAAAGATATATGTACACACAAAAACTTGCACACAAATGTTCACAGCAACATTATTCAAAATAGCCAAAAGGTGGAAAGAACCCAAATGTCCAAAAAAAGATGAATGGATAAACAAAATGTGGCATATCCATACAATAGAATACTACTCATCCATAAAAAGGAATGAAGTATTGATACATGCTACAATGTGAAAGAACACCCTGAAAACATACTAATAAAAAAAGTCAGTCATAAAAGACTACATGTGATATTCCCCATTTGAAACCAGAATAGGCAAATCTATAGAAACAAAAACTAGATTAATGGTTGCTTAGGGCTGAGGGAAATGAGGAGACTGAAACTAAGAGCTAAAGGGTATGGAGTTTCTTTTTGAGGGGATGAAAATGTTCTAAGATGAATTGTAATGATGGTTGTACAACTTCATGAATATGCTAAAAACCACTGAATTGTACACTTAAATGGGAGAACACAGTGGGTGAATTTTAATGTCTCAATTTAAAAAGCAGAGAAAAATGAAAAAATGTGTTCAGTAAACTACATTTAAAAAAACTAGGAAAGACTATACTTTCAGGGGTCATTTCTATCTGAACAACCTGCTCCTGAATGACTAATGGGTAAATAATGAAATTAAGGCAGAAATAAACAAGTTCTTTGAAAACAGTGAGAACAAAGACACAACGTACCAAAATCTCTGGGACACAGCTAAAGCAGTGTTTAGAGGGAAATTTATAGCACTAAATGCCCACAGGAGAAAGCGGGTAAGATCTAAAATCGACACCCTAACATCACAATTAAAACAACTATGTGGGTGGCTCAGACCTGTAATCCCAGCACTTTGGGAGGCTGACGTGGGCAGATCACGAGGTCAAGAGATTGAGACCAGCCTGGCCAATATAGTGAAACCTCATCTCTACTAAAAATACAAAAATTACCTGGGCATGGTGGCACGTGCCAGTAGTCCCAGCTACTCGGGAGGCTGAGGCAGGAGAATCACTTGAAACCTAGGAGGCGAAGGTTGTGGTGAGCCGAGATCATGCCACTGTACTCCAGCCTGGGCAACAGAGTGAGACTCCATCTCAAAAAATTAAATAATAATAATAATAATAATAAAACCAACTAGAGAAGCAAGAGCAAACTAATTCAAAAGCTAGCAGAAGACAAGAAATAACTAAGATCAGAGCAGAACTGAAGGAGATAGAGACATGAAAAATCCTTCAAAAAATAAATGAATACAGGAGCTGATTTTTTGAAAAGATTAACAAAGTAGACTGCTAGCAAGACTAATAAAGAAGAAAAGAGAGAAGATTCAATAGACACAACAAAAAATGATAAAGGGGATATCACCACTGATCCTACAGAAATACAAGCTACTATCAGAGAATACTATAAACACCTCTACGCAAATAAACTAGAATATCTAGAAGAAATGGATAAATTCCTGGACGCATGCACCCTCCCAAGACTAAATCAGGAAGAAGTCGAATCCCTGAATAGACCAATAACAAGTTCTGAAATTGAGGCAGTAATTAATAGCCTACCAACCAAAAAAGGCCAGAACCAGACGGATTCACAGCTGACGAAATCTACCAGAGGTACAAAGAGGAGCTCATACCACTCCTTCTGAAACTACTCCAAACAAGAGAAAAAGAGGTAAACCTCCCTAACTCATTTTATGAGGCCAGCATCAACCTGATATCAAAACCCGGCAGAGACACAACAGAAAAAGAAAATTTCAGGCCAGTATCCCTGATGAACATCGATGCAAAAATCTTCAATAAAATACTAGCAAATCGAATCCAGCAGCACATCAAAAAGCTTATCCACCACGATCAAGTTGGCTTCATCTCTGGGATGCAAGGCTGGTTCAACATATGCAAATCAATAAATATAATCCATCACATAAACAGAACCAATGACAAAAACCACATGATTATCTCAATAGATGCAGAAAAGGCTTTCGATGCTAAAAACTCTCAATAAACTAGGTATTGATGGAATGTATCTCAAAATAATAAGAGCTATTTATTACAAACCCACAGCCAATATCATATTGAATGGGCAAAAGCTAGAAGCATTCCCTTTGAAAACTGGTGGAAGACAAGGATGCCCTCTCTCACCACTCCTATTCAACATAGTAGTGGAAGTTCTGGCCAGGGCAATCAGGCAAGAGAAAGAAATAAAGGGTATTCAAATAGGAAGAGAGGAAGTCAAATTGTCTCTGTTTACAGATGGCATGATTGTATATTTAGAAAACCCCATTGTCATAGCCCAAAATCTCCTAAAGCTGATAAGCAACTTCAGCAAAGTCTCAGGATACAAAATCAATGTGCAAAAATCACAAGCATTCCTATAAACCAATAATAGACAAACAGAGAGCCAAATCATGAGTGAAATTCCATTCAAAACTGCTACAAAGAAATTCCTAGGAATATAACTTACAAGGGATGTGAAGGACCTCTTCAAAGAGAACTACAAACCACTGCTCAAGGAAATAAGAGAGGACATAAACAAATGGAAAAACATTCCATGCACGTGGATAGGAAGAATCAATGTCATGAAAAGTAATTTATAGATTCAATGCTATCCCCATCAAGCTACCATTGACTTTCTTCAAAGAATTAGAAAAAACTACCTTAAATTTCATATGGAACCAAAAAAGAGCCCATATAGACAAGACAATCCTAAGCAAAAAGAACAAAGCTGGAGGCATCACGCTACCTGACTTCAAACTATACTACAAGGCTACAGTAATGAAAACAGCATGGTACTGGTACCAAAACAGAGAGACAGACCAATGAAACAGAACAGACGCCTCAGAAATAACACCACGTATCTACAACCATCTGATCTTTGACAAACCTGACAAAAACAAGCAATGGGGAAAGGATTCCCTATTTAATAAATGGTATTGGGAAAACTGGCTAGCCATATGCAGAAAACTGAAATTGGACCCCTTCCTTACACCTTATACAAAAATTAACTCAAGACGGATTAAAGACTTAAATGTAAGACCTAAAACTATAAAAACCCTAGAAGAAAACCTAGCCAATACCATTCAGGACATAGGCATGGGCAAAGACTTTATGACTAAAACACCAAAAGCAATGGCAACAAAAGCCAAAATTGACAAGTGGGATCTAATTAAACTAAAGAGCTTCTGCACAGCAAAAGAAACTATCATCAGAGTGAAGAGGCAGTCTACAAAATGGGAGAAAATTTTTGCAATCTATCCATCTGACAAAGGGCTAATAGCTGGAATCTACAAGGAACTTAAACAAATTTACAAGAAAAAAAACCCCATCAAAAAGTGGGCAAAGGATATCAATAGACACTTCTCAAAAGAAGACATTTACGCAGCCAACAAACATATGAAAAAAAGCTCATCATCACTGGTCATTAGAGAAATGCAAATCAAAACCACAATGAGATACCATCTCACACCAGTTAGAATGGTGATCATTAAAAAGTCAGGAAACTACAGGTACTGGAGAGGATGTGGAGAAATAGGAACACTTTTACACTGTTGGTGGGACTGTAAACTAGTTCAACCATTGTGGAAGTCAGTGTGGCGATTCCTCAGGGATCTAGAACTAGAAATACCATTTGACCCAGCCATCCCATTACTGGGTATATACCCAAAGGAGTATAAATCATGCTGCTATAAAGACACATGCACACGTATGTTTACTGAGGCACTATTCACAATAGCAAAGACTTGGAACCAACTCAAATGCCCATCAGTGATAGACTGGATTAAGAAAATGTGGCACATATACACCATGGAATATTATGCAGCCATAAAAAAAGGATGAGTTCATGTCCTTTACAGGGACATGGATGAAGCTGGAAACCATCATTCTCAGCAAACTAACACAGGAACAGAAAACCAAACACCACATATTCTCATTCATAAGTGGGAGGTGAACAATGAAAACACATGGACACGGGGAGGGGAACATCACACACCAGGGCCTATCGGGGGTTGGGGGACAGGGGGAGGGATAGCATTAGAAGAAATATCTAATGTTGATGATGGGTTGATGGGTGCAGCAAATCATCATGGCACATGTATATGTATGTAACAAACCTGCACGTTCTGCACATGTATCCCAGAACTTAAAGTATAATTTAAAAAAAAAGAAACTAGGAAACTTATTATCACTTTACAAAGACTACCTAAAAGTGAAAAAAAGTTCAGATACTTGAAAAGGTAGGTTTGATTTGCTGAAAAATTCACTCTGTAGAATTCATTCTCCAAATCTGGGGTAAAGAAGGCATTACTTTAATAGGTAATCCCCAATCTAGAGCCACTAGATTATGATCTTGTCCTATTACCACAACCATAAAATTGAATTAATTCTAGATTATGCACTTTTTATATACACTTTTTAAAAAATACCACCATCTTAGAATTACATTTTTTGAACTGTGGCCAATATGGTCCTAATCCATAAAGGAAATGTATTCATAATTAATTCTTCAGAAATATAATTACAATCAATGAACCTTGAAATCTTTTTTATCATCTTTTATTATTGTCAGACTTATTCGAGTCAGTCCTACAAAAGTAAAAAAGGTGAGGCCAAGGCGGGCGGATCACCTGAGGTCAGGAGTTCGAGACCAGCCGGGCCAACATGGTGAAATCCTGTCCCTACTAAAAATACAAAAAATTAACTGGACGTGGTGACACATGCCTATAGTCCCAGCTACTCGGGAGGCTGAGGCAGGGGAATCACATGAACCTAGGAGGCGGAGGTTGCAGTGAGCCAAGATTGCACCACTGCTCTACAGCCTAGGCAACAGAGCGAGACACCATTTCAAAAAAAAAAAAAAAAAGTGACTTAATTTTATAGTTTTAAATTCTCAAAGTAGACAGATTTAAAAGCCAAACCCTCAAAAAGTTTCAAAAACTCTCTTTTCATTTTCTAACTCTATATCAAGGAACGGCACAAGTGTCCCCAGGGAAAGAAACTTGGGCAGACAGCAATTGTATGTGACAGTAGCAATTACATGCAAGGTTGGAGATTAGAAGACCATTAATGTGGGTACAGTAATTGCTCTGGTATTTTATTGAGGATCGGCTCAAAGAGGATCCATAGCAAACTTCACCTAGGTTGCCATTGGTCAAGGAATTCCACCCTAAGAAAGCACATGAAAAGTGTAAACGTGATAGTTATAGGCACACAGAACATTTCTTTGATGAGAGACTGATACATCATGAAACAGCAACAACAAACATGCAATTCTGAAAGGTATTTCCACCTATACTTTCCAACTAGCTATGAAGAATATCAGAAAAATTCACACAATGAATGTGACTAAATGTTGATCTTTAAAATTTTTTTTTTTTTAACACCGTCTTTCTCTGTTGCCCAGGTTGGAGTACAGTGGCATGATCAGGGCTCACTGCAGCCTCAGCCTCAGCCTCCCGGGCTCAAGTGATCCTCCTGCCTCACCCTCCCAAGTAGCTGGGACTACAGGTGTGTGCCACCATGCCTGGCTATTTTTAAATTTTTTGGTAGAGAATATTTGCTAGAATATTCATCTTTACAAACAAACATATTTTATAACATCACACTATAACAAGTATTTAAAAAACTATATTGACTAAAAAGCCTTGCAAACCTAGAAACCGTAGAAAGACAGTAGAAACAGCAAACTTTTCCTATAAACAATAATAGGAAGATGTAAACACATACCCTTGGCTTCCTCTCCCCAGTATGGCATATCAAAAACTGAAACAAGCCCAGTGTACCTAAAGGAGAGCATGTAGGGGCAAGAGATCCACGGGGCCAAAGGTGAGAACAGAAATTTACTCAGGCAGTAAAACCTGAACCTTCAAAAGGGTCCAACTGCCTGGTGAAGGTAGATTACCTTAGCAAGCAGAGAGGGGCCACATCTGCTACATGCTACATATAATTT